>NC_000014.9:101429714-101732714 GCF_000001405.40 Homo sapiens | reverse complement strand
GCCCCACTTAATTTTCAGATGCTCTCCGAGATGGGTGGGGGGTGCAATGGCACAGAAATGCATTACGTCGTCAGAGTCAAGGCCCCACTGACAATGCGGGTGCTCATTAGTTAAGCAGATATTATTAGGCATGTTTACCTGAGAGGAGAGGAACATTCTGTGAAATAATAAATCTGCTGGTTTCTATTCTTCTCCCTTTGCAGACTGAGTTTTTATTATTTTGATCCCAGTACCCATTAGAAACACAGTGTCTAAATATTGAAATGCTTTGCTTCAAAAGCTGCTAAGATACAGTGGCAAAGGTAGCCTTGCAATGAGGTTTTATCTCCAGAGTCCCAAGTTTTTGAGACAAATCCAATGACGCAGATCTTGTGGTCAAGGATGATGCAATGGCGCTCCAGGAACAATATCAGGCTCTGTGACTTGGGTGCCTTCTGGGTGTGTGGCGTGGTCTCGGTCTGACAATCTCTAGAACAACCCTACGAGGTGGTAATTATTATTCTCATGCTGCAAGGGATATCTCCCACCTCCTAGGTGGACTCAGGTCTTGTGGGGCTTAATGCTTTTAAATTTGGGCTGCCTTTTGAAGGGAAAAGACTACAAAATTATGAATACAAAATGAGGTTAAGGTCTTGGGAGGGGCCCATGCAAGCTGGGGGCTCTGCAGGTAAGCTTGTTTAGCTTCCCAGCAAATCCACCTCTGAGCTTGCAAATTACAAAGCTGGAATTTGAACTCACATCTGCTGGATGCAAAGTCCGAGGTCTTCCTGTAGCATGACCGTCTTCCTGTGTGATGAGAAACATCAGGCTGCCGAGGCCAAACAGTGGGTGCGTCACTTTCCAATGAGGCAGGTGTGCGGGACAGGAAGTGGGAGGTTCTCCTTGCAGGGGAGCGGCTGCTGCCAACATCCCAGCTGGTACCTGTCCCTGAGAATGGTTTGGCAGGTGGGGGCCACTTGAAGTCTCTGCTCCTACACCCCGTCACCCCTCCCAGGCTGCTTTCAGAGGAGGGCAAAGGGTATTCATTCCAGCCTCCAATTTCTTCCTCCCACTCCTCGAAAGCATTTAAGTGAGGAAGGCAGGGAAAACGTAGATGATTCTGCTATTGACAGGAGGCCTTTTTTTCCTGCTGGAAGTAAAAGGAGACACTCTAGCTGGGCAGCCAGCCCCACCCTCCAGGGCTCCATCTGGCCTGGCTGAGGCTGGCCAGCCCCTGCTGTGCATGGAGGGGTGCTGGGAAGCCTACCTTGCTTCACACTTTCCTCTTCCACACCCGGCCTGTGACTCATGCCTGAAACGCCTCCGTTCAAGCAATTCTTCCTTTTATTGTGAAGCACTGCTCTCTTCCGGCTCCTCCCCTAAGTCACCACGCAGGGGAGATTTAAGGGAGAGGTTATTTCCCCACCGTGTTCAGGGACAACCCTGTGATCATGGTTTTGGTCACATAGCTTCCAAGTGAGTGTTGTGCAAACATTTGCTAGGATCTCTCGGGGAGCCTGTTAGAAAAGAAACTCCTGAGCCTGCTCCAGAGCTTCTGTTCAGCAGGCCTGAGGTGGGACCATACACCTGTCTTTTCAGCAAGCCCCCCCCCACCTCTGAGGATGCACCCCAAAGCTAGAGAATTCCTGCTCTGAGCCATCTCTGAAAGCACCAAGAGCCAGGTTTGGTTTTTTGTTGTTGTTGTTGTTGTTGTTGTTGTTTTGTTTTTTTTTTAATTACACCCAGACCTGGGTACCTGAGCAATCACTGTCTCTGGAATCAGTGCAAAGTTACCGGGAGCTGCAGAGGCCCAGACAGACTGGAAGAGGGGAGAGCTTGGCTCTAACCCATGCAGCCTCCCCATTGCCCAAGTCCACCCCCAGACCACCTCCCTGCATTCAACCACGAGCTTTGTAGAGGGCAGGCATGCCCCAGGGGCTCTCAGCATCACCCCCCTGCCCCTACCTGTGACCAGAGTCTCCCTGGACTCTCAGCTCTGTCTTCCCAACTCGAAGAGCCTGCCAGGCCCCACCTGGGTACCCTTGTCCATACTGTAGCTTGGAAACCCTCTCAAGAAAGGAAGCTGGGTTAATTGCAGGCTCACTTTATTTTCCACATTCTCAGAAATCATTGTGCCTAGTTACCTGATATCCAGTGTATTAGTCTGTCCTCATGCTGCTGATAAAGACATACCCGAGACTGGGTAAATTATAAGGAAAAACAGGTTTAATAGGTTTAATGGACTCACAGTTCCACGGGCCTGGGGAAGCCTTACAATCATGGCAGAAGGTGAAAGGCACATCTTATATGGTGGTGGACAAGAGAGAATGGAACCAAGTGGAGAGGGAAACCCCTTATAAAACCATCAGATCTCGTGAGACTTGTTCACTACCACGAGAACAGTATGGGGGAAACCACCCCCATGATTCAAATATCTCCCACCAGGTCCCTCCCACAACACATGGGAATTATGGGAGCTACAATTCAAGATGAGATTTGGGTGGGGACATAGCAAAACCATATCATCCAGTGTCTTGAGAACTCTTGTTTTATATATTTGGTCCAATTTATTTTGACTTTTTCAGGCAGGAGAGGAAATCCAGTCTCTACATTCCGTCTTGTTTGGGAGTGAAAGTGTTCATTTTCTTTTAAAACAGACAATATCCTTCCAAATCTATAGTTAGTTCACTCATCCATCACTCATCCATAACCACTGTTAATATTTTGGTCTACATTCTAAGATATTTTTTTTCTGTGCATATGCGTGCACGTAGCAGGGTCACAAAATCACTCACAATACATCAGATGTGCAAAGAAAATAGAGTGTCTTCATTTTCCTACTTAATTAATCTGATCTTTCTTGAAAGGTACTCTCTGCTGGGTAATACAATGGGGAGAAACATCCATTCTAGTAACCTTGGTCTAATACAAACATTTAACCAGTTCTTTGAGCAGCTCAGCATTCTGAGGCTGAAGTGTTTGGCCAGTGGGGCTTCTGATGGCTGCCACTGTCTACTCCTCTACTCCAGATTGTGTCTGGGCACACAGCTGGTGGGCTGCAGGATTTGGGGGTTCTTTTGGTAGCCAGGAGGAAGGGGTCCTCTGGTCCACACATGTTCTCCAAGTTTCCCTGAGTTTGGCTGCAGAGCAGTTGGCCTGGGCTACTCCATGGAACGGAGTGGTGGCTGTCGAGGAGCAATGAGTCATGGGAGATCAGGTCACGTAGGGTCTTGTGGGCACTGCGAAGACTCTGGCTTTATTTTTCTTTTTTGAGACAAGGTCTCGCTCTGTCACCCATGCTGGAGTGCAGTGGCATGATCTTGGCTCACTACAGCCTCGACCTCCCAAGTTCACGCAATCCTCCTGCCTCAGCACCTCAAGTAGTTGGGATTACAGCCATGCGCCCCTACACATGGCTAATTTTTGTACTTTTTGTAGAGATGGGGTTTCACCATGTTGCCCAGGCTGGTCTTGAACTCCTGAGCTTAAGTGATCTGCCCACCTTGGCCTCCCAAAGTGTTGGGATTACAGGCATGAGCCACCGCACCTGGCCAAGACTTTGGATTTTATCCCAAATGAAATAGGGAAGCCACTGGAGGGCTTCAATGTGGTGGTAGGAGGCAAATACTGATTGAAAAGGTTCAAGAGAAAATGGGAGGAGAAAAATTGAAGATAATAAGAATAGATACTTCCAGCTGGGTGCAGGGGCTCACACCTATAAGCTCAGCACTTTGGGAAGTTGAGGTAGGGATTGCTTGAGGCCAAGAGTTCCAGAGCAACCTGGGAAACATAGCAAGACTCTGTCTCTACAAATTTTTTTTTTAATTTTTTTTTTTTTTGACAGAGTCTCGCTCTGTAGCCCAGGGTGGAGTGCAGTGGTGCAACCTCAGCTCACTGCAACCTCCACCTCCCAGGTTCAAGCAATTCTCTTCATTCAGCCTCCTGAGTAGCTGGGATTACAGGTGCCCGCCAACACACCTGGCTAATTTTTTGTATTTTACTAGAGACAAGGTTTCACCATGTTGGCCAGGCTGGTCTCCAACTCCTGACCTCAGGTGATCCGCCCACCTCGGCCTCCCAAAGTGCTGCAATTACAGGGATGAGACATTGCGCCCGGCCTACAAAAAATTTTTACAAATTAGCGGGGAGTGGTGGTGCACACCTGTAGTCCCAGCTACTAAGAGGCTGAGGTGCGAGAATTGCTTGGGCTCAGGAGATCGAGGCTGCAGTGAGCTGTGAGTATGCCACTGCACTCTGGCCCAGATGGATACTTCCAAAGAGTCTTGCTATAAAGGAGAGCAGAAAGGGAGAGAGAGATTTTATTAGTCCGTTCTCACGTTGCCAATAAAGACATACCCGAGACTGGGTAATTTACAAAGGAAAGAGGTTTAATTGACTGACAGTTCAGCATGGCTGGGGAGGCCTCAGGAAACTTACAGTCATGGCAGAAGGGGAAGCAAATATGTCCTTCTTCATATCTTCATATGGCAGCAGCAAGGAGAAGTACCGAGCAAAAAGGGGGAAAGCCCCTTATTGAACCATCAGATCTCGTGGGAACTCACTCACTATCATGAGAACAGTAGCATGGGGGTAACCACCCCCATGATTCAATTACCTCCCACCGGGTCCCTCCCATGACAAGTGGGAATTATGGTAACCACAATTCAAGATGAGATGTGGTTGGGGACACAGCCAAACCATATCAGAGATCAAGTTTTAATTTTTTTAATGAATGAATTATTATAATGGGAGATGATGGGTTGGCTCCAATAGGGAGGACAAATCAACAATTGGTGGTGGTGGTGGAGCGCTGCTGAAATGGGGGAAGCCAAAACCTGAGTGGAGGGTCAGAATCTTTGCGTGTTTTCCTTCAACCTCGTTCAGCTTAACAGGTGCTGGCACTGTGTTGTAATTGAGCAGGTTGGAGGTTTTTCCCAGGCGAGTATGAGGAAATGAGAGAAAGGTGAGGGGGCTGAAGGTGCACAGGAGAGAGGGGTGGCACAATGGACTATGGAGTCCACATGGGAAGAAGGGGAGTGGGACATGAGGTAAAGAAGGTACAATTATATTCTATTTAACCCAAATGCATCCCAAATGTCACCTCAACATGTAATCAACATTCAGAATTATTAGTGAAGTATTTTACATTTTTTCCCACACTACGACTTTGAAACCTCGCATGTGATTTACACAGACAGTGCCTCTCACTTTGGACCAGGCTCATTTTGAGGGGTTTGTGGCCACTCTGTTGGATGGCACGTAGGGATCTAGAGAAGGAGCGTGGGAGAGGTGGCCGAGCACGGGTAGAAGGCAAGATCATTGGAGGAGCAAAGGTCAGGGAAGGAGGAGGATCATCTCCGTGGAGATTTAAATCGCCAAGAATTAGGACAGGGATTTAGCAAGAGTGACAGTGAACCGGGAGTAGGAGTCGCGTAGGAACAAGACGGAGGGGACTAGGGTCTGCAGAGAACCAGACAGGACAGGCGGCACAGAGCATAGTGTGATGGCACCAGCTTCAAGGCTGGCGGGTTTGGGGAAGGTGGGGGTTGATCTGGAAGTAACTGCAACGGAGGATGCTCCAGGGGCCCGGGTTCCAGTCAGAGCAAGCAGGTGGAGAGAAGCTGTGGGAAGGAGGAGCTGTGGCTCCCGGCGTGTCTCAAGCTCCAGAGGAAACAGTGAGGGTTTTGGGAGTAAGGAGGCCTGGAGGTGGGGTTGGATTAGCAGGTGAGAATGGCCTTACAGGGGTTAGGGCCTGGGGTGAAGTACGACCTGGGGTGAAGTGACGACCTGGGTGTCCTGGGTCTTTGGCGAATGAGGAGAACAGCGTTTGCAGCTGTGCCCTGAGGCTGTTAGAGTGCACTCGCACTCTTTGGCCTGACGTGTAGCCTTTGACACTTTCCATGGTGTAAATACTCCCACCATGGCTCATTTCAAGCTACCAGTGGTTTAACAGCAGGCTTGTGGAATATTTAAACATTTAACAATGGGCTCTTGCAAGCTGGTGCAAGCCAGTTCCTGTAGCAGATAGCTGGGTATAGGGCACCATGGGATAGGTCCTGGAGGTCTCCACAGCAGACAGGGGGAGGGATGTGAGAGCTGAGGGTGTGAGTTGGGGGAGGGAGGCATGGAGATCTTGTCAGAATTACTCAGAGCTCTAACGCCCTTTCTTTTTTTCAGACAGTGTCTTGCTTTGTTGCCCAGGCTGGAGTGCCGTGGCACGATCACGGCTCACTGCAGCCTTGACCTCCCTGGCTCCAGTGATTCTCCCGACTCAGCTTCCAAATATCTGGGATCACAGGTGCACGCCATCATGCCTGGCTAATTTTAAAAATGTTTTTGTGAGTCGGGGTCTTGCTGTGTTACTTAGGCTGATCGCAAACTTTTGAGCTCAATCAATCCACCTGCCTGAGCCTCCCAAAGTGTTGGGATTACAGGCGTGAGCCACCATGTCCGGCCTTTTAACCCCCATTTGACCCCTGTCAGGGAGTCTGCAGAAATAGGCTGCATATCACAATGACTGCTTTTTTTCAATTTTTTTTTTGTTGTGGTAAAATATACATAACAAAACATTTACCATCGTAACCCTTTTTAAGCCTACAGTTTGTAATGTGCAAACATCACCAGCCATCTCCGTTAACTCTTTTCATCTTGCAAAGTGGAAATTCCATACCCGTTAAATGCTAACTCCCCATTGCCCCTCCCAGCTCCTGGTCCCCACCATTCTCCCTTCTGTCTCTATATTTTTGACTACTCTGGGTGCCTCATGTAAGGGGAATCATCTAGTATTTGTCTTTTTGTGACACAGTGTCCCCAAGTTCGCCCATACTGTAGCAGATTGCATAAAGTTCTTCTTCTTCTTTTTTTTTTTTTTTTGAGATGGAGTCTCACTCTGTTGCCAGGCTGGAGTGCGGTGGCGCAATCTTGGGGCTCACTGCAACCTCCGCCTCCCGAGTTCAAATGATTCTTCTGCCTCAGCCTCCCAAGTAGCTGGGATTACAGGTGCCCGCCACCATATCCGGCTAACTTTTGTATTTTTTTTTTAGTAGAGATGGGGTTTCACCATGTTGGCCAGGCTGGTCTCAAACTGCTGACCTCATGATCTACCTGCCTCAGCCTCCCAAAGTGCTGGGATTACTGTTGTGAGCCACATGTCCTTTTTTAAGCCTGAGTGATATTCCTTTGTCTGGATGGGCTACTTTTCACGTATCCACTCATCCACCCACAGACACTTTGGGCTGCTTCCATGTTTTAGCTATTGTTAATGCTGTTGTTATGAACATGGGTGTGCAAATATCTCTTTGACTGCCTGCTTTTAATTCTTTAGGGTATATACTCAGAAGTGGAATTGCTGGATCTTATAGAAATTCTATTTTTAATTTTTGGAGGGATACCTATTGTATTAGTCAGGGTTCTCTAGAGGGACAGAACTAATAGGACATATATATATAGGACATATATATATAGGATATATATATAGGACATATATATATAGGATATATATATAGGACATATATATATAGGATATATATATAGGACATATATATATAGGATATATATATAGGACATATATAGGATATATATAGGACATATATATAGGATATATATAGGACATATATATATAGGATATATATACAGGACATATATATAGGATATATATAGGACATGTATATATAGGATATATATAGGACATGTATATATAGGATATATATATAGGACATGTATATATAGGATATATATAGGACATATATATATAGGATATATATAGGACATATATATAGGATATATATATAGGACATATATATAGGATATATATATAGGACATATATATAGGATATATATATAGGACATATATATATAGGATATATATATAGGACATATATATAGGGTATATATATAGGACACATATATAGGGTATATATATAGGACACATATATAGGGTATATATATAGGACACATATATAGGGTATATATATAGGACACATATATAGGGTATATATAGGACACATATATAGGGTATATATAGGACATATACATAGGATATATATATAGGACATATATATAGGATATATATAGGACATATATATAGGACAGATATATATAGGACATATATAGGACAGATATATAGGGTATATATATAGAGGACATATATATAGGGTATATATGTAGAGGACATATATATAGGGTATATATGTAGAGGACATATATATAGGGTATATATGTAGAGGACATATATATAGGGTATATATGTAGAGGATATATATAGGGTATATATGGATAGCAGATATACAGGGTATATGGATAGGAGATATATACAGGATATATATGGATAGGAGATATATACAGGATATATATGGATAGGAGATATATACAGGATATATATGGATAGGAGATATATATATATAGGACATATAGATAGGAGATATATATATAGGACATAAAATAGGAGATATATATAGATAGGAGATATATATATAGGAGATATGTAGGAGATATATGTAGGATATATATATAGGATATATGTAGGATATATATATAGAATATATAGGATATATGTAGAGGATATATAGAGGATATATATATAGAGGATATATATATAGAGGATATATATATAGAGGATATATATATATAGAGGATATATATATATATAGAGGATATATATATAGAGGATATATATATAGAGAGAGGATATATATAAAGGATATATATATATACAGGATATATATATATAGAGGATATATATATAGAGGATATATATATAGAGGATATATATATATAGAGGATATATATATAGAGGATATATATATAGAGGATATATATAGAGGAGATATATATATAGAGGATATGTATATAGAGGATATATATATATAGAGGATATGTATATAGAGGATATATATATATAGAGGATATGTATATAGAGGATATATATATATAGAGGATATATATAGAGGATATATATAGAGGATATATATAGAGAGGATATATATAGAAGATATATATAGAGGATATATATATAGGATATATATAGGATATATATATGGGATATATATATAGGATAGTTTATATGTATGTATATGGGACATATATATAGTTTATATATAGTTTATATACACATATAGTTATATATACATATACATATATGTTTGTATATATACATATATAGTTATATATACATATATAGTTTATATATATATATGGGACATATATATATATATGGGATAGTTTATTAAGGAGCATTAACTCACACAATCACAAGGTCCCACGATAGGCCGTCTCAAGCTGAGGAGCAAGGAAGCCAGCCCGAGTCCCAAAGCTGAGGAACTTGGATTCCGATGTTCGAGGTCAGGAAGCATCCAGCACAGCAGAAAGATGCAGGCTGGGAGGCTGGGCCAGTCTAGTCTTTTCACATTCTTCTGCCTGCTTTATATTCTGGCCTCTCTGGCAGCTGATTAGATGGTGCCCACCCAGATTAAGGGTGGGCCTGCCGCTACCAACCCCCTGACTCAAAGTTAATCTCCTTTGCCGACACCCTCACAGACACACCCAGGATCAATACTTTCCATCCTTCATTCCAATCAGGCTGACACTCGGTATTAATCCTTACACCCATATTGTTTCTACAGCAGCTGCACCTCTGTAATTCCCACCAACAGTGTACAAGGGGTCCAATTTCTCCTCATCTTCCCCAACACTTATTTTCTGTGTTTTTTTTTTTTTTTTTATGGTACATCTTAATGGATGTGAGCTGGTATCTCATTGTAGTTTTGATTTGCATTTCTTTAATGTTAGTGACTTTTAATTTTAATTTTAATTTTTAAATTTTTTTCTTTTGTAGAGACAGGGTTTCACCATGTTGTCCAGGCTGGTCTTGAACTCCTGGGCTCAATTGATCCTCCTTCCTCAGCCTCCCAAAGTGCTGGGATAACAGGCATGAGCCACCATGCCTCTGGCTTTTAATAAACATTTTTGTATGTCTTCACTGTGATGAGCCACCTAGATCCCCCTTCCGGGAAGGACTTGTTACCCCAGCTGCTTGGGGTGCCTTCAACTCTCAGTCCCTTCAGAGACTGTTCAGCTGCAAAGAGCCACCCTGTCCAAAGCCGGGACTCTTCCTGGGCAACTGCATTCAACGACTCCTCAATGTGGGGACCACCTCTGCCCGAGTCAGGAAGGTCTCCCGGGGCCACTCTAGCTTGGAGGCTACTGTTTGGTCTTTGGGGCTATCACTGGGTCTGCATGGAAGTTTGCCTTCTCCCTCGTCCAATCCTGCTTCTCTCTCCTCCTTCCACCGATGCCGAGGCAAGCCCCTCGTAAACATCCTGTGGTACCTCCCTAAGAACCCAACGTGCCAGGCTCGCTTTACGTAGACTGGCGACCGGAGACTGATTTCTTTGGCATGAGTCAGCTTGATGGGGTGGGAAGATGTCCGTTTTAATTTGCATCTCTTTGTTAACTGTTGAGGTTGAACTTTTTTTTTTTTTTTTTTACAAGCATTGACTGAATGACTTCCTTTGTGGATTGCCTTTGCGAATGACTTCCTTTGCCTGTTTTTCTACTGAGATGTTTGTCTTTTTCTTATTGGTAAGAGTGCATATATATATTACCGTCATAAAGATATAATCTTTGCTTTTCGGATATGGTTCACAAAATGTTCTCACGTTTTCCCCAGTCAGCCGTGTGCCTGTTACTTTTGTGGTTCAGGGCACAGGCGTAGCCACACTGCCCCACCGCTTCCTAGCTCTGTAGCTTTGGGTGCATTGCTTCACCTACCAGAGCCTTTGCAGTACCTTGTAGGTTTGTTGTGGGAATTAAATGAGTTAATACAGTACTTATAACAGGGCCTGGAATACAGCGAGTATGAGATAATTATTTGCTATTTTTATTAGTGTCTATCTTATTTTTCTTATTGGCCATAT
This sequence comes from Homo sapiens, assembly GCF_000001405.40. Taxonomy (NCBI): domain Eukaryota; kingdom Metazoa; phylum Chordata; class Mammalia; order Primates; family Hominidae; genus Homo; species Homo sapiens. The sequence continues at coordinate 101,721,822 of NC_000014.9, read as the reverse complement.
GTATAGTATTGTATTTTCTGTAGTTAAAGCTATCTTTTGTGGTTTTTGTCTTTGGAGTGATATGTAGAAAGAACTTCTTTATTTTTATTTTATTTTATTTTTGTAGAGACACGGTCTCATTATGTTGCCCAGGCTGCTCTCAAACTCCTGGGCTCAAGTGATCCTTCTGCTGCAGCCTCCCAAAGTGTTGGGATTATAGGCGTGAGCCACTGTGCCCAGCCAGCTTCTTTATTTTAAGATTATATAAGTATTTACCTCCATTTTCTCTTTAGTACCTTTATTACCGGTAGAAGGTGTCCAGGTTCTTGGTGTCTTGAACAAAGAAGTGGACAAAACGCACAAACAAAGCAGGGAAGGAAGGAAGGGATTTACTGAAAACGGAAGAACCCTCCACAGTGTGGGGGCAGGCCTGAGCGTAGGGGCTCAAGGGCCAAGTTACAGAATTTTTGGGAGTTTAAATACCCCCTAGAGGATTGCACTGGTTACTTTGGGTATTCCTGATGTAAATGGAGAGATCAAAGTAAAGTTACACAGTCATTTAAGGCGTATGCCCTATGGAGAGGGTGTTTCCTGTCATAGCTGAAGTGTGAATCGGCCTTCTGTTCCCTGCCTCCAGACCCTATTTTCCTGCCATGAAGCCTTCATGATTTCATATATATATATTATATATATATAATATATATATATTATATATATATTATATATATATAATATATATATTATATATATAATATATATATAAATAAATATATTTATATATAAACATATAATATATTATTTATATATATATCTCCATATATGTGTGTGTGTCTCTGTCTGTCTGTCTATCTATCTATCTATCTATCTATCTATCTATCTATCTATCTATGTATCTGCAGAGAGAGAGAGAAGAGACAGAAAGAAAGAGATAGGGTCAGGGTCTCACTCTGTCGCCCAGGCTGGAGTGCAGTGGTGTGATCTCGGCTCACTGCACCCTCCACCTCCTGGTCTCAAGTGATCCTCCCACCTCAGCCTCCCAAGTAGCTGGGACAATAGTCACACACCACCATGCCTGGCTAATTATTAGCATTATTTTTTATTTTTTGGTAGAGACAGAATCTTATCGTGTTGCCTAGGCTGGTCTCGAATTCTTGGGCTCAAGCCATCCACCTGCCTCAGCCTCCCAAAGTGCTGGGATTATAAGCGTGAGCCACTGCGCCTGGGCTAAAAATATATATGTTTGGATCTTACATCCATCTGGAATTCAGAATGTATTTTGATGTGAGGTTTAATAGATCCATATTTCTTGAGTATCCAACATTCCTTTTCGGCCCCAACTGGCCCCCTCTTTAAAAAAAATTGATACTGTTAAATAAACGTTTTCTTTTAGGACGGCTCTAGAGGCACAGAATCATTGTGAAGCTAGTACAGAGCGTTCCGTACCTCTCACATGACCTCCCTGATTGCGAACATCTCGCAGCATGTGGTACAGCTGTCACCATTACGGCACCGTTATTGACACCTTAAGTCCACACTTTATTCACATTCCCTTAGTTTTTCCCTAATGTCCTCTTCCTGTTCCACGATTCCACTCAGGACCCCACGTGACATTCAGGTGACATGCCTCCCTAGGCTCCTCTCGACGGTGACAGTTTGAATGTGACAGTTTTGAGGATAAGTGGCCGAGTGCTTTGTAAGATGTCCCTCAGTTGGGATTTGTCTGATGTTCTCATGGTTAGACTGGGGTTATGGGAGGCCATTTCATCACATCAAGGTCAAGGGTCCGTGCCATCAACGCCACTTATCCCTGTTGATTCTGGCCTTGACCACCTGGCGGAGATCATGTTCATAGGGTTTCCCCTGAAAATAAAAACGGAGCTCCTCCCCCTGGCCTGCCCCTGTGCTGTCCTCTTGGGATGCGTCTGTCAGTGCAGCCCACGCTCCCGAGCTGGGAGTTCTGCTGCTCCTCCTTGAGGGAGGTGTTTCTGCATACATTAGGTGGAATTCTTCTGCGGGAGATTCACCTCCTCTCCCCTCTTCAGGTGTTTATCCAGTCATTGATCTGTATCCCCACAGACTCAAGGACATTTGTTTTCTGCTTTGGGTCATAACCCAGTACTGTTTTATTTTGTGGCTCCAATTGTCCCAGCCTAGGCCGTTGAGAGCTCCTTCAGGGGCCTCCTGGGTCCTTCGTCATCTCTGTGGGTTCCTTCTGAGTTCCCTGTTTCATGTCTGGCCCCTGTGATCCACTGTGTCCTGTGTCCCGTCATCCCTGTGTCCTGTGTCCCATCATCTCTGTGTCCTGTGCCCTGTTGTCACTGTGTCCTGTCGTCACTGTGTCCTGTGTCCTGTGTCTCATTGTCACTGTGTCCTCTTGTCACTGTGTCCTGTGTAAGCTGCTGCTTGGCCTCTGTGAGTCTCTCAACACAGCCCTGAGCTTCTGGAGGGAGTGCTTCCTGTCTATGGAAGTTGTTGAGCGGACAGGCACACAGCTGGAGAGTCACTCCAGGACAGAACCCAGGGAGGAAAGGGCCGCTGGGAGAGGCATTCGTAGAAACAGACAGACGTGGGGCCCGAAGAGCCCTGGAGACTGCTGCGCCCAGATCTATGCTTGGCCTATTCAGTTCTTGAGCTAAGAATCCTTCCTACTCCCCTCCCCTCCCCTCCCCTCCCCTCACAGCATATGGTACATTTGTCACCATTATAGCACCATTTTTGACATATTAAATCCACCTTTTATTCAGATTCCCTTAGTTTTTCCCTAATGTCGTCTTCCTGTTCCACGATTCTACTCAGGACTCCACGTGACATTCAGGTGACATGCCTCCTTAGGTCCCTCCCCTCCCCTCCCTTCTCCTCCCCTCCCTTCCCCTTCCTTCTCCTTCCCTGCTCCCCTGCCCTCCCCCTCCTCCCCTCCCTTCCCCTTCCCTCCCCTCCCCTCTCCTCCTCTCCCCTCTCCTCCCCTCTCCTCCCCTCTCCTTTCCTTTCCTTTTTATTGACACAAGGTCTCACTCTGCCACAATCTTGGCTCCAGCCTCAACCTCCAAGGCTCAAGCAATCCCCTTACCTCAGCCTCCCGAGTAGCTGAGACTATAGGCATGTGCCAGCACACCAAGCTATTTTTTGGTATTTTTTGTACAGACAGGGGTTTCACCATGTTGCCAAAGCTGGTCTCGAACTCCTGAGCTCAAGGGATCTGCCCACCTCGGCCTCCCAGAGTGCTGGGATTACAGGTGTGAGCCACCATGCCCAGCTAGAAATTTTCCTCTGGTTAAAGTGGTTTAATTTAAGTTTCTGTCATTTGCAACCAAACGATTTAATAGATAAGGCTCTGGGTGGCATTTTCTTCTGCTTAGGCTGCCATAAGAAGTGCCACAGACTGGGTGGCTTAAACAGCAGAAACTTGTTTCTCACAGTTTTGGAGGCTGGAAGTCCACATCAGGGCGCTCGTGGGGTTGGTTTCTGGGAAGGCCTCTCTTCCTGGCCGGCGGGTGTCACCTTCTCACGGCATCCTCCCATGGCCTCTTCCCTGTGCACACTTAGAGAGGGGGTGGTCTCTGGTGTCTTTCCTCTTGGTATAAGGACTCCAACCCTATTGGCTTGAGGGCCCACCCTCGTGGCCTCATAACCTTAGCTACCTCCCTGATGGCCCTATCTTCGAATGTGGTCGCATTGGAGGCCAGTGATTCAGCACCGGAATTTCTCTGAGAAATCCAGTCTGTAACAGGTTGAATTGTGTCTGCCAAAATCCATGTGTTGGAGTCGTAACTCCCAGCGTCTCAGAATGTGAACTTATTTGGATACAGGGTCATTGCAGATGTATTGAAGTGAAGATGTGGTCATTAGGGTGGGTCCTAGTCCACCTGACCGATGTCTTTATCCAAAAGGGGAAATTTGGACACAGACACGCACACAGGGAGAGGGCCACGTGTGGATTGGAGTTCTGCTGCCCCAAGCCAAGGAACCAGCAGAAGCTCTGAGGGAGGCCAGGAACAGGCCCTTCCTAGCGCCCTCAGAGGGAGCACAGCCCTGCCTGCACCGTGGTCTCAGACTTCTGACCTCCAAAACTGTGAAGGGGTCGTGTCTAGTCCAAGCCATGATATTAGCCAGCAAGGGCTGCTGTAACAAATCTCACAGACGCAGGGCTTCAACCACAGAAATGTGTCCTCTCACGGTTCTGGAGGTCAGAAGTCTGAGACAAAGATGCCGGCAGAGCTGATTTCTCTGGAGGCCTCTCTCCTTGGTCTGCAGGCGGCCGCCTGCTCGCTGCACCCTCACATGCTCTATTTTTATGCACTCACACATCCCTGGTGGCTCTTTGTGTGTCTGAATCACCTCTTTTTTTTTTTTTTTTTAAAGGATGTCAGCCGGGTTGGATTAGGGCCAACCTAAGGGCCTCAATTTAACTCAATCACCTTTTTAAAGGCCCAGTCTCCAAATGCAGCCACATTCTGAGGTACTGGGGGTTAGGGCTTCAACACAGGAATCGGCGGGTGAAGGGTGGCTGGGGGACACAGCCTGTGAGCTTTGTTATGGCAGCTCGAGGAAACTCTGCAGCCTCTAGAGGATTGTCTTTAAGGGGCTGGACCCTCAAGCCGGCTCTGTGCAGTCCCAGGGTGGTCTCCTCTGGTCCTGCCCTCTGTGCAGACCCTCAAAGCGACAGCCTGGCCTGTGACTCCCAGTGCCGCGGCCCCTCCCTTCCTTCCCAGGTCCTCTCCGCTCTCTGCCCACATTAGAATCTCCCCGGCTGCCCATTCACAGGCACCTCCTGCATCCCCACTTCCACTGCGCCCGCTGGATAACTGCACCTGTGCATTCTAAATAAAGATGCATTTATTGAGCGTCTAGGGATCTGCCCTGGCAGTTCCCATGGTCTAAAAAGGAAGTCAGACAAGTAAAGACTGCGGGTTATGAGATAATTACAACTGGGCACTGTCTGGGTCAGACACTTCCCTCCACAGCCCATGTCCTGCAGCCAGCAGGGGCGCCTTTTCCTTGTTGGCACAGAGACTCCTTGCAGTCCAGCCGAAGAGGGGTCACAGGGTGGGCATTCTGGGAGCCAAGGGTGGCTCTGCTGAGGAGTGCACCCAGAGCTGGGTGTCGGTTAAACTCTCCTGTTGAGAGGCTGCCCAGGTGGCGGTGCGCAGCAGGGGGCTCTGACTCGGGAATGTGGGCAGGTGCAGCGGCAGGAGAGCTGAGAGGTGCAGAGATGGGTCAGGGGCCTGGGAGAGTGCAAGGGAGAAACATGTGAAGGCATGAGCCAAGGCAGCCACTGTGGGAACGAGAGGTTGACACGGGTGCCAGAGGAATGGAGAGCTGGTGTCCTGCAGGGGTGACTGGGGCAGGAAGCTACCCGCTGGCAGGCCTGCCGAGGGGCTGGGATGGGTGAGGTTAGTGCTGGGTCAGCGGTTCCACTGCAGTCTGTGTCAATTTGAAATTCTATGCCTGCGGAAGAGGGAGAGCCTCCCAATCTTCAACACTGCAGCCAGCAGTGGAGGGGATGCAGCCTCCAGTTGGCGTCTTGGCTTGGGGTGGGGCAGGCAGGTCAGGGGGTGTTGCTCAGACCCAGTGGACAGACCTTGATGAGTTCTCACCAGTGTGACTCTCCATGCTGCCCCCCACCGGCCCTCACTGGCCACGTCCTGTTCCATACTCAGGTTTCTGACCCATGATATGGTTTGGATCTTTGTCTCCGCCCAAATCTCATGTGGAATTGCAATCCTCAATATGGAGATAGGGCTTCGTGGGAGGCAGCTTTGCCAGGCCTGGAGGTCACCACCTGGTCAGCCATTGGATTTATTCATCCCAAAGGGGACTCTTGGCTTCGCTTGGGGTGAATGTCCACAGGTCCCAGATGACCCAAGAGTGGAGGCTGGAAGTGGAGCTGCCCTTGGAGAGAGGCCGGCACTGGAGTGCTGTAGTCCGTTCTTGCACTGCTATAAAGAAATACCTGAGACTGGGTAATTTATAAAGGAAGCAGGTGTCATTGGCTCGTGGTTCCACAGGCTATACAGGAAGCATGGCAGCATCTGCCTCTGGGGAGGCCTTGGGGATCTTTGACTTATGGCTGAGGCCAAGCAGGAGCACCAAGGTGGGTGGTGTTAAACCATGAGAAACCGCCCCAAGATCCAGTCACCTCCCACCAGGCCCCACCTCCAGCACTGGGGTTTGCAACTGCAGTATCCCCACCTCTCCCCAGACTTTCCCGGACAATCACTTGAAGACCTGCAAGACAGAGAAGCAGATGCCCCCGAAGCTTCCACTCACAGCCCTGCAACACCTGGGCTGCCTGCCTCCCTCTGTAGTATCACACACATTTAACTCATCGACCCAAGAGTGAGATCAAGATCTTCACTGCTTGTGCACGCATGAGGGGAGGGCGCCTACAACTCAGATGATCCAAGCACTGGCGCCAAAGGCTCAGAATCCTCTGGACTAGCTCTGCCCAATAGGGATGTCATGTGAGCCACAAGTGCGAACCACGTAGGTGTTAAAAAATTCTTAGTGCCCACATTTCAAAAGTAAAAAGAAAAAGATGACATTGATTTTAGTAATATATTTAATGTAGTCCAAGATATGCTCAAAATATTATCATCGCAACATGCCATCAAAATAAAACTTATTAATGAGATATTTTGCCTTCATCCTTTTTTCCTACTAAATCTTTTTTTTTTTTTTTTTTTTTTAAATTGAGAAGAGGCTCACTCTGTAACCCAGGCTGGAGTGCAGTGGCATGATCATAGCTTACTGAAGCCTCGACCTCCCAGGCTCAGGGTATCCTTCCACCTCAGCCTCCTGGGTAGATGGGACTACAGGTGCCTGCACCATGCCTGGCTAATTTTTAAAAATTTCTACAGAGACAAGTTCTCTCTATGTTGCCCAGACTGGGAAATTTTTTTCTAGAAATGGGGTCTTCCTATGTTGCCCAGGCTGGTCTCAAGGGATCTTCCCACCTCAGCCTCCCAAATTGTTGGGATTATAGGCCTAAGCCACTGTACCCAGCCTTTATACAGAATCATTACATTTCAGTGTATATTTTGCATTTTATAGCCCATCCCAATTCATACTGGCTCAGTAGCCACATGTGGCTGGTAGCTGTGTCTTGGTTGTTATAGGTGTTATGGACTAAACGTTTGTCTCCCCCAAATTCATGTGTTGAATTCCTAACCTTCAACACAAGGATATTCAGAGGTGGGCCTTTGGGATGTAATTAGGTCATGAGGGTGTGGCCCTCATGAATGGGATTAGTGCCCTTATACGAAGAGACAGTGGAGTTTGCTCCTCCTCTGTCTGCTGTCTGCCATGTAGGACACAATGAGAAGGTGGCTATCTACAAACCTGGAAGTGAGCTCGTATCAGACAGGGGATCTACCAGCACCTTGATCTTGGACTCCCCAGACCCTAGAACTCTAAGAAATAAATCTGTTATTTAAGCCACCCATTTAATGGTAGTTTGTTACCACAGCCTGTCTTAGTCCATTTACTGTGGCTTATAACAGAATACCTGAAACTGGGTAATTAATAAAGAAACAAGATTTATTTCTTACAGTCCTGAAGGCTGGGAAGTCCAAGGTTGAGAGGCTGCATCTGGTGAGGGCCTTCATGCTAGCAGGGACTTTCTGCAAAGTCCCAAGGCAGCCCAGGGCATCACAAGATGAGGGGCTGAGTGTGCAAGCTCAGTTCTCTCTCCTTGTTATAGAGCCACAAGTCCTACTCCCAAGAACATCCATTAGCCCATTACTCGCTGAATGGAGTAATCTACTCATGAGGGAAGGGGACATATGACATAATCACCTCTTAAAGGCCCCACCTCCCAATACTGCCACATTGGGGGTTAAATTTCAACATGAGGAAGGAGACAAACATTCAAACCATAGCATAGTGCAAGCCAGGGAAGACAGTAGGTCTAGTATGGCCCGGGATAAGAAGGGAACTGCTAAAACCATGCTTGAGCAGGAGACAGCCAGTGAGACACTAGAACCAGCCTTTGTAGCCACAGCAATGGACCAAGAACACTCAGCATCTTCTCACCTGCTTGTCAAGACATTAGAAAGAAAAGCGGTGCTGCAAGATTATACTTGGGTGAGATCTCAGTGGGTGGGGTGAGATGACAGTGGGTGGGGAGAGATGACGGTGGGTGGGGTGAGATCTCGGTGGGGTGAGATGACAGTGGGTGGGGTGAGATGACGGTGGGTGGGGTGAGATGACAGCGGGTGGGGTGAGATGACAGTGGGTGGGGTGAGATCTCGGGTGAGATGACAGTGGGTGGGGTGGGATGACAGTGGGTGGGGTGAGATGACGGTGGGTGGGGTGAGATGACGGTGGGTGGGGTGAGATGACGGTGGGTGGGGAGAGATGACAGTGGGTGGGGGGAGATGACGGTGGGTGGGGGGAGATGACGGTGGGTGGGGAGAGATGACGGTGGGTGGGATGAGATGACGGTGGGTGGGGAGAGATGACGGTGGGTCCGGAGAGATGACGGTGGGTGGGGTGAGATGACAGTGGGTGGGGTGAGATGACAGTGGGTGGGGAGAGATGACAGTGGGTGGGGTGAGATGACAGTGGGTGGGGAGAGATGACAGTGGGTGGGGTGAGATGACAGCGGGTGGGGTGAGATGACGGTGGGGAGAGATGACAGTGGGTGGGGTGAGATGACAGTGGGTGGGGTGAGATGACAGTGGGTGGGGTGAGATCTCGGGTGAGATGACAGTGGGTTGGGAGAGATGACAGTGGGTGGGGGGAGATGACGGTGGGTGGGGGGAGATGACGGTGGGTGGGGTGAGATCTCGGGTGAGATGACAGTGGGTGGGGTGAGATGACAGTGGGTTGGGAGAGATGACGGTGGGTGGGGAGAGATCTCGGTGGGGTGAGATGACAGTGGGTGGGGAGAGATGACAGTGGGTGGGGGGAGATGACGGTGGGTGGGGTGAGATGACGGTGGGTGGGGTGAGATGACGGTGGGTGGGGTGAGATCTCGGTGGGTGGGGAGAGATGACGGTGGGTGGGGTGAGATGACGGTGGGTGGGGTGAGATGACGGTGGGGAGAGATGACGGTGGGTGGGGTGAGATCTTGGTGGGTGGGGAGAGATGACGGTGGGTGGGGTGAGATGACGGTGGGTGGGGAGAGATGACGGTGGGTGGGGTGAGATGACGGTGGGTGGGGTGAGATGATGGTGGGTGGGGTGAGATGACAGTGGGGTGAGATGACGGTGGGTGGGGTGAGATGACGGTGGGGTGAGATGACGGTGGGTGGGATGAGATGACGGTGGGTGGGGTGAGATGACGGTGGGTCGGGAGAGATGACAGTGGGTGGGGAGAAATGACGGTGGGTGGGGTGAGATCTCGGTGGGTGGGGTGAGATCTTGGTGGGTGGGGAGAGATGACAGTGGGTGGGGTGAGATGACGGCGGGTGGGGTGAGATCTCAGTGGGTGGGGAGAGATGACAGTGGGTGGGGTGAGATGACGGTGGGTGGGGTGAGATGACGGTGGGTGGGGAGAGATGACAGTGGGTGGGGAGAGATGACGGTGGGTGGGATGAGATGACGGTGGGTGGGGAGAGATGACGGTGGGTGGGATGAGATGACGGTGGGTGGGGAGAGATGACGGTGGGTGGGATGAGATGACGGTGGGTGGGGAGAGATGATGGTGGGTGGGGTGAGATCTCGGTGGGTGGGGTGAGATGACAGTGGGTGGGGTGAGATGACAGTGGGTGGGGTGAGATCTCGGTGGGGTGAGATGACAGTGGGTGGGGTGAGATGACGGTGGGTGGGGAGAGATGACGGTGGGTGGGGAGAGATGACGGTGGGTGGGGAGAGATGGTGGGTGGGGGGGAGATGACGGTGGGGGGGGAGAGATGGTGGGTGGGGTGAGATGACGGTGGGTGGGGTGAGATGACGGTGGGTGGGGAGAGATGACGGTGGGTGGGGTGAGATGACGGTGGGTGGGGAGAGATGATGGTGGGTGGGGTGAGATCTCGGTGGGGTGAGATCTCGGTGGGGTGAGATCTCGGTGGGTGGGGTGAGATATCGGTGGGTCGGGTGAGATCTCGCTGGGTGGGGTGAGATCTCGCTGGGTGGGGTGAGATTGCAGTTGGGAAGTGCTGAGTTCTGTCCTCTGTGTTTCCTCTGAGGACTTGACCTGTGAGGGGACAAGGCAGGAGTGGCTGTCCCTTAGCCACAGTGGAAGCTTCCAGTCAACCTCTGTTGAGTGTCTAGACCCAGCCCCAGCTGCTGCTCCCCTGTGGCACTCCTTTGACTGCCACCCCTCCCCACACTGGCTGCCCCCCTTCTCTGGCCGTGCAGCTGGGGCAGCAGCTCTGTGCAGGGGGGTCCTCCTGCCACCCTTCTGCCTGCCTCCCTCCCTTCAGGGAATGAGTGTGGGTCTGTGGCAGGGGGTTCTGCAGGGAACACAGTGCTGGAAAGAGCCTGCCTGGTGTCTGTGTTGTGGTGGAGGGTGGAGGCAACAGGGTAAAGGAGGAATGCTGTTTCCTGTGTCCTGGAGCTACATGAAGCTGGGAAGGGAGGTGACGCCTGGGAGGGGTGAAATTCTCAGTGGAGTGGCTGGGCTGGCCTCTGGGACATTCAAACATAGACCTCCTTGCACTTCGTCATGGGTGACAGCAGATGACCAGATGGGGCCTCCACAGGCAGGCAGGGGCCCGGCTGTTTCCTCATCCCCAGCACTGGATGGCCCGGTGGTTGAGTGAGGGGGGTGGACAGGCGGCCCCGGGGAACATGGTCTGTGGGATTCCAAGTCTCTTGTCTTTCTGAGCCCTCCCCAGAATCACCCTTAATGGTTCATTCATGGCAATGTAGGCGTTTTCTGGCAGGTACCCCCAAACTCTTCCAGTTCCAAAGCTGCTTCCACATTTTTAGGTACTTGTTACAGTAGCACCCCCACTTGGTACCAATTTCCTCTTAATACCATCGCCTGGGAGTTAGGATTTCAACACATAAATGTTGGGGGAACACATTCAGACCACAGCACCCCCTTCCTTTGAGTTACTGGTATCTTTTTGGGTGAGCCATTGAGAGGCAGGTGGAGCTGATCCATGGGGTGCCTGTCCTAGCCTCATGCCTGGTGTCCCTAACCAGGCAGTCACTGGAGGGGGACAAGCCCAGTGAAGGAGGCCAGTGAGGCTGCTACCCAACAGCTGTGTGCCATTGGGTGTATAGTGGGCCTCTCTGAACCTCAGTCTCTTCTTCTGTACAAGAAGGGTAGTGAATCTGGCCTCACAGTGTGGTTTTAAGGAGTGAGTGGGCTCCCAGCATTCTCACAGGCAGTGTGCCCTGGCTCCTAGTGAGGTGAAGACTAAGTGGGCTTGAGGCCCTCCCTTTGGCCAGAGCAGCTGTGCTCCTGCCTCTTGGTGTTTGGGTTCCCCTGAGATGTTTGTTGGAGAGGAGTCTTCCAGACCTCAGCTCATCTCTGAGCCTACTCCCTCTCCAAACACCTCCCATGGAGGAACGGATGCTGATTGGATTGGTGGAAGCTGAGTCACTGTTTGGGCTGCGTTTAGCAGTAGGCGTGGCCAGCAGGTGTGGTCGGTGGGCACAGTCACTGCATAAAAGGCCCCACCTCCCCACTTCTCGCTTCCTGGATCCCTGTGCTGACCAACAGGAAGAGGGACAGGTCCCGTGTGCCGGCCTGGGCTATAGGCAGGGCCTAGGTGACCTGGCTGGTCCACCTAGGATATATCTTGGGCTGATGTATCCTTCATTTCCTTCTCGCTGAAGCCAGGACCTCTCTCCTGCAGCCTCAGCTGGTCTAGCAAAGGTTCTGGATTGGTCGTGGTGGCTGGTGTTGGCCAGTTGGGGCCAATGTGAGATTATGGGGTCAGGCAGACCTCATTGCATTTAAGGCAGAACTCAGCTGTGAGCTGTGTGTTGGTGAGGAGACCGTTTGGTCACAGAGGCTTTTTTTTTTAACCTCCATATACCCTTTATATGTGAGCACTGTGGCCTATGGTGCCTGAGAACCCAAGACACCAAGCTTTTGGAACCTAAGTGTAGGGCACTGCTAGGTGGCACTAGCTTGGCCTCCTCCGATGAAGTCCTCCTCCTCTTTCTGTTTGGCACAGCATCTCCAGCCAGGGAGCGAGCTGTTTTGGGGGGCCCTTTGCCTCCACCGATGCCCCCACCACATGTTCTCAGCTCCTCTCCGACCTCAGTTCTTCCCTTTACCTACACTGGCCCCTGTGGAGCTCCTACGTGCGTGCCAGCAATGCCCAAATACCTCTCCCACCCACCTCCGGCCGTCTACTCGACGTGGCTAATGATGTTGAAAATGCCCCAAAACTGCAGTCCTCGCCTTCTGTCCCTCCCCCATCCCCCACCCCTGCCCTGTTTCCCTGCATCCTCCTCATCTGAGAATGAAGGCAACGGAGGCAGCGTGGGGCTGGTGTCCAACACAGCTGCCCAGGCTTGCCCTGCTGCATCTGGGCGGTGAAAGGAGGCCCCTCCAGATAGGACCCTTCCCCAAACATTTGCGCAGCTGCAGGGTGGCAGAAGCAGCAGACAGACACCCTGGGGCAGGCTGGGATCCAGGGCGGCGGGGCTGTGTCCCAGTGGGGATTATTTTCCCATGTGTTTAAAAGTTGAACCAGCCGTCTAGACCGTGCTCCTCAGCACTGAATGAGAGGGCCTGATTTGGGGTGGCTTTCTTTCTGCCATCTGGACGTCAGCCAGTGGCTCCTCTAAGGTACTTAGGCTTTCAAACGTGTCCTGGTCCAAGTCGCTAAACTACGTCACGCTCTGATTCTTCACTCCTTTACTTGAACGCCTCTTGGTTCCCCTGCCCTCAAGACCTTTTAAAAGTGCAGTCTGACCATGCTGCCCCTTATGGACAGTAGTGCACTACGTGTAAATGTTTAACGACTGCTCTGGATAAAAAGCCCCGATTGGCAGTGTTTGCCAATTTCCATGGTGTAAATCTGCCTGTCATGGCCAATTTCAAACTACCAATCTGAAGTCACTGACTATGCCGTGGGGAAGAGATCAATAGCACATCGTCACACAGGCTCTACTACACAGACGCACCACACAGAAATAACCTCAACGGCAGAGAAAACAATAAAGTATAGTAAAATGTTAGAAAGTTTTGAGTATTTATTACCTGTTTTTGAATATAATTTAATCTTTAATAATGGCTGTGCTTAACAACTGATCTGCAAAATTCCTGAAAATGTAATAGTCTGCTTGTGAGCCGGCACAAGCACACCCTGCTACAGGGTCAGACCCAGACTCCTGGGACAAAGCCTAAACAGGTGGCCCGCTGCTGTCCAGACTCACCCTCCTCCACAAGCCACGCCCCATGCCAGCTCCCTGGGTCCACTTGTGGGGCCCAGATGGACTCGCTGGTCTTTGCCCCTTCCACCCTCTGTCTGAGCCTCCCTCCCTTCATCCTTCCCTTTCTCTTTCTCACCCTCTCTTTACCTCTGAGTATGTATGGAGTCCACTGCTATGTGGCAGGGCTTTGCAAAGCCGGGGGATGCAAATGTGGCCTCCGCCCTCTGGAGCTGGGGTCCTCTCAGAGCCGGGTCTCCAGAACCATATGAAACTTCCAGATTTGGGTGAATAGGGAAGACTCCTTGGCTAGAGCTGTGAGGCCCTTTCTCAGCTGCTAACCCTACAGCAGCCCCCAGATAGGGCCCAGGACCCCCTCCGTCACCTGGACAATACCCTGTGTGTTTGCCTGCTCTCTGAGCCCACCCTGGGGCATGCATTTCCAACAGCTCAGAGGCGGAGCTCCTGGGCATATTCCCTTCCCAGATGGCCTGCATGACGACTTGGGGAGGTCCAGGACGGCTGTCCTTGGTGATCAGGAGCATGTGAGCACTGGTGGGGATGAGGGAGCCCAGAGGGTCCTACTACACACCCTGCACTGTAATAGTCTGCTTGTGAGCCGGCACAAGCACACCCTGCTACAGGGTCAGACCCAAACTCCTGGGACGAAACAAAGGACTTTCCTCTGTGCTGCACTGTGTGCACCCCTAGCACTTCAAATAAAAGTTTGGCACCTTATACAGGGAGATATTTTGCTAGAACATGAACTTAAATGCATGCAGTATCATACAGGTCGAACAGGAAGCAGTATGGGGGTGCACAGTGCAGCCTCTGGAGACAAGACCTGGGCTTGGTCCTGCCTCTAAGAGTCACTGCTGTGTGACCTCAGCCAAATTACTCAAATACTCTGAACCTCAGATTCTTCGGCTGTGTAAGGGCAACAACAAATACTTCATGGCTGGTTGTGAGAATTACTTGAGCTGACACAAGAAACATGCAACAGTGGCTTGCGTGTGCTGAATGGGCAGGAAGTTTTCTGCTGCGTAATTTGCGATACTAAAAGCAAAGATGATTATTGAGCGCCCTCTGGTGACCAAATGGTACAATTACACCTTAGATTGCGCCAAGCTGGATACTTTTTTATGCGGGGCTCAAGGACTCACAGGCCCTGCTGGTGGTGAATTGCCTGCGGCCCCTTCTTGCTCCATTTCAGTTCCTTGGCCCCGGCGGTAGGCAGCCTCCTCATTAAAGGGGAGGATTTCACGGGACAGGCATCTTCACTACACCTGTCCCGGGCTCTTCAGAACTAGCTCCTGTCTCTAATGCTCGAGGGGGATCATGGTCCAGCTAAGGAAGCTGGTCCCTGCTGCAGCTGGGCTGGGGACTGCCAGGGATTCGGGGGCCTTGGAAACGGAGACCACAGACCCTGCTGTGTGTGTGTGGCGCCAGACCCAGTCTTCATGTCTCCAGGTGAACCGCAGAGCCTCATTCTGGATTTTAAAAACCTAGTTGTTACTGGGCCTGCAGGTCGGCTGTATCCCTGCGGGTTCTCTGCAGCCCCTGCCCCTGTGGGCAGTCATGCTGTGTGCCAGGCACTGTGCTGGGTGCTGGGGATACGGCACAGCACCTGGGGCTTAGGTTAGAGGGGGAGATGGAGGGGGATTTGGGCGGGGACTTCTGGAGTCCTGTCCCAGGGTGTGCAGGCAGTGGGTGTAGAGGTCTCCTTCCCTTCCCCTAGCGCTTCCTCATGCACAAGGCCTGTGCTGACACCTGGGTCACTCTGCCATGTTCCCTGCGGCCTTGAACTTAGTGACAGCCAATATTTACCAGCTCTGTCCACGGGCCATGCGTGGTAGGCCTTTCCTCGAGCCCTCGAGATGGCCTTGCGAGGTCGGTACAACCTCCTGCCAGTACCATCCCCTCCATTCTGCGGAGGAGGAATCTGACCTGGAGAGGTCATGTCCACGGGCCAAGGGAAGTCAGGGTCAGGCTCTCAGAGCCCAGAAGCTCTCACCCCTCGGGCCGTGGTTCCTGCTGCCCCTGCCCAGCCCTTCCCTTTTTGCCGGGAAGCCTCCTCTCTTGGCCTGGGCCTCATGAATTTCCTCCTGAAGGGAGTTAGGGGCAGGAATCCGGCGCCAGCAGCTTCTCACTCCTCCCAGGGCTGCCTGTCAAGCTGGGGCAGAAGAGGAGGCCCTCGGGGCACGTGCCTCCGGCGCTGCCTGCAGCGGCCTCGCCCAGGAAGTGCGGCTCAGCGGGAGCTCGCCCCTGTCCCTGCCTCCGGGGCGGCGCCGCCACGGCCTGGGAAGGAGGCCGAGCCCCTGCTCCCGCGACCCCTGCATGGGCGGGGCAGGCCCCAGGCCCCAGCTGAGACCAGGCTCCCGCTTTTTCAAGGAACCGCCGCGCTGGGCCCTTCACCCACGTGCTTTCCCTGCGGCGGCTCAGCCTCCAGCAGGCCGGAGGGTGCGCGTCGGGTCCCGGCTCCTCCTGCGCTGGGGACAAGCGGCCCCGCGCCCCCTGTCACCCCACGGAGGCCTTCACCTCCCCATGCCCGGCCGCGGCGGACCGGGGGAACTGGGGGCGGGCCGCAGAGGAGGCTCGGGGCACGGCGTGGGCCCAGGGCCGGGCTCCAGGGAGGGCGAGGAGGACGGCACCCCCCGCCGGCTGCGGTCGCGGCTCGTCCAGGTTCAGGCTTCGGCTGCTCCCGGAAGCCCCTGGCGGGGAGCGGCCGCCTGCGGGGAGATCTCGCGCCCCGGCCGCAGGGCTGCACATGGACGCCGGGACCTGCGCCTCCTCCAGCCCCGGCCCGCAGGGTCCTGGCTTGGGCACCGCCCTCTCTCTCCCCAGGGCCCAGCTCGAGGGGCTCACCCGTGGTGAATATGCGCCGGTCACAGAGCACGGGGCAGCCATAGAGGCCACACTGTCACCTCTGGGGACTGGACAAAAATGTCCAAATCCACGGAAAAATGAGATGCCCAAATAATCTCTCATAATTCTTCACGTTAACATTTTGCCTTCTTTTGTCACGTTCGTTCTCTGTCACTCTTTTTATATATGTACCTTCCCCCCACAACCCACTGGAAAGTAATATTCAGACATTGTGACACTTCACTTCTATATAAATTTCCCCTTAAGCATTTACAGCATTAAATATAGAACATTAAAGATAGAACATTAAAGCTCTGTATTAGAAACAAAGAAAGGTCTCTCATCAAATATCTAAGCTTCTACATTAAGAAACTAGGAAAAGAAGAGCAACAGAAGTCCAAAGCAAACAGAAAGCAGGACATAATACATATAAGGCCGGATGCAGTGGCTCACGCCTGTGATCCCAGCACTTTGGGAGGCTCGAGGCGGGCGGATCACCTGAGGTCAGGAGTTCGAGACCAGCCTGGCCAACATGGCAAAACCCGTCTCTACTAAGAATAAAAAAATTAGCCAGGTGTGGTGGTGGGCGCCTGTAATCCCAGCTACTCGAGTGGCTGAGGCAGGAGAATCACTTCAACCCTGGAGGCAGAGGTTGTAGTGAGCCGAGATTGTGCCACTGCACTCCAGCCTGGGCAACAGAGTGAGACTCTGTCTTAAACAAAAACAAAAAAAAACCCCAAGTTAGTTGGGCACGATGGCACACTCCTATAACCCCAGCTACTCAGGTGGCTGAGGCAGGAGAATCACTGGAACCCAGGAGGCGGCAGTTGCAGTGAGCTGAGATCGTGCCATCGCACTCCAGCCTGGGCAACAGAGCAAGACCCTGTCTCAAAAACAAAACAAAACAAAACAAAACAAAAACCACCAAAAAACAAACAGAAAAACCATATGAGAGCAGAAACTAACTCAATTGAAAACAAAAGAGAAAACTTTTCTAAAAACATCTTTACTATTTACATCTACAATCTGTCTAGAATAGATTGTGATACAGGATAAGCAAGCCCCCAAATTGGGGCTTAGCCCTGGGGGGTTCCTGGCTTCCTCCAGGTAAGAATTCAAGGGTGAGCTGGTGGTGTTAGCCAGCAACGTTTATTGAAGCAGCAATGCACAGCAGTGGCAGAGGGACTGCCCCTTGCAGAGCAGGGCCACCCCTTAGACAGTGAGCCCAGAGCAGCAGCTCAGAGGCAGGTCTGCACTCATATTTATACCCATGCTTAATTATATGCAAATTAAGGGGTAGTTTATACAGAGATTTCTAGGATGAGAGCGGTAACTTCTGGGTTATCAGGTTGTTGCTACGGAAAGGGGTGGTAAATCCCTGGTGTTGCCATGGCAATGGTACACTGGCGTGGCACACTGGTGGGTGTGTCTTATGTGGAGGTGCTTTGGCCCTAGACCTGTTTTAGCTAGTCCTCAATTTGGTCTGGTGTCTGAGCCTCACCTCCAGAGTCTAATACCACCTCCTACCTCAATTGTTAGACATGATTTGAGTTAGGGGGTGAAGATACCTTTTTTTTTTTTCCCAAATATATATCCAATTAACACCAGCATTTACTGACAAGACCCTCACATCTCCAGTGTTCTCCTGTGTCCTTGTCATAAATCAGGGGATTGTATATTTTCGAATCAGTTTCTAAACTCTTTTTCTGTTGGTTTATATTTCTACCTTTGTACCAATATCACAGTGTCTTAATTACCTTCAGTTTTCTCCTTCTCATCCTCATCGTCTGCCTCCTCCTTCTTCAGGATCACCTTGGTTATTCTCAGCCTTTGCATTTTCATACACATTTTAGAGTTAGGTTATCATTTTCCACCAAAAGCGACTTCTCCTGGGAATTGGATGTGATTATATGAAATATTTAAATGATTTTGGGGAGAATTTCACATCTAAAAATAATGAGCCTTTCAATGATTAACATAGTATATATTCTTTATTTATTTAGGGTTTAATTTCCCTTAATAGTGTTTTGTAGTTTTCAGCATAGAAGTCTTATACATCTTTCATTATATTCATTCACCTAAGAGTGTTTTATGTTTTTCAAAAGCTTTTCTAAGTTTCTAACATTTGTTGCTGGCATGTAGAAATACAAGTGATTTTTGTATATTGACCTTGTATACGGCAATGCTGCTAAATGCACTTATTACTGAAAATCATTTATTGGTAGGTTCATTTGGATTTTCTAATAACACAATCATGTTATTTGCAAATAATAACAGTTTTATAGTTTTCTTTTCTACGTGGATGCCTTTCATCTCCATTCTTTGTCCTTCTACACTGACTAAGACCTTCAATACAATATTGAATAGAGGTGGTGATAATGGACATCTTTGTCTTGTTCTTGGTTTCAGGGAGAAAACTTTCAACATTTTACCAATTCCTATGATGGTTTCTGTAGACTTCTTTTTCAGATCATGGAAGTGTTATTTTATTCTTAGTTTTCTAAGAGTTTTTAATCATTAATTTTGTTAAATGCCTTCTCTGCATCTATTGAGATAATCATGGGAGTTTTCTCATTTTTTTCTTTCTGTGAATATGGTGTATTAGTTAGGGTTTTTCAGAGAGAAACAGAACTAATAGGATAGGTAGATAGAGAGATATAGATAGATAGATATAGGTATAGGTGGATAGATATAGATAGGTAGGTAGATAGATAGATAGATAGATAGATAGATAATTAGTCTATTTTCATTCTGCTGATGAAGACATACCTGAGACTGGGCAATTTACAAAAGAAAGAGGTTTATTGGACTTACTGTTCCACATGGCTGGGGAGGCCTCACAATCCTGGAGGAAGGCAAGGAGGAGCAAGTCACATTTTATGTGGATGGCAGCAAACAAAGAGAGAGAGCTTGTGCAGGACAACTCCTGTTTTCAAAACCATCAGATCTCATGAGACTCATTCACTATCATGAAACAGCATGGGAAAGACCTGCCCCATAATTCAATCATCTCCCACTGCGTACCTCCCACAACACGTGGGAATTATGGGAGCTACAATATGAGATTTTGGTGGGGACACAGAGCCAAACCATATCATTCTGCCCCTAGATACAATGAAGGTATAGGCACTGGGTAAATACAACCATTCCAAATGGGAGAAATTGGCCAAAACAGAGAGGCTACAGGCCCCATGCAAGTCCAAAATCCAGCATGGCAGTCAAATCTTAAAGCTCCAAAATGATCTCCTTTGAGTCCACGTCTTACATCCAGGTCATGTGGATGCAAGAGGTAGGTTCCCATAGTCTTCAGCAGCTCCGCCCCTTTGCAGGGTGCAGCCTCCCTCCTGGCTGCTTTCATGGGCTGGTGTTGAGTGTCTGCAGCTTTTCCAGGCACATGGTGCAAGCTGTCAGTAGATCTACCATTCTGGGATCTGGAGGATGGTGGCCCTCTTCTCACAGCTCCACTAGGCAGTGCCCTGGTAGGGCTACAAGATGAGATTTGGGCAGGGACACAGAGCCAAACCATATTAGATAGATAGATAGATAGATAGATAGTTAGATAGATATAGATTTGCTATAAGGAATTGGCTCATGTGATAATGGAGGCTGAGAAGTCCCAAGATTTGCAGTGGGCAAGGTGGAGAACCAGGAGAGCTGCTGATCCAAAGGCCAGCAGCCTCAAGACCTAAGAAGAGTTATGTTTCTCTCTGAGCCCAAAAGCCTGCAAGACCAATGTCTCAGGTCAACAAGTCTGGTAGGAGGCATTCCCTCTTACTCAATCTTTTTATTCTACTTAAGTCTTCAGTTGATTGGGTGAGGTCCACCCACATTGGGGAGGGCAATCTGTTGTGCTCAGTCTACTGATTGAAATGTTAATCTCATCCAGAAACACCCTCACAGACATACTTAGAATAATGTTTGGCTAAATATCTGAGCCACCTGTGGCTCAGTCAAGTTGATACATAAAATTAACCATCACAAGTAGTGAATTACTCTGATTTTTTTTTTTAGATTTACAGAGAAGTTGCAAAGATGACACAAAGAGTTTCTCATATGCCCTTCATTCAGTTTCCCCTATTGCTTTTTATATCTTATTCATTTATCTTTATTTTTAATTTTTGTGGGTACATAGCAGTGTATGTATCTATGCGGTACATGAGATATTTTGATACAGGCATGCAATTTGTAATAATCACATCAGGGGAAATGGGGTGTTCATCACTTCAAGCATTTATCATTTTTTTGGTGTTACAAACAATCCAATTATACTCTTTTAGTTATTTTAAAAATATTTAATACATTATTGTTGACTTTAGTCACCCTGTTGTGCTATCAAATACTATATCTTATTCATTCTATCTGAATATATCTTTGTACTCCTTAACTGTCCCTACCCTCCACCCCTTTCTACCCTTCCCAGCCTCCAGTAACCATCATTCTACTCTCATCTCCATGAATTCCATGGTTTTAATTTTTAGCTCCCACAAATGAGTGAGAACATGTAAAGCTTGTCTTTCTGTGCCTGGCTTATTTTACTTAACATAATGTCCTCCATTTCCATCCATGTGGTTGCAAATGACAGAATCTCATTCTTTTCTATGGCTGAATAGTACTCCATTGTGCATATGTACCACATTTTATTTATTCTTTTGTTGATGGACACCTCGGTTCCAAATCTTGGATATTGTGAATAGTGCTGCAATGCATGAGAGTGCAGACATCTCTTTGATTTACTGATTTACTTTCTTTTAGGTATATCCCTATCAGTGGGATTGCTGGATCCTATGGTAGTTCTATTCTTAGTTTTCTTTTTGTTTTTTGATTATTTTTTTCTTTTTTGGGATGGAATCTCGTTCTGTTGCCCAGGGTGGAGTGCAGTGGTATGATCTTGGCTCACTGCAACCTCCACCTCCCAGGTTCAAGAGATTCTCCTGCCTCAGCCTCCTGAGTAGCTGGGATCACAGGCACGCACCGCCATGCCCGGCTATTTTTTGCATTTTTAGTAGAGACAGGGTTTCGTTGTGTTGGCCACGCTGGTCTCGAACTCCTGACCTCAGGTGATCCACCCGCCTTGGCCTCCCAAAGTGCTGGGATTGCAGGCAGGAGCCACTGCGCCCTGTCTATTTTTAGTTTTCTGAGGAAGCTCCATGTTGTTTTCCAAGTGGCTGCACTAATTTACATTCCCACCAACAGTGTACGAGGGTTCCCTTTCTCAACACTCCAGCATTCATTATTTCCTGCCTTTTAGATAAAAGCTATTTTAACTAGTATGAGATGATGTCTCATTGGAGTTTTGATTTGTGTTTCCCTGATGATCAGTGATGTTGAGCACCTGTTCACATAGCTGTTTGCCATTTGGATGTATTCTTTTGAGAAATGTCTATTCAATCTTTTGCCCATTTTAAATCAAATTGTTAGATTTTTTTTCCTATTGAATTGTTTGAGCTCCTTATATATTCTGGTTATTAATCCCTTGTCAGATGGATAGTTTGCAAATATTTTCTCTCATTCTGTGGATTGTCTCTTCACTTTGTTGCTAGTTTCCTTTGCTATGCAGAAGCTTTTTAATGATGTGATTTTTTAAAATGTGATTCCATTTGTCCATTTTTTGCTTCGGTTGCCTGTGCCTGTGAAGTATTACTCAAGAAATCTTTGTTCGTACCAATGTCCTGGAGAGTTTCTCCTATGTTTTCTTTTAGTAGTTTCATAGTTTCAGGTTTTAGATTTAAGTCTTTAATCCATTTTGATTTGATTTTTGTGTATGGTGAGAGAGCGATCTGGTTTCATTCTTCTGCATATGAACATCCAGTTTTCCCAGCACAATTTACTGACGAGACAATCCCTTTCTCAATACATGTTCTTGAAAGCTTTGTTGAAAATGAGTTCACTGTGGCTGTATGGATTTATTTCTGGGTTCTCTATTCTGTTCCATTGGTCTATGTGTCTGTTTTTATGTCAGTACCATCCTGTTTTTGTTACTTCATTGCTATAGCTCTGTAGTATAATTTAAAATCAGGTAATGGGATTCCTCCAGTTTTTTTTTTTTTTTTTTTTTCCTCATGATGGTTCTGACTGTTCTGGGCCTTTTGTGGTCCCATATAAATTTTAGGATTTTTTTTCTATTTCTGTGAGGAATTTCATTAGTACTTTAATAGAGATTGCACTGAATCTGTAGATTGCTTTGGGTAGCATGGACATTTTAATAATATTGATTCTTCTAATCCATGAACATGGAATATCTTTCCATTTTTTGGTGTCCTCTTCAATATCTTGCATAAAAGTTTTTATTGTAAAGATTTTTCACTTCCTTGGTTAAGTTTATTCCTAGGTATTTTGTTTAATTTGTAGCTATTGTAAATGGGATTACTTTCTTGATTTCTTTTTCAGATTGTTTGCTGTTAGCATATAAAAATGCTACTGATTTTTGTATGTTGATTTTGTATTCTGCAACTTTACTAAATTTGTTTATCAGTTCTAATAGCCTTTTGGTGGAGTCTTTCGTTTTTTTCAAGTATAAGATCATATTATCTGCAAATAAAAATAATTTCACTTCTTCCTTTCCATTTTGAATGCCTTTTATTTCTTTCTTTTGTCTGATTACTCTAGCTAGGACTTCCAGTACTATGTTGAATAACAGCGATGAAAGTGGGCATCCTTGTCTTGTTCCAGATCTTAGAGAAAAGGCTTTCATTTTTCCGCATTCACTATGATATTAGTATGATCAACTTATATATATATATATATATATATATATATATATATATATATATATATATACATATATATTATATATGAAAGTTGAAGGATGCAAAAACTGGGTATAGAAGGAACATATCTCAACATGAAAGCCATGCTTTTTATTGTGTTGAGGCATGTGCCTTTTATACCCAGTTTTTGAGTTTTTTTTTTCAAATCATGAAAGGATATGGAATTTTATCAAATGCTTTTTCAGCATCAGTTGAAATGATCATATGGTTTTTCTCCTTTATTATGCTGATATGATCTATCACATCGATTGACCTGTGTATGTTGTTCCATGCATGCAGTCTTGGGATAAATCCCACTTGGTCATGATGAATGATCTTTTTAATGTGCTGCTGAATTTGTTTGCTGGTATTGTGTTGAGTATTTTCGCATCAATGTTCATTGGGGATATTGGCCTGTAATTTTCTTTTTTTCATGTGTCTTTGTCTGGTTTTCATATCAGGGTAATACTGGCCTCATAGAATGAGTTTGGAAGTATTCTCTCTTCCTCTGTTTTTTGGAATACTTTGAGTAGGATTGGTATTAGTTCTTCTTTAAATGTTTGGTAAGATTTAGCAGTGAAGCCATTGGGTCCTGGGTTTTGCTTTGCTCGGAGATTTTTTTTTTATTATTACGGCTTTGATCTCATTACTTGTTATTGATCTATTCACATTTTGGATTTCTTCATGGCTCAATCTTTGTAGATTGTATGTGTCTAGGAACTTATCCATTTCTTCTAGGTTTTTCAATTTATTGGCATATAGTTGATCATAGTAGTCTCTAATCATCCTTTGAATTTCTGCGGTATCAGGTGTAATGTCTCCTTTTTCATCTCTGATTTTATTTATTTGGGTCATCTTTCTTTTTTTCTTAGTCTGGTTAAGGGTTTGTTGGTTTTGTTTATCTTTTCAAAAAGCCAACTTTTTGTTTTATTGATCTTTTGTACATTTTTTATTTCAATTTCATTTATTTCTGCTCTGATTTTTATTCTTTCTTTCTTCTACTAATTTTGGGTTTGTTTGCTCTTGCTTTTGCAGTTCTTTAAGATGCAATATTAGGTTGTTTATTTGAAATTTTTCTGCTTTTTTGATGTAGGTGCTTATTGCTGTAAACCCTCCTTTGAGTATTGTTTTGGCTGTATCCCATAGGTTTTGGTATGTTGTGTTTCTATTGTCATTTCTTCAAGAAAATTTTAAATTTTCATCTTAATTTCTTCATTGACCTGCTGGTCATTCAAGAACATATTGTTTAATTTCCATGTGTTTGTACAGTTTCCAAAGTTTCTCTTGTTATTGATTTCTAGTTTTGTTCCATTGTGGGCAGAGAATATACTTGATATAATTTCAGTTTCTTTGAAATTTTAAAGATTTGTTTTGTAACCTAACATATGGTCTATCATTGAGCATGATCCATGTGCTGAGGAGAAGAGTGTGTATTCTGGAGCTATTGGATGATATGTTCTGTAAATATCTGTTAGGTTCTTCTGTTCTATGGTGCAGATTAAGTCTGATGTTTGTTTGTTGATTTTCTCTCTGGATGATCTGTCCAATGCTGAAAGTGGGGCATTAAAGTCTCCAGCTATTATTGTATTGGGGTCTATCTCTCTCTTTAGATCTAATAATATTTGCTTTATATATCTTGAGGCTCCAGTGTGGGGTGTATATATATTTGCAACTGTTATATCCTCATGCTGCATTGCCCCTATCATTATATAGTAAACTTCATCTCTTTTTATAGATTTTTGTCTTGATATTATTTAATCTGATAGAAGTATAGCTACTGCTACCCTTTTTTTGGTTTCCATTTGCATGGAACATCTTTTTCCATCCCTTTATTTTCAGTCTATATGTGTCCTTATGTGTGTTTCTTGTAGGCAACAGATCATTGGGTCTTGTTTTTATAAAATCCATTCAGCTACTCTGTGTGTTTTGATTAACGAGTTTAGCCCATTTACATTCAATGGTGTTATGGATAAGTAAGGACTTATTACTGCCATTTTGTTACTTGTTTTCTGGTTGTTTTGGGGTCTTCTCTTCCTTCCTGTCTTCCTTTTTGTGAAGGTGATTTTCTCTGGTGGTATGTTTTAATTTCTTGATTTTTGTGTATCTGTTGTAGGTGTTTTGATTTGAGATTACCATAAGGCTTGCAAAAAACATCTTAAAAGCCGTTATTTTAAACTGATGACAACACTAATTGCAAAAACAAACTAACAAATAGGCAAAGAGAAAATGAATAAAAACTACACTTTAACTTCATCCCCCCTACGTTTAAACTTTTTTTCTATTTATATTTTATTATACTGTCTGTATCTTAAAAAGTTGTTGTAGTTATTATTTTTGATAGGTTCATCTTTTTGTCTTTCTACTCAAGATATGAGTAGTTTACATACCATAATTACAGTGTTATAATACTGTGTGTTTGTGTACAATATTAAGAATATTACCAATAAGTTTTGTACCTTCAGATAATTTCTTATTGTTAATGTCCTCTTCTTTCAGATTGAAGAACTCCCCTTAACATTTCTTGTAGGACAGGTCTGGTATTGATGACATCCCTTGGCTTTTGTTTGCCTGGGAAAGTATTTCTTCTTGATGTTTGAAGGATATTTTTGCTGGATTTACTATCCAAGATAAAAGTTTCTTCAGCACTTTAAATATGTCATGCCACTCTCTCCTGGCCTGTAAGTTTTCCACTGGGAAGTCTGCTACCAGATGTATTGGAGCTCCTTTGTATGTTATTTGTTTCTTTTCTCTTGCTGCTTTTAGGATCCTTTCATTATCCTTCACATTTGGGAGTTTGATTATTAAATGTCTTGAAGTAGTCTTATTTTGGCTAAATTGGCCTGGTGTTCTATAACCTTCTTGTACTTGACTATGGATATATTACAGTAGATTGGGAAAGTTCTTTATTATTATCCCTTTGAGTAAACTTTCTATCCTAATCTCTCTACTTCCTCTTTAAGGTCAATAACTTAGATTTTCCGTTTTGAGGCTATCTTCTACATCTTGTAAGCATGCTTCATTCTTTTTTATTCTTTTTTCTTTTGTCTCCTCTGACTATTTTCAAACAGCCTGTCTTCAAGCTCACTAATTCTTCCTGCTTGATCAATTCTGCTCTTGAGAGACTCTGATGCACTCTGCAGTATGTCAGTTGAATTTTTCAGCTTCAGGATTTCTGCTTGATTTTTAAAAATTATTTCAATTTGTTGGTTACATTTATGATAGGATTCTGAATTCCTTCTCTGTGTTATCTTGACTTTTGTTGTGTTTCCTCAAAACAACTATTTTTAATTCTCTGTCATATATGTCTGTTACTCTAGAATTGGTCATTGGTGTCTTATTTAGTTCATTTGGTAATGTCATGTTTTCCTAGATGTTCATTGATGTCCACCTCGGCCTCCCAAAGTGCTGAGATTACAGACATGAGCCACTATGCCTGCCAGCCTCCCTCCCCTTTTTCCTATTGGGAATATCCAAAACTTGTTGCAGAAAGAATTATCTTTTAACATAAACAAATATGTGCATGGTATCATTCAGATCACTTACCCTAATCTTTGAACAACGTTTGAGGTAGTAAAAAGCTGTGAGATGAAAGAAATCAGAGTTTCAGATCTTCCATAGTGACATGGCTAGACAGGCAGAATATAGGTTTCCAAATACAGATGCTAGCTCTGAAGTGTGTGCTCCTAACCATCACATTAGGCCACCTCTCTTGAAGCCATTACTCTTTACAAAGAAGTATTCTAGGGATTATATAGAGCATCTCCATCTAAAAAAGTTTTTGTTCAAGTGTTACATGTATAAAGCTACACAAGATACAGGTGTACAGTTTGATGGATTTTATTAAATAGACACACTTCTGTAACCAGCATGCAGATCAAGAAAGATAATAATTACCAAACCACCAGGGGCCCCACTTAAGCCATCTTATGGTTTTTAAACCTCCCAAAGGGTGATCTCTCTATAGATGTCTAACACTACAGATTATTATATAATAATTTTGTCTGTTTGAACTTTTCATAAATAGAATAATTTTGTACGTACTCTTCTGTCTTCTTCTCTCAATACCATTGGTTTGAGATTTGTCCATATTGTGTGTAGTTGCATTTTGTTGGTTCTCATTGCTGAATACTATTGCATTGTGCAAGTAGAACACTATTTATTCATCCTTCAGCAGATAGACATCTGTTCAGTGCCTAGGTAGTAGGGCTAACATGCAGAGTTTCATATACATGTCATGTAAGTCAAGCTTGCTGATTTGTTGCTTAGCTCTCATATCTTTACTTATTTTTTGGTTTGTTTTGGTAGTTATAGCAGTTTTTTTTTTTTGAGACAGGATCTTGCTCTGTCACCCAGGCTAGAGTGCAGTGGCATGATCTTGGCTCACTGCAGCCTCCACCTCCCAGGTTTGAGCAATTCTTGTGCTTCAGCCTCCCGAGTAGCTGGACTACAGGCATGTGCTACCACGCCCAGCTAATTTTTTGTATTTTTAGTAGACAGGGATTCACCACATTGCCCAGGCTGATCTTGAACTCCTGACCTCAAGTGATCCACTTGCCTCGGCCTCCTGAAGTGCTGGGATTACAGGTGTGAGCCACTGCGCCTGGCCGTTACAGCAGTTTTAAAATCTTATATTCTGATAATGAATTTGTCTATTTTTCCTGCTAATTATGCCAATTTTTGTTTCACTTATTCCAAATTGTGTTCTTTAGGGCCTCTAGATTTAGGATGTTGATATATTCTTGGTGGATTGACCTCTTTGTTTTGGTGAAAAGTCCTTCTTTTCCTCTAGTAATGGTTCTTGCCTTAAATCTTATCTGGTATTAGCATAGTTGTACCTGCTCTTTCCATTTTGTGTTTGCCTACTAGGCCTTTTCTCACCCCTTTTTTTCAACTTGTTTGTGATCTTAAATTTACATTAAAGTTGTACATCTTATTTTTTTAGAGACAGGGCCTTGCTCTGTCACCCAGGCTGGAGTGCAGGGGCAGAATCATAGCTCACTGCAACCTCAAACTCCTGGACTCAAGCAATCCTCCCACCTCAGCCTTCCAAGAAACTGGGACTATAGGCACGTATCACCATGTCCAGATTATTGAAAAAAATTTTTCTTTTGAGATGGAGTTTTGCTCTGTCACCCAGGCTGGAGTACAGTGGCTTGATCTCGGCTCACTGCAACCTCTGCCTTCCGGGTTCAAACAATTCTCCTGCCTCAGCCTCCTGAGTAGCTGGGACTACAGGCATGTGTCACCACGTCTGGCTAATTTTTTGAATTTTTGGTAGGAACAGGGTTTCACCATGTTGGCCAGGCTGGTCTTGAACTCCTGACCTCAGGTGATCCACCCACTCGGCCTCCCAAAGTGTTGGGATTACAGGTGTGAGCCACTGCGCCTGGCCGAAAGTTTTTTTGTAGAGATGGAGTCTTGCTATGTTGCCCAGGCTTGTCTCAAACTCCTGGCCTCAAGCTATCCTCTTGCCTCAGCCTCCTGAATTGCTGGGATTACAGGCCGTAGCTCTTGGCTGTGTCTCTTCTACATAATGTATGTTTGGGATGTTTCTTTATCACGTCTGACAATATTTTTTTCTTGTAATTACTAATATACTTAGGTTTGTATCTATGATATGATTATTCATTTTGTATTTCACTCACCAGTTTTATGTTCTTTTTTCTCCTCTCTGGCTTTTTCCCAATTTTTACAATTATTCTATTTTTCCTTCTATTTGCTTGTAAGTTATATATTCTCTTATTAGCCTTTTAAAAGTTACCCTAGAGATTACAGCACTTGTTTTTTTTTTTTGAAACGGAGTCTCACTCTTGTCGCCTAGGCGATGATGGTGCAATGGTGCGATCTCGGCTCACTGCAACCTCCGCCTGTTGGGTTCAAGCGATTCTCCTGCCCCAGCCTCCCGAGTAGCTGGGATTACAGGCACTCGCCGCCACGCCTGGCTAATTTTTTGTATTTTTAGTAGAGGTGGGGTTTCACCATATTGGCCAGGCTGGTCTCAAACTCCTGACTTCAGGTGATCCACCCATCTTGGCCTCCCAAAGTGTTGGGATTACAGGTGTGAGCCACCACACCTGGCTGAAATTTTTTTTGTAGAGATGGAGTCTTGCAGTGTTGCCCAGGCTTGTCTCAAACTCCTGGCCTCAAGCTATCCTCTCACCTCAACCTCCTGAGTTGCTGGGATTACAGGCCATAGCGCTCGGCTGTGTCTCTTCTACATAATGTATGTTTGGGTTGTTTCTTTATCACGTCTGACAATCTTAATATTTTTCTTGTGATTACTAATATAGTTAGGTTTATATCTATGATACGATTATTCATTTTGTATTTTACTCACTTGTTTTATGTTCTTTTTTCTCCTCTCTGGCTTTTTTTCAATTTTTACAATTATTCTATTTTTCCTTCTATTTGCTTGTAAGTTATATATTCTCTTACTAGCCTTTTAAAAGTTACCCTAGAGATTACAGCACATATATATATTTTTTGAGACAGAGTCTTGATCTTGTCACCCAGGCGACAATGGTGCAATGGTGCGATCTCAGCTCACTGCAACCTCTGCCTCTCGGGTTCAAGTGATTCTCCTGCCCCAGCTTCCCGAGTAGCTGGGATTACAGGTGCCCGCCACCACGCCCAGCTAATTTTTTGTATTTTTAGTAGAGATGGGGTTTCACCATGTTGGTCAGGCTGGTCTTGAACTCCTGACCTCAGGTGATCCACCCGCCTCGGCCTCCGAAAGTGCGTGAGCCACTGCAACTGGCCACAGTGCGTATTCTTGACTTGTGATCTAGTACAGATGTTTACTCTTTCGTTTCACCAATAATGCCAATCCATCACAATATTTTTAACTCCATGATTCCTCCCCACTTTTTGCTTTATTATTGTAACGTATTTTCTTTCTGCATGGATTTTAAACCCGACACAATATTTCTAGTTTTGCCTGGCACAGTCAATATTCATGTAGATTTGATCATACAATCATTCTATCTAGTGCTCTTCATTCCTGCCTGAGTTTCCATGTTGTTTTGGTTTGCATCATTTCCATCGATCTGAGGAACTCTATTATTTCTTTTAATGCAGACCGTACTGACAACAGATTCCCTTAGGTTTCTTTTTTGTCTAGAAGCGTCTTTATTAGCCCTTAGTTGCACCCAGATTGGCAAGTGCTCCCAGGAGAAAGTGGTTGCAGCTTGTTAGTGTCGGCTTATACTCCTGGAGGTTTTCAACTCTCACTCGTCCTCTGGGGCCTTCTCCAGTAGGTCTTTGTCACCTAAGCACCATGAGGTTGAAGGATATTCCACTTTGCTTTTCTAAATTTGGTGAATTATTTAGCCTCTCAATTGTGAAGCTGCAGGATCCAGCCTTTTTGAGGCCCTTAGTCTTGGATTTTATTATCTCAGACTCCCATGACCACTCGTATCTCGCTGGTTTTGCTTTTTGCCACAGTTGACCTGATTCCTGGGCCAATCTAAGATGGGCCAAGTTGAGACTTTACCTTATTTATTGTCCTAGAAGCTGTTAGGGGAGGAAGCTGTGCAGATCTTGAGGAAGGCAAGAACCATCGTGCAAAGCATTTGCCTCAGGAATGGGCTTTAGGTGAAAGGAGGCAGCTACCCTTTAACAAGCGGTGTGCATGATTTCCACAGGACTGGAGGATACGGGGGACTCTGGGTGTTCAAATTTCCCAAATGCACCCATCCGATGTCTCTTTCCCTGGTTTTAGGGTCCCACATCTCCCCTGGCAGAGCCTTGCAGGTGGCAGAGATTTGCCAGGGATATGAGGTTGGGCTTCTCTGTAATTCTATCCCCCTCAGCATTAGGTCTTGCCCTCCATCGACAGGAGAAGAGGTCACTTTCTGCGTTTTCATAGAGGCCTCTGCCTCTTACGTCATTCCATGTGTTAGTGGTTGGTTGACTTGAGCCATCATTTTCTCCCCTGCCTCACATCTCAGGCACTTCACAGCACACAGACACCTCCACCGCACTTAAAACTCCCCATTCCCTCGGCATCTTTCACATGCTACGGACATTTCACAAATGGGAATGGATAGGGTTTGGATTTGTGTCCCCGCCCAAATCTCATGTTGAATTGTACTCCCTATTGTTGGCAGAGGGGTTCGGTGGGAGGTAATTGGATCACAGGGTGGATTTCCCCCTTGCTGTTCTTGTGATAGTGAGTGAGTCCTCAGGAGATTTGGTTGTCTAAAAGTGGGTAACACCTGCCCCTTCGTTCTCTTCCTCCTGCTCCAACCATGTGAAGATGTGCCTGCTTCCCCTTCACTTCCCCAGCCATGCTTCCTGTACAGCCTGTGGAACCATGAGCCAATTAAACCTCTTTTCTTTATAAATTACCCGGTCTTTCTTTATAGCAGTGCAAGAACTGACTAATACAGGAAGGTACAACCTTTTTTCCCTGTATCTTCTCCCAGTTCAGCATATGTGACAGCTTGTGATGGCAATGCTGTGACATGCCCCATAGGGTGATGACAACCCCACTCACACTGTGTCCAGAATTGGTGGGTTATTAGTCTCACTGACTTCAAGAATGAAGCTGTGGACCCTCGCCGTGAGTGTTACAGTTCTTAAAGATGGTGTGTCCGGAGTTTGTTCCTTCTGATGTTTGGATGTGTTCAGAGTTTTTTCTTTCTGGTGGGTTCGTGGTCTTGCTGGCTTCAGGAGTGAAGTTGCAGACCTTCATGGTGAGTGTTACAGCTCTTAAGGTGGCGCGTCTGGAGTCGTCCATTCCTCCTGGTGGGTTCGTGGTCTTGCTGGCCTCAGGAGTGAAGCTGCAGACCTTCACGTGAGTGTTACAGCTCCTAAAGGCATTGTGGACCCGAAGAACGAGCAGCAAGATGTATTGCAAAGAGTGAAAGAACAAATCCTCCACGCTGTGGAATGGGACCCGAACAGGTTGCGCTGCTGTCTTGGGCAGCCTGCTTTTATTCCCTTATCTGACCCCACCCACATCCTGCTGATTGGTCCATTTTACAGAGAGCTGATTGGTCCGTTTTATAGAGCACTGACTGGTCCTCTTTATAGAGCGCTGATTGGTCCGTTTTGACAGGTTGCTAATCAGTGCATTTACAATCCCTGAGCTAGACAGAGTGCTGATTGGTGTATTTACAATCCTCTAGCTAGACCTAAAAGTTCTCCAAGTCCACACTAGATTAACTAGACACAGAGCACTGATTGGTGTGTTTATAAACCTTGAGCTAGACACAGGGTGCTGATTGGTGCATTTACAATCCTCCAGCTAGACATAAAAGTTCTCCAAGTCCCCACCAGATTAGCTAGATACAGAGTGCTGATTGGCGTATCCACAAACCCTGAGCTAGACACAGAGTGCTGATTGGTGCATTTACAATCCTCCATCCAGACATAAAAGTTCTCCAAGTCCCCACCCCACTCAGGAGCCCAGCTGGCTTCACCTAGTGGATCCTGCGCCAGAGCTGTGGGCGGAGATGCCCGCCAGTCCCGCACTGTGGCCCACACTCCTTATCCCTTGGGCAGTCGATGGGACCAGGCGGGCACCCCGGAGCAGGAGGTGGCACCGTTGAGGTGGCTCGGGCCGCTGGGGAGCCCACAGGGGTGAGGGGTGGGGCTTGGGCATGGCCGGCTGCAGGTCCTGAGCCCTGCCCCGTGGGGAGGCGGCTGAGGCCCGGTGTGAATTGGAGCACAGCATGGGCAGGCTGGCAGTGCTGGGGGACCTGGTGCACCCTCCGCAGCTGCTGGCCCAGGTGCTAAGCCCCTCACTGCCCAGGCAGGTGGTGTGGGCTGGCCACTCCCAGTGCGGGGCCTGCTGAGCCCCGCCCACCTGGAACTCGTGCTGGCCCGCGAGCTCGGCGCGCAGCCCTGGTTCCCGCCTGTGCCTCTCCCTCCACACCTCCTGGCAAGCAGAGGGAGCCGGCTCCGGCCTCGGCCAGCCCAGAGAGGGGCCCCCACAGTGCAGTGGCGGGCTGAAGAGCTCCTGGAGCATGGCCAGAGTGGATGCCGAGGCCCAGGAGGCACCTAGAGCAAGCGACGGCTGCTAGCACGTTGTCACCTCTCAACACCAGCGGCCCTGTGGCTAGTGGTCTCATTCCAGGGTCCCACTAGAGGATCTGCCTCCTACTCCTGGCTGTAAGAATTGAAGAAGAAAGAAACATGAAAAGTGGCTGAGTAGTCAAAGACAGGTTTATTTCAGAGAGTAAACCTGAGAGGGCCTTCTGGCCGAGTTAGGTTGGGAGCAGTCTCTCTTACAGACTAAGAGTATTTAAGGGTTCAGGGTGGGAGAGCTTATCACAGGCTTGAAATGTCCTGTGTCTCTTTGTCTTGCTTATCTGGGAGGGAGAGTTTTGTGTCTGTTCCCATACATCTTCCTGCACCTGCAGGCATACCCCCGAGTTTACTTTTAGCTTCCCTATCTTAGTGCACCTGAAAAGAAAGGAATGTGCTTATTTGGACCCACTGTTTTGCTGGGTCCCATTGTATGGGTGTGAAGCTTGGTGGTTACCCAAGAGACTTTCCCCTCTCTCTCCCTGCCTGAGCTGTCTTATCTGTGTTTTACCGTCTGCTCTTTCTGGCTGCTTGTTGTTAGAAAAGAAGTGATTTCCTTGAAATGCATGAGGTTAGAAAGGGAGCTGGAATTTAAAATGGTGGCGTTTGTCCAAGATGGCAGTGCTTCTGCTCTGTCACTGACACCAAGGTTGTAGATTGCATCCTTCCCAAAGTTGATCCTGAGATGAAAATTTGAGAGCAGGATGTTTATTTGGGTGAAGAAGTGATACCTGGAAGGGGATACAGCCAATCAAAGTTGTGTCATTAAGCCAGCCACCACAGGGAAACCAGAGCTTAACACTGTTGGGAGATGCTGGGAAGTTGTGTAACACACACACCTTAGAGTTATCTCACTTGGAGGAGGGCCAAGGGAGCCGAAATATTTATGCACCAACTTTCATCAGTCATTGGCGCAAGCTGTTTCAGAGGGTTGTTAATAGCCCGGCACTTCCGCTTCCCCTATGTGTGGGCAAAATGCCCTCAGGGTGGAGATGCTGAAATGGCAATGGGAAGTCACCTGGGGCATAGTGAGTGGAGAGTCTGAGGCAAGTAGGTGGGGCAGTGATGATTCTGCTCCATCCAACCATATTTTACCTGGTGCTGTTATTCACTAATGACCTTCACCTGAATCAGTTGTTATACTGGTGGTTGCAAAATTGTGATTTTCTAAATCCGTGACTTCTAGGTGAATTAACTGGCATTCTTTCACAAAAAGCTCCTCACCGTTTTTTTCTTTCTCTTTTTATGAATGCCACTACGGATGAACTTTGCTTTATGCAAATTGTCATCAAATGTGGTGTCAAGCTGGCTTCTGTGTCTTTTTTTTTGAGACAGAGTCTCACTCTTTTAACCAGGCTGGAGTGCAATGGTGCGATCTTGGCTCACTGCAACCTCCACCTCCTGGGTTCCAGCGATTCTCCTGCCTCTTAGCCCCTCTAGTAGCTGGGATTACAGGTGCATGCTACCACACCCGGCTAATTTTTGTATTTTTAGTAGAGATGAGGTTTCACCATGTTGACCAGGCTGGTCTTGAACTCCTGACCTCAGGTGATCCACCCGCCTCGGCCTCCCAAAGTGCTGGGATTACAGGCATGAGCCACCATGCCCGGCCAGCTTCCATGTCTTTTTGGCAAGAACCAGTCTTTGGCTTCTTCCTTGATTTTAGCACAGATGCCCTGACCTATGTTGGGCACCCCCTGTCCTGCACCTCGAATCAGCCACTTCTCTAAAGAGCTACTGGCTGGAAGGATTCGGTCTTTAAGATCAGATGCTTATGGTGCTCACTGGACCTGAGGAATTGTTGCTTGTAGTCTTTTCATGGGTCCTTTTATTGATATTTTCCCAGTGATCTCTGTTAGTTGTAACAGTGGCCTTTATTCCTTTAAACATTTTGCACACATTTTTTTCTTTTGTTTTGAAAATATTATTATTTTGAATAATGTAGCATAAATTAAAACTTTTAGGTTGGATGCGGTGGCTCATGCCTGTAATCCTAGCACTTTGGGAGGCTGAGGCGGGTGGATTGCCTAAGCTCAGGAGTTCGAGACCAGCCTGGGCAACACAGTGAAACGCCGTTTCTACTTAAAATACAAAAAAATTAGCCGGGTGTGGCGACATGTGCCTGTAGTCCCAGCTACTTGGCAGGCTGAGGCAGGAGAATTGCTTGAACATGGGAAGCAGAGGTTGCAGTGAGCCGAGATTGCGCCACTGCACTCCAGCCTGGGTGACACAGTGAGACTCCATCTCCAAAAAAAGAAAAAAAAAAGACTTTTAAGGAACTTAAGTACATATTTCCTGTGTCAATATATTTTATTTATTTTTTAATTGACAAGTAGAAATTGTATATATTTGTGGTGTACAACCTGATGTTGTGACACACTATGGAATGGCTAAATCAAATTATTGAACATATGCATCATGCCACATACTTATCATTTTTTTTGTGTGTGGTGAGAACACTTAAAATCAACTGTCTTAGGGATTTGCAAGTATATAACACATTGTTATCAACTGTAGTCACCATGATGTACAATAGATCTCTTGAACTTATTCCTCTTATTTCACTGAAATTTTGTGTCCTGCGACCAATATCTTCCCAATCCCCCAACCTCCAGCATCTGGGAACCGCTATTTTACTCTCTGCTTCTATAAGTTTGACTTTTTTACACTCTATATACAAGTGAGATTACGTATTTTTCTTTCTGTGCCTGGCTTATTTTACTTAATGTGATGTCCTCTCAGTTTATCCACATTGTTGCAAATGACAGGATTTTATTCTTTTTAAAGCTGAATAATATTTCATTGTGTACACATACTGTATTTTATTTGTTCATCTATCAATGGACACTTAGGTTGATTCCTAACTTGATTCTTGTAATACTGTAGAACATGGGAGTGCAGATATCTCTTTGACATACTGATTTCATATCCTTTGGATTTATACTCAATGTTGGGATTGCTGGATCATATGGAAATTCTATTTTTAATTTTTTGAGGAACTTCCATGCTGTTTTCCATAATGGTTGTACCAAATGTACATTCTTGTATATTGTACCTTGTACAACAGTGTACAAGATTTCTCTTTTCTCCACATCCTTGCCAACATTTATCTTTTGTATTTTCGATAAGAGCCATTCTAACAGGTGTGAGGGGATATCTCACTGTGGTTTTAATTTGCATTTTCCTGATGTTTAGTGATGTTGAGCATTTTTTCATACACCTGTTGGCCATTTGTATGTCTTCTTTTGTGAAATGTCTATTGAGGCCCTTTGTCCATTTTCATATCAGGTTGTTTTCTTACTATTGAGTTGAGTTTCTTATATATTTTGGATCTTAATCCCTTACCACACGTATGGTTTGCAAATATATTCTCCCATTCTGTAGATTATATCTTCACTCTGTAAAAGGAAAATAAATCTTGGGCCCCCAAATCACTAAGCTAAAGGGAAAAGTCAAGCTGGGAACTGCTTAGGGTAAACCTGCCTCCCATTCTATTCGAAGTCATCCCTCTGCTCACTGAGATAAATGCATATCTGATTGCCTCCTTTGGAGAGGCTCATCAGAAACTCAAAAGAATGCAACCGTCGGCTGGGCGCGGTGGCTCAGGCTTGTAATTCCAGCACTTTGGGAGGCGGAGGCGGGCGGATCACAAGGTCAGGAGATAGAGACCATGGTGAAACCCTGTCTCTACTAAAAATACAAAAAATTAGCCGGGCGTGGTGGCGGGCGCCTGTAGTCCCAGCTACTCGGAGAGGCTGAGGCAGGAGAGTGGCGTGAACCCGGCGGGCGGAGCTTGCAGTGAGCCGCGATTGCGCCACTGCACCCCAGCCTGGGCGACAGAGTGAGACTCTGTCTCAATTAAAAAAAAAAAAAAAAAAAAGAATGCAACTGTTTGTCTCTCATCTAACTGTGACCTGGAAGCCCCCTCCCTGCTTCGAGTTGTCCTGACTTTCTGAATGGAACCAATGTACATCCTACATATATTGATTTATGTCTCATGTCTCCCTAAAATATGTAAAACCAAGCTGTGCCCCGACCACCTTGGGCATATGTCATCAGGACCTCCTGAGGCTGTGTCACAGGCGTGCATCCTCAACCCTGGCAGAGTAAACTTTCTAAATCAACTGAGACCTGTCTCAGATATTCTGGGTTCACATTTTGGTAACCACGAAGGGATTCTGAGTGGAGGTGCCCCTGACGTTTGACACATCTCCAATTCGTGCTTGGTACCAGCTTGAGCTATCTTTATGGCTCAAACCAATGGAACAATTTGCTGAGGCCTGGAAGCAACCCCTCCGGAAAATCCCTGATCTCCCAAAATTTGGTCGAGATCTAAATTTTATTTTGCTGTACGACTCCTTTTGTGGAGTTTTACTTGCTTCCAGCACAAGGAAGGCAAGTTTTTCCTGCTTCCATCACGATGGAAGGCAGGCAACTTTTTTATGGAGTTTGAACTCACTCCCAACAGGGAAGATGAGTTTTGAGTTTTTTCCTGCTTCTAGGATGGTAGAGAGCAGTCTTCGCCTGAGACCCATCCCTATCTAAGTAACTGAATGGAGGTTTGTTTTGGCTAAAGTTAAGATTAACAACCAGCTGGTCTTAATTTCTCCTTACCATTTGAGCACTCAGTAATCACACACATTGTGTGATTATTTGTTTCACTTAATTTTTTTTATTGTTTGTTTTTGTTTTTGTTTTGGTGTTTTTCCTTGATCAAATCTGAAGGAAAGTTCCAAATTATGGGGAACAGGTCCTCTGAACTGGCTAAATTCCACCCCCCACCCCCACACACAAAAGGTGATGTGGTGGGGAGAGAAAAATAGCCAGCACAAGGAAAAAAAAAAAAAAAAAGGAAAGATTTTTTATTTTGGCCACTTAAGGGGCTTTATTTATTTACACAACAGGGCTATGTTTTTGCTAGCCAGTCCAAACTGAAAGAGCGATGGCTGTCGCCCCATGCTGCAGTTTCATAGCTAAGGTTCTGCCTTCTTTTTTTCCACTATGACAGCCTGGGTTTGGTTCCTAAATCAAGCCCTTTCTGGTTTGATACTTGTACTTCTGAAATAGCAGCAATTTGTCCTAGCTAAAATATGGTAATGAGGTTTAAAAAGATTTTTTTAATAGGAGCTCAGTGGTTAAAAGTCAGCTTAATTGAAGATAACATCCAAGATGTGTGTGTATGTATGCATGTGTGTGTGTATGTGTGCATGTGTATGTGTGCATGTGTATATGTATGCATGTGTGTTTGTATGTGTGCATGTGTATGTGTGCATGTGTATGTGTGTGCGTGTGTGTGTGCATGTGTGTGTATGTGTGTGCATGTGTGTATGTGTGTGCATGTGTATATGTGTGTGCGTGTGTGTGTGCATGTGTGTATGTGTATGTGTGCATGTGTGTATGTGTATGCGTGTGCCTGTATGTGCATGTGTGCATGTATGCACGTGTGTATGTGTGCATGTGTGTGTGTGTGCATGTGTATATGTGTGCGTGTGTGTGTGTGCGTTTAAGAGGCTTTCATGTTTTTGTTTTTTTCCCTCTCCTAGGACCTTGTCTTTTTTTGAGCAAAGGTTTTTCTTCTCAGTTGATTTAATTCTATTTTCTCCATTTACTTCTGCTGTCTCTCCTTTCTCTTGCATGTTCTGCTGCATGAGGGACCTAAAATAGTTTATAATAGCCTGGATTTCCTTAAAGAAAATGGGGAAGGCACCAGGCTCCCTGTTTTTCCTTATGGAATCCCAAGAGTGTAAACAGACAAGTTTGTCTCAGCTCTTAAACTGCTTGCTTTTGTATTGTGTTACCTGATTTTTTGACTAAAATAGCTATTGTAACAGAGGCTACTCTTGGGTTTTTAAGGAAGACTGTAGTGTAGACACTTAGAAATGTCTTTGACTGAAAAAAATTTTAAGTGTCCTGTAAAAGCATCACGTGTTCTAGCGTCAACTCTCCCTTTTTGGAGACCCAGGATTCAGTGTGGGCTCTGCCCAGAGCTCAGAGATCTAGTTAAAAGATAGGTAGTTCCCACCTAAATAAAATTGGTCTCCTTATACAATCCTATCATAGATTTCTATAATTTCATGTTTGATTTGGCATTCATCTTTAATCTCCCTCTAGCTCCACCAGATTTTTTCTCTCTGTACCTTGAGATGTAAATTTTGCCATTTGATTTTTCTTCTAAGAGTTATTTCCTTCAATATGCAGACTTAGGGCTATTTACCTGACAACTGCCAGGGTAATGAAACAGGTTATCAAGAGTTTGAAAGTCTAAGGTAAGAAAAAAAAAGGTCTTAGGAATCTATAAGATGTACTTCTATTGGTATGCCTAATACATTTATGTATTTATGTGTTGTGTACACGTTTCACTACTAAAAATATATAAAAGAGCTCTAATTAATTGGCTTAAAGGAAACTAAAAGCACTTAAATCAAATACTTTACCAGAAAAAAGGAAATACTAGTCAAATGCTTTTTCAAGTTTACATGACTTAAGTAAAATCTTTAATAAATAAGCTAGCTTTGAAATTATTGGTAAAGTAATATTAGAAATGTCTTAAGAATTTCCAGCATACATTTTTGTTTGCATTTATTGATTAAGCAATTGCGTACTTATCCCTGCCAAATACTATAAGGTGTCAAAATTTGGCATCAGGGTTACGAAACTATAAACTCAGCCCCAAACTGAATGATCTTTGCTTGTGTAATTTTTAATAAATAAGACATTGTTATTGGTTTAGTGAAAATAGTCATCTTGAATTATCTAGTAAAATTACCATAACTTCTAATCTTGTGGCTTTAGCAGCCTAGTCCACAGGCAGAAAGGAGATTTGTTTTGGGAAAGGACAGTTAGCATCTTTGTTTCAAACCTAAACTATAAACTAAGTTCCTCCCAAAGTTAGTTCGGCCTATGCCCAGGAATAAATAAGGATAGCTTGGAGGTTAGAAGCAAGATGGAGTAAGTTAGGCCAGATCTTTTTCACTGTCTCAGTTATAGTGGTTTCATAAGTTTAAATGACGACTCTCACAGTTTTCACAAATAATCTAGGTAAATGATTAAAATAAAATAATTAGGTACATTTAATGGGATAAATACCTATAGGCATACTTAGAATCATAATTTAGAATCTAAAGTTAAATTAAACAGTAGATATTTCATTATTTGGGTATTTTCCAGTAAAAATATATTGTAGGAAAACATGCTTTCTAAAAAAATGTCCTTTTAAAAAGGTGAATTGTTTTTGTCTAATTCAAAGCTTATTTAGAGGTTATGTATAAAACAAGGTAAAAGGAACCAGGAAATAAGAGAGATGTAAAGAAAGTTATAGAAAAAAGAGGTATTTTTTTGGTAAGAAAGCTTAAAGAGAAATAATTTTATACGAGAAAGAATCTCGTACGGTAAATTTTGTCCTAGAATAAAATGACTGGTTGTTTAAGAAAGAGGGTGTTGGCCGGGCGCGGTGGCTCACACCTGTAATCCCAGCACTTTGGGAGGCCGAGGCGGGCGGATCACGAGGTCAGGAGATCGAGACCATCCCGGCTAAAAACGGTGAAACCCCGTCTCTACTAAAAATACAAAAAATTAGCCGGGCGTAGTGGCGGGCGCCTGTAGTCCCAGCTACTTGGGAGGCTGAGGCAGGAGAATGGCGTGAACCTGGGAGGCGGAGCTTGCAGTGAGCCGAGATCCCGCCACTGCACTCCAGACTGGGTGACAGAGCGAGACTCCGTCTCAAAAAAAAAAAAAAAAAAAAAAAAGAGGGTGTTCAGGATAAATCAGAAAGTCCAAACATGTCATGAGTGGTCTGTGTGAGTCACAATAAGTGGATTTATTAAAAAAAAAACACCCTCAAATGAGTTCATGTCCATTGCAGGGTCATGGATAAAGCTGGAAGGTGTCATTCTCAGCAAACTAACACAGGAACAAAAAACCAAACACCCCATGTTCTCACTCGTAAGTGGAAGTTGAACAATGAGAACACATGGACATAGGGAGGAAAACATCACACACCAGGGCCTGTTGGGGGCTGGGGAGCA
Source organism: Homo sapiens (assembly GCF_000001405.40). NCBI lineage: Eukaryota > Metazoa > Chordata > Mammalia > Primates > Hominidae > Homo > Homo sapiens. The sequence continues at coordinate 101,680,896 of NC_000014.9, read as the reverse complement.
AGGGGAGGGAGAGCATTAGGACAAATACCTAATGCATACAGGGCTTAAAACCTAGATGACGGGTTGATAGGTGCAGCAAACCACCATGGCACATGTATACTATGTGACAAACCTGCACGTTCTACACATGTATCTCAGAACTTAAATAAAAAAAAGAATTAATTAAATGAACTAATAAACATACCGAAAAAGCTTTAAAAGAAAACAAGAAAAGAACCCAAAAAGTTTTATATGATCAAGTTGTCTATAACTAAAGGGAAATTATAATGACCTTTCTAGAGATTGGGTTTAATGTAAAGAAAATCACTTATACATTAAATAATTGGTTAGAACAATGAAATTTTCTTAAGGGGTTGATTTACTCTTAATAAATTATAAGATATTTTAATTTTTTTTTTTTTTTGAGATGGAGTCTTTCTCTGTCGCCCAGGCTGGAGTGCAGTGGCGTGCTTGGCTCACTGCAACCTCCGCCTCCCAGGTTCAAGCAATTCTCCTGCCTCAGCCTCCTGAGTAGCTGGGATTACAGGCACATGCCACAGTGCCCGGCTAATTTTTTTGTATTTTTAGTAGAGATGGGGTTTCACCATATTGGCCAAGCTGGTCTTGAAGTTCTGACCTCAAGTGATCTGCCCACCTCGGCCTCCCAAAGTGCTGGGATTACAGGCATGAGCCACCGTGCCAGGCCGATATTTTAATTTAAAAAAATTATAACCCAAAGTTCAACTTTTATTGCATCTCATCATTTTTGTTTCCTCTCCCCTTTTAAAAAGTGCAAAATAACACTGTCCTTCAACTCATTTTTCAGCTCATGTAAGTTTTTTTCGTATTGGGTTCTGTTTGTTGTAGCCTGATGCTAACAATGTTTTCTTAAGGGTCTAAAGAAAATGTTTTCTTCCAACATAATATTCAGTGCACTGCAGAAGGTCTTTTATTTTGCCTCTTGGTAACTGGCCTAACAGATTTTTACGTTTTATCAAAATAATTCCTATGCCATTATTATTAAGTTTTGATTTGCTTAGAAAAAAACTGAGATTAATTTTTTTAAAAAAAATTATGGTTATTACATCCGTGTATCTTTCTGTATGTGCTTTTAAAGTCCTCGTGACATTGAGTTGTGGGGCTTTGACTCCTTCGCCCAAAAAGGACATGAAGTCCTGCTAAATCTTTTTTTTTGGAGACAGAGTCTTGCTGTGTTGCCCAGGCTGGAGTGCAGTAGGCACAGTCTCTGCTCACTGCAAGCTCTGCCTCCCAGGTTCATGCCATTCTCCTGCCTCAGCCTCCTGAGTAGCTGGGACTACAGGTGCCTACCACCACGCCCGGCTAATTTTTTGTATTTTTAGTAGAGACGGGGTTTCACCGAGTTAGCCAGGATGGTCTTGATCTCCTGACCTCGTGATCCGCCTGCCTTGGCCTCCCAAAGTGCTGGGATTACAGGCGTGAGCCACCGCACCCGGCCAAGTCCTGGTAAATCTTAAACACTGACAACAATTAAAGCCTCATCTTCAGGCCTGGTAGAAAGTGCCAATCAAATTAAACTGCGTTCCTGAGACAGGGCCAGAAACTAAACTATTCAACTCCTCAAGGCCCAGAACTATTGCAGAAAAGGTGGGTGTATGAGATTGTAAGGGCTGATTTTGAGAGATAAAATAAGTTCCGTTTCTCTGAACTGAACTTAAACATTAATGTCAAAGGCCCACTGATGCAAGACCAGCAAATGGGCCCCTGTGTCAGATTAACAAGTTTTTCTTGAAGCATTAACTGACTCCTTAATAAAGGTTATAAAAGGCTTATGAAATTATATCTTATGGTCAGATGAACATTTTATAGATTGCTTATAAAATTTTAAAAAACATTTAATTGGCTTCATGCTGACTTTATTAGGGCTTATTGTTTGGAAAATTAAGTATCCTCTCTCAAAGAATGAAGGTTTTTGCTTTTTTTTTTTTTTTGAGATGTTTGAGTTATCACTCTAAGTGAATCACTTATTTTACAATGACCTGTGATCCTATTTAGTGATATCAAATGTTTTAAGCCTTTGATATTTGGCACATTTTCCAAAATAAAATTATAAATTATGTCTCTTTCTGATCTAACTAATCCTTTAAGATATTAGATTCCCTAAAGTACAAAATGGCATATTTGGCTTATTTGGTATAAAATGTACACAGGAAGTATTGTCAAATATGAAATGGTGTTTGGTTTTCTTTGGCTTATATTTGTATAAATATGTTATTGGTATGTGTTCCAAAATTATGAGAAACTCCTATAATTCTGATATGACTCAGTGTACATTATCAGTAATAATCATAATTGTTATGTGACATTATTTTATGTCACAGAGGTAACAAACTTCCTTGTCAATTGTGTCTTTGACTATGGGTGCCCTAAAACCTTTTGTCATCCGTGGACAATTGTCTTATTTTGGTCCTCTTTAGAAGGTGGTTTTATAATCAGCTATAAAATTCTTTTTTTTTCTTTGTTTCAAGTTTTAATCAAAGCTCGTATATAAGATTACTTTATTCCTGCATCTTCTCAATTGTTTCTTCCTTGTATTTGCCCTTTTCCTTTCCTACTTGGCAAGATTTGGCTTTCCGTTCAAGGATCTTTTTGCGGTCTTTGTCCAGTTTTAGCCTAGTGATAACCACCTTGCTGGGGTGAACGCCTGCGTGGACAGTTGTGCCATTAGCCTTTTCCCGCTGCACCTGTTCAATGTAGATAACATATTTCTTCCTGTAAACCTGGACTACTTTGCCAATTTGCTGACCTTTATAGTGTCCTTGTACAACCTGAACTTCATCATCCTTTCAGATGGGCATGGATTGCACGTTGTACTTCTGTCTCAGCTCTTTGGAAAGAGGGGAAGACGTAATCTTCCTTCGAATGTGGGAAGGTGCATTGAAATGCCTTTTGCGATTCTTGCTTCGGTGGGAAGTCACAAAGGGATTAAACTTCATTTTGGCTGGAAAAGCCTGCACACGTCTCAGGTCCTAAAAGCCTCCCAGTGGGCAAGTGTGGTCTGGAAGTTCTGTGAAGACTTTACCGAGAAGTTACTTCGAGACCATTCTCTAGGAAACGACACTACCCAGACTCCAGTCTATTTCCACAGGCTCCCTTCCCTCAGCTCGTTTTCGAGTCCCCAAATCCCCAGTCCCTCTATCCCTCTTCGGCCCGGCGGCCCTTGATTTAAGGGACAACAGGTAAAAAACCATCCCAGCCTCTCCTTCCTGGCTGCTACTCGGCTGACGGGAGACTCTTGGGGTCCCCGCGGTTGGAAGCTACCATGCCCTACCACGGATAGCTGTGGATTACACCCGCTTGCCCGCCGAATCCTTACCCGCTCCCAATCAGCTATAAAATTCTAACAGGCACTTTTGAATGCAGGTTTCTGATAACTTTGGAGATGGTGACATCACAATAGAGAAAAACCTTTCAGGACTCCTGGAAAGCTGAAATGTTCATGAATATCAAGCAGAACTGCATAGACTGAACTAATAGAAAACTGAAGTAGTCTTTTTGACTTTTTGCTTAAAATGTTGCTGATCCTTTGTTTTTCAGAGTCAAGGAAACTTTTCTTTTGAGCTATTAACAGCTTTTAACAATTAAATATACTTTATGAACAAAATTTGAAGCATATTTGTTTCTACCTGATTCTCCAGAATTTGGAAACTGAGTGTTCTTAACCTATGGCTATATAGTTATTTGCAAAAGTGCAATGAGAATCTGTTTTCATTTGTAATAGGACACAATTGGAGAAACTGGTTATTTTACCAAGGCTTTGACTGGAATGGTAGGCTTTCCTTTAAGGAATCAAACTTGACTTATAGAGCCAATAAAAGCCCTTTAGGAAAACTGACCTCATACCTACATAGTCCCCGTACAGGGTTCCTGACCTGTGGTAAGTAAGAATGTCACTTTCTGACAGGCCTAGGATCCCCAGGCTATCTTGGGATCTCAAGAGGAGAGGAATTCACCCAACTCATAGGTATTTGATGGTACAAATCTGTGGCTAGGCTCGACTTTAAAAAAGGCTAATCTGAGATTCCTTCTATGGAACAAAGCTCCATCAAAGCCAATTTAAAAAGCCTATGAGAAAAATCATTATTCTTGCTGTACTTTATACAAATAATCTGGCCAAGTATAACAAGGCAAATCAATCATAACATGATTTGTCTTTAGTAAAAATGGGAAACTGGAGAGAGAAAAATTATGTTTCAAAAACTATGGTACACCTGTTGTTAGATTCTAGTCTTACCTAATGTTTTTCAATTTTTATTATTTTCTGCAGTCTAGATTGAATTCTAATTTTTCCTGGCTACAAATCTCCAAGATAATGTTTTCAATTTTTTTCTTCTTTCTTTTCCTTATTTCCCCCATTTTTCCTAATTTAAAATCACTGAAAACTAAGCTGTGCTTTCTTAAAGCCTTACAAACTGCCACTAGACAACTTAATCTCTGGAAGAAAATAACAGCAACATTTTACGTACATAAGCCACTTTTATACCTGTCTATTGATGTATGGACTTTATTTTTTATTTATTTATTTTTATTATTATTATGCTTTAAGTTTTAGGGTACATGTGCACAATGTGCAGGTTAGTTACATATGTATACATGTGCCATGCTGGTGTGCTGCACCCATTAACTCGTCATTTAGCATTAGGTATATCTCCTAATGCTATCCCTCCCCCCACCCCACAACAGTCCCCAGAGTGTGATGTTCCCCTTCCTGAGTCCATGTGTTCTCATTGTTCAATTCCCATCTATGAGTGAGAACATGCGGTGTTTGGTTTTTTGTCTTTGCAATAGTTTACTGAGAATGATGGTTTCCAATTTCAACCATGTCCCTACAAAGGACATGAACTCATCATTTTTTATGGCTGCATAGTATTCCATGGTGTATATGTGCCACACTTTCTTAATCCAGTCTATCATTGTTGGACATTTGGGTTGGTTCCAAGTCTTTGCTATTGTGAATAGTGCTGCAATAAACATACGTGTGCATGTGTCTTTATAGCAGCATGATTTATAGTCCTTTGGGTATATACCCAGTAATGGGATGGCTGGGTCAAATGGTATTTCTAGTTCTAGATCCCTGAGGAATCGCCACACTGACTTCCACAATGGTTGAACTAGTTTACAGTCCCACCAACAGTGTAAAAGTGTTCCTATTTCTCCACATCCTCTCCAGCATCTGTTGTTTCCTGACTTTTTAATGATTGCCATTCTAACTGGTGTGAGATGGTATCTCATTGTGGTTTTGATTTGCATTGCTCTGATGGCCAGTGATGATGAACATTTTTTCATGTGTCTTTTGGCTGCGTAAATGTCTTCTTTTGAGAAGTGTCTGTTCATATCCTTTGCCCACTTTTTGATGGGGTTGTTTGTTTTTTTTCTTGTAAATTTGTTTGAGTTCATTGTAGATTCTGGATATTAGCCCTTTGTCAGATGAGTAGGTTGCAAAAATTTTCTCCCATTTTGTAGGTTGTCTGTTCACTCTGATGGTAGTTTCTTTTGCTGTGCAGAAGCTCTTTAGTTTAATTAGATCCCATTTGTCAATTTTGGCTTTTGTTGCCATTGCTTTTGGTGTTTTAGACATGAAGTCCTTGCCCATGCCTATGTCCTGAATGGTAATGCCTAGGTTTTCTTCTAGGGTTTTTATGGTTCTAGGTCTAACATTTAAGTCTTTAATCCATCTTGAATTCATTTTTGTATAAGGTGTAAGGAAGGGATCCAGTTTCAGCTTTCTACATATGGCTAGCCAGTTTTCTCAGCACCATTTATTAAATAGGGAATCCTTTCCCCATTGCTTGTTTTTCTCAGGTTTGTCAAAGATCAGATAGTTGTAGATACGCGGCGTTATTTCTGAGGGCTCTGTTCTGTTCCATTGATCTATATCTCTGTTTTGGTACCAGTACCATGCTGTTTTGGTTACTGTAGCCTTGTAGTATAGTTTGAAGTCAGGTAGCATGATGCCTCCAGCTTTGTTCTTTTGGCTTAGGATTGACTTGGTGATGCAGGCTCTTTTTTGGTTCCATATGAACTTTAAAGTAGTTTTTTTCCAATTCTGTGAAGAAAGTCATTGGTAGCTTGATGGGGATGGCATTGAATCTATAAATTACCTTGGGCAGTATGGCCATTTTCATGATATTGATTCTTCCTACCCATGAGCATGGAATGTTCTTCCATTTGTTTGTATCCTCTTTTATTTCCTTGAGCAGTGGTTTGTAGTTCTCCTTGAAGAGGTCCTTCACGTCCCTTGTAAGTTGGATTCCTAAGTATTTTATTCTCTTTGAAGCAATTGTGAATGGGAGTTCACTCATGATTTGGCTCTCTGTTTGTCTGTTATTGGTGTATAAGAATGTTTGTGATTTTTGTACATTGATTTTGTATCCTGAGACTTTGCTGAAGGACTTTAGAGTAATGTGACCTATATTGATTTTCCAGGATTGTTCTTTTGTTTATTGTTGTTTTTCTTCCTTCCTCCCCCTATTTTCTCTTCATAGGACATGAGAGTTTACAACCTGCTAAAAATGAGCTTTCCTAATAACTTGGAACCTACCCATTTAGGAATAAACCATCGTAGCCATGAGAGATCAGATGAAACCTGAGACCAGAGACTCATTTTCTTCTAAAACGCTTTCTCTAAAAGATTTTAAAAAGAAAAGGGGGGAAATATGAAAGAAAAATAAATCTTGGGGCCCCGAAATCACTAAGCTGAAGGGTAAAGTCAAGCTGGGAACTGCTTAGGGCAAACCTGCCTCCCATTCTATTCAAAGTCATCCCTCTGCTCACTGAGATAAATGCATATCTGATTGCCCACTTTGGAAAGGCTAATCAGAAACTCAAAAGAAAGCAACCGTTTGTCTCTCACCTACCTGTGACCTGGAAGCCTCTTCCCTGCTTCGAGTTGTCCTGCCTTTCTGAATGGAACCAATGTACACTAAAATGTATAAAACCTAGCTGTGCTCTGACCACCTTGGGCACATATAGTCAGGACCTCCCAAGGCTGTCACATGGGCCGATATTCTCAACCTTGGCAAAATAAACTTCATAATTATAATTATTAAATACCTGTCTCAGATATTCTGGGTTCCCAGCTCTGTTGGTTGCTTTCTTTTTTTGATGTGCAAAAGCTTTACAGTTTGATATAGTCCCACTTGTTTATTTTTGCTATTGTTGCCTGTGCTTTTGGGGTCATACCCAAAAAATCATTGCCCAGACCAATATTATATAGCTTTCCCCCTATGTTTTCTTATGGTAGTTTTACAGTTTTAAGTTTTATGTTTAAGTCTTTAAGAATCCACTTTGAATTCATTTTTGTATATGGTGTGAGGCAAGGGTCTAATTTCATTCTTCTGCATATCAATATCTAGTTTTTCCAGCAGCATTTATCGAGGAGACTGTCCTTTCTTTATTGCGTTTTATTGGACTCTTTGTCAAAATGCTGTTTTGATTACTATAACTTTAAAAAAATGTAAAACAAAATTAATTTTTTTAATTTTTAAAAAATCCCCTGGGTTTACCATACTATAACTTTTTAGTAGATTTTGAAATCAGATAGTGTGATGCCTCTAGCTTTGTTCTTTTTGCTCAAGATTGCTTTGGCTATTCAGTGATTTTTGTGGTTCTATGTGCATTTTAGGATTTTTTTCTATTTCTGTGAAAAAGTTCATTGGAATTTTGATAGGAATTGCAATGAATCTGTAGATCACTTATTTTAACAATATTAATTATTTAAATCCATACACGTAAATATCTTTCCATTTGTTTGTGTCTTTAATTTTTTATCAATGTTTTAATTTTTAGTTTACAGATCTTTTATCCCCTGGGTTAAATTTATTCCTAAGGATTTTTTTTTATAGCTGTTGTAAGTGGGGTTGTTTTCTTGATTTCTTTTTCAGGTAGTTTTCGTTAGTGTTTAGAAACACTATTTATTTTTGTATGTTTACTTTGTATGCTGCAATTTTACAGAATTTATTTATTAGTTCTAAGAGTTTTTTTGGTGGAATCTTTAGGATTTTCTACATAGAGGATTATGTAGTCTGCAAACAGACAATTTAACTTTTTCCTTTCTGATTTGAATGGTTTTTTACATCTTTCTCTTGCCTAATTGCTCTGGCTAGGTCTTCCCGTACTCTGTTGAATAGAACTGGTGAGGGTGGGCATCCTTGTCTTATTCCTGATCTTAGAGGAAAAGATTTCAACTTTTTGCCACTGAGAATGATGTTAGCTATGGGTTTGTGTATATGGGCTTTATTGTGTTAAGGTAAGTTTCTTCTACGTCTAATTTGTTGAGAATTTTTAGGATGAAAGATGTTGAATTTTGTCAAATATCTTTTCTACATCTATTGAGATGATCATATGTCTTTGTCCTTCATTCTGTTAATATGACATATCACACTTGTTGATTTGTATATGTTGAACCACCCTTGCATCCCAGGGGATAAATTCCAGTTGATCATGGTGAATGATCCTTTCAATGTGTTGTTGAATTCTGTTTACCAGTATTTTATTATGGATTTTTGCATCTATGTTCATCAGGGGTGTTGGCCTGTAATTTTCTTTTCTGTAGTGTCCTAGTTGGCTTTGGTATCAAGGTAATGCTGGCCTTATAAAATGAGTTTGGAAGTATTCCCTCCTTTTCAATATTTTGGAATAGTTTGAAGAGAATTAGTATTAGTGTTCTTTAAATGTTTGATAGAATTCAGCATTGAAACCATCAGGTCTCAATGGAAAAGTCTCAAATGTGAGACTTTTTATTACTGATTCAATCTCCTTACTCATTAGTAATCTGTTCAGATTGTTAATTTATTCATGATTTAGTCTTGGTACATTGTATATGTCTGGAAATTTATTAATTTCTTCTAGGTTACCCAATTTGTTGGCCTACAAATGTTCATAATAGTCTCTCTCTCTTTTTTTTTTTTGATGGAGTCTTGCTGTGTTGCTCAGGCTGGAGTGCAGTGGCACGATCTCAGCTCACTGCAAACTCTGCCTCCTGGGTTCATGCCATTCGCCCACCTCAGCCTCCTGAGTAGCTGGGACTACAGGCACCTGCCACCACGTCTGGCTAATTTTGTTTTTGTATTTTTAGTACAGATGGGGTTTCACAGTGTTAGCCAGGATTGTCTCGATCTTTTCATATCGTGATCTGCCTGCCTTGGCCTCCCAAAGTTCTGGGATTACAGGTTTGAGCCACTGTGCCCAGCCCATAATAGTCTCTTTTAGTCCTTTGTATTTCTGTGATTCAGTTGTAATGTATCCTCTTTCATTTGTTATTTTATTTATTTTAGTCTTCTCTTTTTTCTTACTGTAGCTACAGGTTTGTCAATTTTATTCCTCTTTTCAAAAAACAAATCTTTGCTTGTTGATCTTTCTGTTGTTCTTCTAGTGTCTATTTCACTTATTTCAGCTCTGATCTTTATCTTAATTTCCTTTCTTCTATTGTCTTTGGGCATAGTTTGTTCTTTTTCTAGTCCTTTGACATGTAATGTGAGGTTGTTTATTTGGGATCTTTCCTTTTCTTTTTTGATGTAGGCATTTGTTGCTCTTAGGATTGCTTTTGGTATGTTGAACTTCCATTTTCTTTTGTCTTAAGATATTAAAACAATTTTCCTTTTAATTTCTTCTTTGACCCCTTGTTTAGGAGCATGTTGTTTCATTTCCACATGTTTGTGAATTTCCTAAAATTTCCTCTATTATTAATTTCTAGTTTTATACCACTGGGGTCTGAAATGGTTCCAATCTTCATAAATTTGTTAAGATTTGTTTTGTGGCCTAACATATGATATATCCTAGAGAATTTTCCATGCGTATGCTCTTGAGAAGAATGGGTATTCTGCTGCTGTTGAATGAAAAGTTCTATTTAGGTTGGTGCAAAAGTAATTGAGGTTTTTGCCATTAATGCAATTACTTTTGCACCAACCTAAAATATGTGTCTGTTTGGTTCATTTGATCTAAAGTATAGTTCAAGCCAATGTTTCCTTATTGATTTTCTGTCTGGATGATTTGTGAATTGTTGAGAGTGTAGCATTGAAATTCCCTACTATTATCATACTGCAGTCTGTCTCTCTCTTCGGATCTATTAATATTTGCTTTATATATTAAAGTGGTCTGATGTTGGATACCTATGTATTCATAATTGTTATATCTCCTTGAGGTATCAATCCCTTTATATCATTACATAATGACCTTCTTTGTCTCAATTTACAGTTTTTTGGCTTAAATTCTATTTTATCTGTTATAAGTATAGCTTCTCTTTTGGTTTTCATTTGCATGAATATCTTTTTCCATCCTCTCACTTTCAATCTGTGTGTCTTTTTAGGTTAAGTGAGTCTCTTGTAGGCAGCATATAGTTGGGTCCTTAAAAAAAACCCATACAACATTCTGTTTTTTGATTGGATATTTTAATCTATTTCCACTTAAGGTAATTATTGATAGGTAAGGACTTACTACTGCCATTTGTTAACTTATTTATGGCTGTTTTGTGGAGTTTTTATTTCTTTGTTCCTCTCTTGCTGTCCTCCTTTGTGATTTGATGATTTTCTTTAGAGGTAGGCTTTGATTTCTTTCTCTTTCTTTTTTGTGTATCTACTATAGGTTTTTGCTTTGTATAAAACATCTTATAATAGGCTGTTTTAAGCTAATAAAAAACTTAACTTTGCGTACAACAACTCTAGACTTCACCTCCCCATATTTGATGTATTGATGTCACAATTTGCACCTTTTAATATGGTATATCCTTTAGCAAATTAATATATTTTAAAACAATTTTGTCTTTTAACCTATATACTAACAATAATTTACACACCACCATTACAATGTTAGAGTATTCTGAATTTGACTGTGTACTACGTACTTTTACCACTGAGGTTTTTGCTTTTGTATGTTTTTGTGCTACTAATTAGCATACTTTTGTTCAGCTTGAAGAACTCCCTTTAGCATTTCTTGTAAGACAGGTCTGGTGGTGATAAACTCCCTCAACTTTAATTTGCCTGGGAAAGTCTTTATCTCTCTTTTATCTCTGAAGAATAGCTTTTCTGGGTAAAGTATTTTTGGTTGGAAGTTTTTTTTTTTCCCTTCAGCACTTTGAATATATCATCCCACTCTCTCCTGGTTTGTAAGGTTTCTGCTGAGAAATCCACTGTTAGCCTTACTGGAACTTCTTTACATGTGATTTGTTTCTTTTCTTTTGCAGCTTTTAGGATCCTTTCTTTGTCTTTGGTTTTTGACAAATTGATTATGTCTCAGGAGTAGTCTTGTTTTGATTGAATCAGATTGGAGATCTTTAACCTTCTTGTACCTGGATATTTATATTGCTCCCCAGGTTTGGAAGGTTTTCTGCTATTATTTCTTTAAATAAGTTTCCTTCCCCTTTATTTCTCTCTTCTTCTTGAACTTCTATAATGTGAACATTTGCTCTTTTGATACTCTCCCCAAAGTCCCATAAGTTTTCATCATTCTTTTTCACTCTTTTTTCTCCTCTGACTGTATATTTTCAAATAATCTGTCTTCAAGTTCACAGATTCTTTCTTCTGCTTGATCATTCTGTCACTGATGCTTTCTATTACATTTTAAAATTTCATTCATTGTATTCTTCTGTGCCAGAATTTCTGTTTGCTTTTTTTTAAAAAAAATTTCAATCTTTCTGTTACATTTCTCATTTTGGTTGCTTATTGTTCTTCTGATTTCACTGAATTACTTCTCTGTATTTTTTGAAGTTTGCTGAGCTTCCTTAAATTATTTTGAATTTTGAATTATTTGTCAGTTTTTTTTCATTTCTTTCTTTTTTTTTTTTTTTTAGATGGAGTCTTGCTCTGCGCCCAGGCTGGAGTGCAGTGGCTTTTTTTCATTTATTTGTGGTCAGTTTTGGGAGATTATTGTGTTCTTTTGTTGGTGATATATCTCCTTGGTTTTACATGTTTCTTGTTGCCTTTCATTGATGTCTGCATATTTGATGGAGTCACCTCTTGCAGACTTCACAGACTGATTTCACTATGGAAAGACCTTCCCCTACAGGGAGGTAGAAGGGTGCTTGCTGGTGGTGTGCAGTGGTTCTGTCACCAGTGAGAACGCAGCTGTGTAGTCTCTGTGTGGCTGTGTCTTATATTGACATATCTTTCTTTTCCTAGAATAAAAACTACTTGACCATAGTGTATGATTTTAATATATATTTGTTTTTTCCATCTATCATAAGAAATGAAAACTGTTCATTTATTTTTTGAAATAACTTAAGAAAGTTTTGATATTAAGGTGTGTTAGCATCATAAATTGAATTGAGGAAATTTCTAATTTTTTTCTATGGCTTGGAATACTTTGACTAACATAAAAATTATCCTTATTGGAATGTAATCTAAAACTAATTTGTAAAATCATTTCGGCCTAGAACACTTTTATAGGGGATGCCATCATTTAGATATTTTAAGCATTAAAATTAATTTGCACCTTAGCTTCTGGTAAACATGAAATGTAGGTAATTTAGCTCTTCTTTTGAAGACAGCCAGAAAAGCTAAATAAGAAATCTACTTGAAGGTATTAGGACATAATAAAATAGTGAAGAAATACTGGCCCCAAATTTGGCAGACGTGACAAACCATTTTGGGTTGCTTCTCCTCTCAGAAGAAACTGCCAATTCAGTGTGGGAGGTACTGAGAGGCTGAATGATGCTTTTTTGGAAAGTAATATATCTTTTATAGTCTGCTTTTGATATTTTCTCTTTTTCTTTAGTTTTCTGCAGTTCTACCATGCTATATCCAGGTATGCATTTCTTGTACTTTTTCTGCTCGGGTTTTTAAAGTTTCTTAAATCTGTGCTTGATCTCTTTCAACACTTTGGGTAAATTCTAGGGTGTTATCTCTTCCATTATAATTTGATTCCATTAACATGTATTGTTCAATTACCGTTTTGCCCCCTCACCCATGTATTTTCTTTACATATATGAAAAAGGTCGACATATGCCTCAGTCCTTCTTTATCTTCTCTTTCTTTTAGCAGCTTTTTTGGTTTTCCCCTATTCTTTTTGTTTTTGTCCTCAGTATGCCCCCAAATTCCCTATTTTATTCCATGCTTTATTCTGGATTCTGTCTCCCGGCCCATCTTTAGCCCAGTCTAACTCACTATTAAGCTAATCAATTAAGTTTGTAATTTCAGTTATTTTATTATTATTTAGTTATGGGATTTTTACTCTATTTTTGTCTTAGCCAGCGTTCCCTAGTGATTGGATTTCATTGAATTGTGTCCTCTACAAAAAGATATGTCAAAACCCCAACCCCCAGTGCCTCAGAATGTGACCTTATTTGGAAATTGGGTCTTTACAGAGGTAGTCCGTCAACATGAAGTTATTAGGGTGGACCATAATTCCATATGACTGGGGTCCTTCCTTATAAAAAGGGGAAATTTGGACATAGATAGACAGACATACAGGGAAGACGACAGGGAAACATGCAGGTGATAACGCCGCGTGAAGATTGAGGCAGAGATGGGAGGGATGCGGCCAGAAGCTGAGGAATGTTGGGGTCCGCCAGAAGCTGAAGAATGTTGGGATCCACCGGAAGCTGGAAGAGGCAGGAAGAATTCTCCCTAGACGCTGCAGAGGGAGCACAGCCTGGCTGACTTCTTGATTTTGCACTTCGGCTTCCAGAACTTTGGGACAATGAATTCCTGCTGTGTGAAGCCCTCCAGCTGTGGTGCATCCTCATGGCCTCCCTAGGTAACAGATTCCCCTGGAAGGCAGAGTGCGAAGCAAGGGCAGCGCTCCTGTTTGATTAGAGAGTGAAATCCAGGGGGCGCAGTGAGGAAGAAGGGGAGAGACACAGATACGGCAGAGACAGGGCTGCAGACAAGTGTGACTGATGACCACTTCTCAGAGACGTACTTTCTAAGAGGCTGTAAAACGGCCTGGTGTGGTGGCTTAGGCCTGTAATCCCAGCACTTTGGGAGGCCGAGGCGGGCGGATCACCTGAGGTCAGGAATTGGAGACCAGCCTGACCAATAAGGTGAAACCCCACCTCTACTGAAAAAAATACAAAAGTTAGCCGGAAGTGGTGGCGGGTGCCTGTGATCCCAGCTACTCAGGAGGCTGAGGCAGGAGAATCACTCAAACACGAGAGTTGGCTTGCATTGACCTGAGATGGCGCCATTGCACTCCAGCCTGGGCGACAGAGGGAGACCCTGTCAAAACAAAAAAAAAAAAGAGGCTGTAAAATGACAGACTCTCAGCACATTCTGTTTGGGAGGAGGAATGGGGAATAATTTATTTACCAGTCAGTGCCAAATCCCATTTATCAGGGGTTCACCCCGTGGAGCATGAATACCTCAGGTTACCGGATCGCACAGGCGTGGGTACTGAGCGAATCCTGGGGTGTTTCTCGCCTTGTTGGCAACAGGGAAGGCCCGAGGTAGGAGACAAGCGGCATCCACCGCAGGCTTAGGGTGAAATGCGCTGCCCACTCCCTGTGGAGTCAGGCGGTGCCCACACAGAACTGGTGACCAGCGGGGTGGTGGAAGCAAAACAGATGGCTGCTATGGACCGAATGTTTGTGTTCCTCCGACATTCACGTGTTGGAGCCCTAACCCTCAGTGGGAGGAAATTAGGCTCAGATGAGGTCATGAGGGTGGAGCCGCCATGATAGGATTAGACCCCTAATAAGACCAGAGCCCTGGCTCTCCACCATGTGCAGACACAGCAAGAAGCTGGCCATCTGCAAACCCCCAAGAAGACCCCCACCAGGAACTAAATCTGCCGACACTTTGACTTTGGGCTTCTCAGCCTCCAGAACTGTGCAAAATCTGTTATGTAAGCCACCCAGCCTGTGGAATTTTGCTATGGAACCCTGAGGTGGTCAACACACAGCCAAGGGCTCCAGAACAAGGCGACCAAAGAGTCTGCCCAGGTCTTAAGAGGCACTGGATGTAACTTTCTTTTTTCTTTCTTCTTCTTCTTCTTCTTTTTTTCTTTTTAACAGTTTTCAGATCTCTGCCAAAATTCTCAATCTTGTCTTTTTCCTCCATAAACAAAGAATGCATATTTATTTTGAGATCTGTGTATCATAATTCCGTTATCTGGGTGACTGTGGACCATTCTGTTTTGTTTGCCTACAGAGTCTGTCTTGTCTCCTTATGTGCTTATTGTGTGATAGGGCATTCATTGGCTTATTGTAGAAATACATCAAGATGTAGGAGATCTCCCTCCAGGTGTGAGATAAGTTGGCTCTGCCAGGCACCAGGGGGCACCAGAACTCTATGGTTGCCTTAATCCAGTTTTAGGAAGTGTGATGATTCAAAGGTGCACTTTACTTCTCCAACTCAAGAAGGCTAGAATGCTTCTGGGTTGCCCTTACACCAAGACCACTAGTCCCCACCCCAAGCAAGAGAGGTCCCAGAGCCTACCTTTGGTGGGTCCTGGACGCCCACCCCTTTTCCTTATGCTTATAGCTGATTTTCAACAGAAATAAAGGAAGTCAACAGCATTAGAACAATGTTTTTAGAGTGCTGCAAGAAAAATAGCTGCTAAACTGGGATTTTCTATGAAAAGAAAATATTCTTCAAGACTAAAGATAAAGATATCTTCATATAGATGTTTGGCATGAGAAGAACTACACTAAAGAGAATACTTCCAGAACCAATACAATTGGGTTTTACAAAAAAGAAAATATTAAAAGGTATCTTCAGGTCAAAGGATGAACCCAGGCAAGAGGTCAGAGATGCAGGAAGGCATGAAGTGCAACTAAAAGTGTCAATAGATAGGGAAATCTAAATGAATATTCAGCCGGGCACAGTGGCTCACTCCTGTAATCCCAGCAATTTGGGAGGCTGAGGCAGGTGGATCACCTGAGGACAGGAATTTGAGACCAGCCTGACCAACATGGTGAAACCCTGTCTCTACTAAAAATACAAAATTAGCCAGGCGTGGTGGCAAATGTCTGTAATCCCAGCTACTTGGGAGGCTGAGGCAGGAGAATCGCTTGAACCCATGTGGTGGAGGATGCAGTGAGCCAAGTTTGCACCATTGCACTCCAGTCTGGGCAACAAGAGTGAGACTCTGTCTCAATAAATAGATAAATAAGTAAATAAAAGAAAATAAATCAATATTCATAGCATAGGACAATGACATCTTGTTGGGTTAAAAATATGAATAGAATGAAAATGTGTGGCAACTTGGCCTATAATTTGTGAGAGAATAGATGGAGTTAAAATATTGTAAGATTTTTGCATTCTCATAAAATTATCATTTATTATTAGACATAATAAGTCCAGAAGCATGTTATAATCAACCTCTAAGGCAACTATTAAAAGAATAATACAAGATTGCATAACTTTCAAGCTCATAGAATAAAAAAATGGAAAAATAAATGCCAGTCGCATTGGCTTACACCTATAACTCCAGCACCTTGCGAGGCCAAGACAGGAGGACTGCTTGAGGCAAGGAGTTCCAGACCAGCTTGGGCAACATAGTGAGATCCTGTCTCTACAAAAAATTTTTTAAAAATTAGCTGGGTGTAGTGGCCTAAGCCTGTAGTTCTAGCTACTTGGGAGGCTGAGATAGGAGGGTCGCTTGAGCCCAGGAGTTAGATACAGTGAGACATCTTTATGCCACTGCATTCCTGCTTGGGTAACAGAGTGAAATCCCATCTCAAAACAGACAAACAAAAATGGAATAAAAAAATAATTCATTCAAAAGTAGATAGTCAAAGAGAAAAAGGCATATAGGTCAAGTGAAAGACTGTAAAGAATTATTAAACCCAAATATGTCAGTAATTACTAATATATTTTAAACCAAATATATCAATAATCACGTTAAATAAGAATAGCCAGGGACTACTAATAAACATCGAAAAACAGGAATCAGATATATCCTACCACCTGAATCATCCAAAGAATGGACAAAATATATGAAATGATGAGAGAATCAGGCACCAAAGGATAGTCATGTTTGAGACATGAGAAATAAATGGGGCAAACCCTATTATTACCCCAGCTTGCTGCCTTGGGAGTTTCTTAGGTGGAGCTTGGTGGACTCTCTGAGTTGAGGAGATGGAGCTGAGAGTCTGAGGAAGGCGAGGTGCTTCCTAGTGTTAGCAGGACAGAGGACCTAAGAGGAGAGAGCTGCATAGAGACAGAACTCCAGAGATCTGAGCAGGGTATCCCTTGAGTATTTAGCTGGGTGTTGATCAGTGCATGCATGTGAGAGGACTATCAGAGGCTGGGGAAAGAACCACCCAAAGGATTAGAGATAATAGTACTTAGTGCTCACACTGGGCTGGGAATAGTGCCATTTCCAAATAGCTATACTGGACAGCCTTAAGTATTCATTGGGCATTGATAGAGCACACAGAAAGATTTTGCCTCAGGAGTGGGAAGTAATTAGACCCAGACTGTGCAATGCTCTAGTCTATCTAACAAGTCTTAAAAGGAAGACCCAAAAGGATCACAATATTTCTGAGGACCTCAACAGCATCCTAAAACAAAGTTGAAGGCTCTTTATAGGACTGAGAAAATATCCAGCACTTAATCAGATAAAATTTGCAATGTTTGTCATCTAAGCAAAAATTAACAGGCATGCAAAAGAGCAGAAAAATACAACCTATAATGAGGAGAGAAATTAATTAAATCCAAGCCAGAACTGACAATGAATTCAGCAGCATATTAAAAAGATTATACATCATGACCAAGTGGGATTTATTCCTAGAATGCAAGGATGCTTTAACATATGAAAATTGATCAATATAATACACAACATTAACAGAATGAAGGGAAAAACCCAACCTGGTCATCTCAATTGGTCCAGAAAAAGCACCGGACAAAATTCAACATGCTTTCATGACAAAAACATAAAAAACTAGGAATAGAAGGAAATTACCTCAACATAATAAAATCCATATACAAAAAAACTCACAGTGAATGTCATACTCAATAGTGAAAGACTAAAAGCTTTTTATCTAAGATCTGGAATAAGGTTAAGATGCTCATTTTGTCATTTCTGTTCAATGTAGTTACTGGAAGTCCTAGCCAGAGAAATTAAGCAAGAAAAACAAGTAAGACAATTTAAATTAGAAAAGAAGTAAAATGATCTGCTTCAATATGATATGGTCTTATAGGTAGAAAATCATAAAGATTCCACCAAAAAACCTTTTAGAACTAATAAACCCAGCAAAGAACAGGATACAAAGTCAATAAGCAAAAATCAGTTGCATTTCTATACACTAACATTGAATAATCCAAAAAGAAAATTAAGAAAATAATTCCATTTGTAATAGCATTGAAAAAAATAAAATACTTAAGAATTAACTTAACCAAAGAAGTGAAAGACTTGTACAATGAAAACTACAAAATATTGCTGAAAGAAATTAAAGACATAAATAAATAAAAGCACATCCCGTGTTCACGACTGGAAGAATTAATATTGTTAAGATGTCAATACTACTCAAAATAATCTACAGATTAAATGCAATCTTGATTAAAATCCCAATTATGTTTTTGCAGAAGTAGAAAAAACCCATCCTAAAATTTGTATGGAATCTCAAGGGACCCCAACAGCTAAAACAATACTGAAAACAAAAAGCAATACTGAAAACAAAGCTGGAGCACTCCTGATTTCACTTCTTGTTTTCAAAACTTATTACAAAGCTACAGTAATCAAAACACTTTAGTCTGGCATAAAGAAAAACATAAAGACCAATGAAATAGAATACAGAGCCTAGGAAGAGACCCTTGCATATATGGTCAAATTAGATTCAGCAAGGGTGTCAGACCACTCAGTAGAGAAAAGGCTGTCTTTTCAACAAATGGTGCTGGGAAAACTGGATAGTCACATACAGTAGAATAAAGTTGGACTCTGTATTAGTCTGTTTTGCATTGCTATAAAGGAATATCTGAGGCTGGGTAATTTATAAAAAAAAGAGGTTTGACTTATGGCTCTGCAGTTCATACAGAAGCATGGCACCAGCTTCTGCTTCTGGTGAGACCTACGGAAGTTTTTACTCATGGCAGAAGGGAAACAGGAGCTAGTGTGTCAAATGACAAGAGAGAGAGCAAGAGAGAGAGGAGAAAGTGCCAGGCTCTTTTTAACAATCAGATCTCATGGTGACTAATAGAGCAAGAGCTCACTCATTACCATGAGGAGGGCACAAAGACATTCATGAGGGATCTGCCCTCGTGACTCAAGCATCTCGCGCTAGGTCTCACCTCCAACATCGAGGATCACATTTTAGTATTAGATTTAGAGGGAACAAATATCCAAATTATGTCAGATCCTTACCTAAAACTATATACAAAAATTAACTCGAAATGGATTACCTACTTGTAAGGCCTACAATTATAAGACTCTTAAAAGAGACAGGGCAAAATCTTCATGACATTGAATTTAGCAGTGATTTCTTGGATATGACACAAAAAGCACAGGCAACAAAAGAAAACATAGACTTATTAGACTTTATAATAATTGAAAAATTGTGTGCATCAAGAGGCAATCAACAGCTATTTTGCAAATCATATATTTGATAAGATATTAATGTTCAGAACATATACAGAACTCCTCAAACTCAAGACAAACAAAACCAAACAACCTGCTTCAAAAAATGGGCAAAGGACTCAAATAGATATTACTTTAAAGAAGATATACAGATGGCCAATAAGCACATGAAAAGATGCTCAACGTAACTAATCATTGGGGAAATGCAAATCAAAATTATGATGAAACACCATCTCACACCCATTACATGGCTATTTTAAAAAACACAAAATGAGAAGTGTTGGCAAGAATGTGGAGAAATTAGAGCCCTTGTACCATCTTGGTGGGAATGTAAAATGGTACAGCCACTGTGGGAAACAGTATGGCAATCTGTCAAAACATTAAAAATAGAATTACCATTTGATTCAGCAATTCCACTTCTGGGTATGTATCTAAAATAACTGAAAGTAGATTCACAAAGAAATGTTTATACAACCATGTTAATAGCAGCATTATTCACAATAGCTGAAATGTGGAAGCAACCCAAGTGTCCACTGATAGATGAATGAAGAAATAAAATGTATAAGGTTGTCCGTTGGTATACATGGGGGATTGGTTCCAGGACCTCCTGTGGATAAAAAAACCCACAGATGTTCAAGTCCCCAATGTAAAATAGTGTATTATTTGCATACAACTTATACACTTCCTCCCATGTACTTTAAATCATCTCTAGATTACTTATAATACCTAATATAATGTAAACATTATATAAATAGGTATACTGTATTGTTTAGGGAATAATGACAAGGAAAAAGTCTGTGCATGTTAAGTACATACGCAATTGTTTTCAAATATTTTTATCTGTGGTTGGTTGAATCCATGCATGCAGAACCCATGGATATGGATGAACAACTGTATACATATAATGGATTATTATTTGGCTTTAAAAAGGAAGGGAATTCTGATATATGCTACAAAATGGATGAACTTTGAGAACATTATGTTCAGCAAAATAAGCCCATCACACAAAGCCTATCATACAAAAAAAATACTGTATGATTCCACCTGTATGAGGTACTTAGAGTAGTCAAAATCACAGAGACAGAAAATAGGATAGTGGTTGCCAGGGGCTAGAGGAAGGTGGAAATGGGGAGTTACTGTTTAATGGTTATAGAGTTTTAGTTGTACACAATGAAAAGAGTTCTGGAGATGGATGGCTGCACAACATTGAAAACGTATTTAATACCACTGAACTGTATACTTGAAAATTGTTGAGATGGTAAATTTTGTGTTATATGTATTTTACCACAAGGAAGAAATTGGAAAAATAGTTAATACTGAGAAGCACTTTTAGCAGAAGCTGGAGGCAAGCTCTGACAGAGAATCTGATAGGGTATTTTCTCTTTCTAAGAGGAACAAAGATAGCAACCTTTCATTTTATGGAACACTGTGCACCAATACAACATTTCACTTACAATAAACCCAAATAAAAGAGCATCAGTGAGCTGTAGGACAAATTCAAAGTGGTCTAATATATGAGTAATACGGATAATTGGAGTTCCAAAGAGAAGAGAGAGAGGGAACAGAAAAAATATTTGAAGCAATAACAGCTAAATGTTTTTCTAAGTTTGATAAAAACTGTAAACTCACCTAAGAAACTTAACGAAGTCCAAGCACAAGAAACCTAAGGAAAACTATTCCAAAGCACATCATAATCAAATTACTCAAAATCGATGATAAGAGAAAAATCTTAAAAGCAGCCAGAGGAGAGCCAGCCTTGGTAGTGCACATCTGTAATCCCAGCTACTTGGGAGGTTGAGGTGGGAGGATTGCTGGAGCCCAGGAGTTCAAGACCAGCCTCAGCAACATGGCAAAGCCCCATCCCCCCAAAAACAAGAAAAAAAAAAGCAGCCAGAGGTCAGGGGTGGGAAATTATGTACATAGGAAAAAAGATAAAAATAATAGCACATTTCTTATTGGAAACAGTGAGGAAAAAGCAAAGAGACAGTGGAGCAACATCTTTAAAGTACTAAAATAAAAAACCTGCAACCTAGAATTCTATCTTAGTGAAAATATCTTTAAAAATGAGGGTAAAAATTAAAAGGTTTTTAGAAATACAAAAGCTGAAGGAGTTCATGACCAACAGACCTGCACTACAGGAAATGTTAAAGAAAATGTCAAGTAGAAGGAAAATTGTACCATGTAGAAATATGGATATACACAAAAGAATGAAGAGTATCTTAAATGGTAACTACATGGTAAATATGTAAGATTTTAAAAATTGTTTACACATCTTAAATATAAAAAGAATGACAACATATTGTTGGTTTTATACATTTATAGAAGAAAAATGTATGACAACAATAGCACAAAGGTCATAAGGAGAAAATAGAAGCGTACTAGTGCAAGTTTCCTATATTAGACGTGAAATGGTATAATATCTATCATTAAAGGTAGATTGTGATACATTAAAGATGTATACTGTAATTCTTAAAGCAATCACAAAAATAATAGAACAATGAGACCTACCAAGCCAAAAAAGCAGATAAAAACGACATAATAAAAAATATTCAAGTAATCCAAAAGAAGGCTGAAAAGAGGATAAAGATAACAGAGAACAGATAGAACTAATGGAAAACAAATAGCAGGATAAGCTTAAGTCTAATCAAAATTATAAATACATTAGATATAAATTATCTAAACTTCCAATTAAAAGTTACAGGCTGGATAAAAAAGTGAGCCAAGCATCTCCTGTCTATACAAAATGCACTTTATTTTATTTTTAGTCAATTATTTCAAAATTTTAATTAATTAAAGACAGGTTCTCACTATGTTGCCCAGGCTGGCCTTGAACTCCTGGACTCAAACAATCCTCCCACTTCAGTCTCCTGAGTACTGGGACTACAGGCGTGCACTACCACACCTGGCTCAAAATGCACTTTAAATACAGAAATAGATGAAAAGTAAGAGAATGAAAAGCAGTATGCCATGCTAACACTATTCAAAATAAGCCTGGAATAACTGGATTAATATAAAAAAAGATTTAAGGCAGAAGATTTTTACCAAGGATAAGGACACTAATTTCTTTCTCTCTCTCTCTCTCTCCTCTTTTCTTTTCTTTCTTTTTTTTTTTTTTTTTTTGAGACAGGGTCTCGCTCTGTCACCCAGGCTGGAGTGCAGTGTTGCCATCTCGGCTCACTGCAACCTCCGCTTCCCGAGCCAAGTGATCCTCCAACCTTAGCCTCCTGAGTAGCTGGGACCACAGGCATAAGCCACCATGCCTGGCTCATTTTTGTATTTTTTGTAGAGACAGGGTTTCTCCATGTTGTCCAGGCTGACCTTGAACTCCTGAGCTCAAAGTGTTCCACCCACCCCAGCCTCCCAAAGTGCTAGGATTACAGGTGTGGGCCACCACAAATGGCTAGGAAGCCAATTTCATAATGATAAAGATTTCAATTCACCAAGAGAACAAAAACAATTCTAAATGTTAATGCACCTAACAAAAGAGCTCTAAAATGCATGAAGAAAATCTGATAGAACCAGAAGGAGAAATAGACACAGTGAAAATCAGAGATTTCAATACCTCTTTTTCAATAATTTTTGAGAGCAATTAGATAGAAAGTCAGTATGAATATGAAAACTTGAACAATGCTATTGATAACTTGAACTAATTGACATTTATAGGACACTCTACTCAACAACAGGAGGACACACTTTTTTAAAAATACAGAATGTTTACCATATTTGACTATATTGTGAGCTATAAAACAAATCTCAACATATTTAAAATGATTCAAGTCATATCAATACAGGCATACCTCTGAGGTATTGTGGGTTTGGTTCCAGATCACCACAATAAAATGGATATTGCAATAAAGTGAGTCACATGATTTTTTTGGTTTCCCTGAACAAATAAAAGTATGTTTACCCTATTCTGTAGCTTTCAAGTGTGCAATAGCATGATATCTAAAAAGCAATGTACATATCTTAATTCAAAATACTTCATTGCTAAAAATGCTAACTATCATCTGAGCCTTCAGCAAGTCATAGTCTTTTTGCTGGTGGAGGATCTTACCTTGATGTTGATGGCTGTTGACTGATCAGGGTGGTGGTTACTGGCAGTGGTTGTGGCAATTTCTTTCTTTCTTTTTTTTTGAGATAGGGTCTCACTCTTTACCCAGGCTAGCATGCAGTGGCACAATCATAGTTCACTGCAACCTCAAACTCCTGGGTTCAAGGGATCCTCCCACCTTAGCCTCCTGAGTAACTGGGACTACAGGCATGTGCCACTGTGTCTGGCTGATTTCTTTAATTTTTTTGTAGAGTCAAGGTCTCTTTTTATTGTCCAGGCTGGTCTGGAACTCCTGGCCTCAAGTGATATTCCCCACTTGGCCTCCCAAAGTGTTAGGATTACAGGCATGAGCCATTGTGCCTGGCCCAATTTCTTAATATGAAACAAGAATGAAGTTTGTCACATTGATGGACTTTTCCTTTCATGAAAGATTTCTCTGTAGCTTGTGATGCTATTTGGCAGCATTTTACCCACAGTAGAACTTTCAAAATTGGAGTCAGTCCTCTCAAAGCCTGCCACTGTTTTATCAACTGGGTTTATGGAATATTCTAAATCCTCTGTTGTCATTTCAACAGTGTTCACAGCATCTTCACCAGGAGTTATTCCATTTCAAGAAACCACTTTATTTGCTCAGCCATAAGAACCAACTCCTCATCTGTTCAAGTTTTCTCATGAGATCGTAGCAATCCAGTCACATCTTTAGGCTCCACTTATAATTCTGGTTCTCTTGCTATTTCTATCATATCTGCAGTTCCTTCCTCTACTGATGTCTCGAACCCCTCAAAGTTATCCATGAGGGTCGGGACCAACGTCTTCCAAACTCTTGTTTTATTTTGAGACAAGGTCTCACTTTGTCACCCAGGCTGGAGGTCAGTGGTGTGATCTTGGCTCACTGCAGCCTCGACTTCTGGGCTCAGGTAATCCTCCCATCTCAGCCCCCAAAGTAGCTGGGACTACAGGTGCACGGCACCATAGCCAGCTAATTTTTGCATTTTTAGTAGAGATGGGGTTTTACCATGTTGTCCAGGCTGGTCTCAAACTCCTGGACTCAAGCCATCCGCCCTCCTCAGCCTCCCAAAATGCTGGGATTACAAGCACGAGCCACTGTGCCCGCCCAAACTCCTGTTAATGCTGCTATTTTGACCTCTTCCCATGAATCACAAATGTTCTTAATGGCATCTAGAATTGTGAATTCTTTCCAGAAAGTTTTCAATTTACTTTGCCTAGCTCCATCAGGGGAAGCATACCTACGGCAGCTATAGTGTTATGAAACGTGTTTCTTAAATAACAAGACTTGAAAGTCAGAATTACGCTTTGACTCATGGGCTGCAGAATGGACGTTGTCCTAGCAGGCATAAAAACATTAATCTCCTTGTACACCTCCATCAGAGCTGTTGGTTGACTACAGGCACTGTCATGAACAGTAATATTTTGAGAGAAATTTGAGCATGGGTCTCAAGAGTGGCTTTAAAGTATTCAGTAAGCCATGCTGTAAACGTGCTGTCATCCAGGTTTTGTTGTTCCATCTAGAGAACACATGCAGAGTAGATTTAGCATAATTCCCTAGGATTTGCAGAATGGTAAATGAACACCGGATTCAACTCAAAGTCACCAGCTGCATTAGCCCCTGCCAAGAGTGTCAGCGTGTCCTTTGATGTTTCAAGCCAGCATTGACTTCTCTTCTGTAGCTATGAAAGTTCTAGATGGCATCTTCTGCCAATATAAGGCCGTTTCATTTACATTGAAAATCTGTTGTTTAATCTAGCTGCCTTCATTAATGATCTTAGCTAGGTCTTCTGAATAACTTGCTGCAGCTTCTACATCAGCACTTGCTGCCTCACTTTGCACTTTTATGTTATGGAGATGGCTTCTTTCCTTATACCTCATGAACCAACCTCTGCTGGTTTCCAACTTGTCTTCTGCTGCTTCCTCACCTCTCTCAGCCTTCATAAAATTGAAGAGAGGTAGGGCTTTGCTCTGGATTAGGCTTTGTCTTAAGGGAATGTTGTGGCTGGTTTTATTTACTCACAACACTAAAACTTTCTTCATATCAGCAATAAGCCTGTTTCACTGTCTTATCCTTTGTGTGTTCACTGGAGTAGCACTTTCAGTTTCTTTCATGAGCTTTTCCTTTGCCTCCACAACTTGGCTGTTTCTGATGCAAGAGCCTAAGTTTCAGCCTATCTCGGTTTTTGACATATCTTCCTCACTAAGCTTAATTATTTCTAGCTTTTGATTTAAAATGAGAGATGTGTGATTCTTTCTGTCCCTTGAACACTTAAAGGCCATTGTAGGGTTATTAATTGACTGAATTTCAATACTGTTGTGTCTCAGGGAATAGAGCGACACAAGGAGAGGGGGAGAGATGGGAGTATGGCTGGTCGGTGGAGCAGTCAGAACACGCAACAGTTATCGATTAAGTTCGCTGTTTTACACGGATGCAGTTTGTGGTGCCCCCAAAATAATTAAAATGGTAACATAAAAGATCGCTGATTACAGGTCAACAAAATAGATATAATAATAATGAAAAATTCTGAAATATTGTGAGGATTACTGAAATGTGACACAGAGACTTGAAGCAAGCACATGCAGTTGGAAAAATTGTGCTGATAGAGTTGCTTGATGCAGGGTTGCCACAAACCTTCAATTTGTAAACAACACAAGATCTGTGAATCTCAATGAAGCAAAGTGCAATGAAATGCGAAATGTCTGTGTGCTGTTTCACCACAGTGGAATTAAACTAGAAATCAGTAGCAGAAGAATCCTTGGAAAACCCCCTTATAATTGGAAACTAAACAACATACTTGTAAATAATTCATAGATCAAAGAAGGTATCAAAACAGACATTAGAAAATATTGGAAACTTAATGCAAATAAAAACACAACATATTAGATTTGTGGGATGCTGTAAAAGCACCACAGTGGGGGTGGGGAATTGTAGCAATAAACATAAATTACCAGTGATAATTCTCAAATCAATAACCTCTTCTTCCACCTTAAACTAGAAAAATAAGATCATATTAAACAAAGATTATAGTATACTGTAAGAGGCATATCATGGCTATCAGATTAATGGTAGCCATAAGGCCCACTTAAGCATCTCACAGGGCTAATACATGTCACTTAGCAACATGATGCAGCCTGACCTGGGGATTTCCAACCCAGGGATTTCCAGGAGACAATGCCACCTGGCATTGTCTTATGAAAGAAACACTTGGAAACTGATGCGGACTAGATGCACGTATAAGAAAGGGGGAGCAATCTTCCAAATCCTGAGAATGGTCTCTAGATGAAGACCCTCCTGGTCAGTCATTCATCTGACCCCTGACTGTATCTGGTTCATGCCACTAGTCTCCTCCCACAATCAGTCTTAGAAGAGAAGAGTGGTGCCAGAAAAAACTGCTTGTGCACTAGACAGCAACTAAGACTCATCTTTGGTGCAAATCAAGCAGAAAGGGAGAAGTCACCCCTGTGGAAGCAAGCCAACTAGGACCACCCCAAATGCCCAAACATGATAGGCATGTATAGGTATAATGATGAGGACATTATTTATAATAGAGAGCTATTATAAATAACTGAGATCCAAGACAAAAACCCAACAAAAAATGAATCAAAATTGATCTAGATACTGGAGGTAGCAGATAGCAGTTTTAAGGTAACCATGATTAATATGCTCAAGAAAACAGAAAGAAGATGGAGAAAACCCGTGAAAAGTTGGTGAATTTCAAGAGAGAATTGAAATCCATAAAAAGAATCAAACAAGCATTCTATAAATAAAAAATACAGTACCTGAAATATAAGAACTCTCTAGAAGGATTTAACAAAGAATTAGACAAAGCCAATGACAGAATTAATGAAATAGATAACAGACCAATAGAATGTATTAAAATTGAAACATATAGAGGGAAAAAAAGAGGAAAATATAGAAGGAACATTAGAAGCACGTGAGAAAGAATGAAAGGTATGACATTTAGTTGAAGTCCTAGAGAGGGGTGGGGAAGAAGTGATGTTTGAAGTGATACTGCTCAATAATTTTTTCAAAATTGATGAAAGACATAATTCACAAATTAAACCCTGTTAATCTTAAAGATGCTGGAGATATTTATTAGTTCTGACAAATTTTCAATGAATTCCTTAGATTTTCTACATATGAGATCATGTCATCTGCAAATAGAGATTGTTTTACTTCTTCCTTTCTAATCTGGATGCCTTTTATTTATTTTTCTTACCTAGTTTCCCTGGCTACAATGTCCTGTGCTATGTTAAACAGAAGTGACAAGAGTGAATATTCTTGTCTCATTTCTGATCTTAGGGAAAAGCATCCAGCCTTTCACCATTCAGTGTGATATTAGCCAATAGTATGAGTTGGGTTTTTCATAGATGCTTTCATAGATGCTTGTCAGATTGAGGACCCCTCAAAGAGTATCTATGAAACGTTCTCTTCTATTCCTAGTTTGTTAAGTGTGTGTGTGTGTGTTTTTTTAATCATGAAAGGGTGCTGGATTTTTGTCAAACAGTCTTCCTGCATCTATTGAGATAATACTGTAGTTTTTGTGTTATTAAAAATTCTATTGATATGGTGTTTTATATCAATTAATTTCTTAATTAATTAATTAAATCAACCTTGCATTCCTGTGGTAAATCCCACTTGGTTATGGTGGGATCCTTTTTTTAGGTGATGAATTTTGTTTGTTAGTATTTTGTGGAGGGATTTTGCATCTGTAGTCACAAGATATAGGGGTCTGTAGTTGTTTATCTTGTGATGTATTTTTCTGGTTATCAGGGGAATATTAATTTCATAGAATGAATTAGGTAGTTTTCTCTCCTCTTCTATTTTTCTAAAGAGTTTGTGAAGAATTGGCACTAATTCTTTAAATGTTTGGTGGAATTCACCAGTGAAGTCACCTAAGTCTTGGCTTTTCCTTGTTGGTGACATTTTTTCATGACTAATTAAATCTCCTAACTTGTTATAGGTCTAGTCAGATTTTCTATTTCTTCTGTAGTCTATTTTGTTAGTCTGCATCTTTTTAGAAAAATTTCAATTTTATCCAATGTGTCTAATTTATTGGCATATAGTTTTTTGTAGTATTCCTTTACAGTTCTTTTACTTCTACTAAGGCTAACAGTCATGCACTCTCTTTCATTTCTGATTTTAGTAATTTGAAATTTATCCCTTCTTTGGCTAGTCGAGTAAGAATTTGCCAATTTTATTAATCTTTTCAAAGAACTAACTTTTGGTTTTGTTGATATTTTTTCTATTGATTTTCTATCTCCATTTC
Organism: Homo sapiens; assembly: GCF_000001405.40. Lineage (NCBI taxonomy): Eukaryota > Metazoa > Chordata > Mammalia > Primates > Hominidae > Homo > Homo sapiens. The sequence continues at coordinate 101,652,099 of NC_000014.9, read as the reverse complement.
ATTAGTTTCTTCTTTAATCTTTATTGTCTTTCTTCTGCTTGCTCTAGGCTTAGTTTGTGTTTCTTTTTTCAGTGTCTTAAGGTGGCAGGTTATTTGACTTCTTTTTTCTTTTTATAAATAGATTTAGAGCTATACATTTTCCTCTAAGCACCCCATGAGTTTGGTATGTTGTATCTTCATTTTCATTTCAAAGTATTTTATAATTTCCCCTGCTATTTCTTCTTTGACCTATTTTAGAATTTTTAATGTTTTCCTGTTGAATCGATTCTTTAATAATCATGGAATACCTTTGTTTCTAGTAATACTTCTGGCCTTAATGTTAACTTTGTGCTGTGATATTGTAGTCATTCCAGTTTCCTTTTGGTTAGCAACAGCATGGTTTTTCTTCTCCCATCCTTTCACTTTCAACCTTTCTGTGTCATTCAGTCCTTATATATAAAGTGCGGACATGGTAAACAGCATGCAGTTGGGTGTTGATTTTTATCCAGACAATGTTTATTTCATTACATTTAATAAAAATTAACTGATGTAGTTGGGTTTAAGTCTACCATTCTACTACTATGTCTTCTGTGTGTTCCAGCTGTTATTTGTTCCTTATTTGACTTTTCCTGTCTTATTTAGAAGTAATCAGATAGAAGTAATCAGTACATTAGATCTATCAGATCTTTAGGCAGACATTTTTATATCATTTTTAGTGGATTCCAAAGACAAAAGATTTCAATGTGCATTCTTGACTTATTATAGTTTACCTTAAGTTAGTGCTTTTATCACTTCCCAAAGAGTGCGAGAATCTTACAAAAATTTAACTTTATTTATCCCCTTTCACTTTTTTTTAAAGAGATGGAGTCTCACTACATTGTCCAGGCTGGAGTGCAGAGGCTATTCACAGACATGATCATAGCACACTATAGCCTGGAACTCCTGGGCTTATGCTATCCTCCTGCCTCAGCCTCCCAAATAGCTGGGAATACAGGTGAGTGCACGGTGCCTGGCTCCCCTTCTGCTCTTTATGTTAATTTTCATATATTTTTGCTTCATTTTTATGATCACATAGCACCTTAATATTTTTGTCTCAAATAGTTGACATACATTATTTATAAATAATGTAAATACATATTTACCCACTTATTAACTCTTTCCCATACTCTTCATTCTTTTTCATGATTCTGTGTTCCCATCTGGGGCTATTAATTTGCTTAAGTATTTCTTGTATTGCTGGTTTGTTGGTGATGATTTAGATTTTGTTTTTTCTAAAAATGTCTTTATTTTACCTCATATTTTAAAAAAAACCTTTTTATTTTGAAATAATTATAGATTTACTGTAAGTTGCAAAGATAGCACAGAGAGATCCATGCACTCTTTATCCAATTTCTTCAATAGTTACACTTTATATAATTATAGTGCAAAATCAAAACCAAGATACTGACATTTGGTGTCATGTGTGTGTATAGCTCTATACCATTTTATGGCATATGTAGATTCATGTAACCACTACTGCAATCAAGTTACAGACCTATTTCATACCACAAAGATCTGTCGGAGCCAACATTTTACTAGCTTGAGTGAAATGTAAAACCTTCTTCCCTTTGCATTCTTTACCTCCCCTGTTTATAATAGAATTGCCTTAACATTTTCTCTCTATTCATTGATGTCTGCATCAGGCACTGTTATACTTTTTGGTTTGACTATCAAATATAAATTAGAAAACTCAAAAGAGAAGGAAACTCTTTTGTGTTTACCCATTTTTTGCTCCTTATATTCTTCCCTTTTCTCCCCCCGATGTTCCAAGGTTACTTCTTTTATCACTTTCTGTTTCAAGAACTTCCTTTGGCCAGCCCATTAGGGTTGATCTTCTGGCATCAAATTCTCTTAGTTTTCTTTCATGTTACAATGTTTTGTTTCTCTTTCATTCCTAAAGGACAGTTTTGCTCCATGTAGAATTAAAGGTTGACAGTTATTTTCTCTTGAAAAATATCACATAACTTCCTTATAGCCTCCATGGTTTCTGATGAAAAATCCACTGTCATTCGAATGGTTTTCCCCTGTAGGTTATGTGTCATTTCTCAGTGTGTGAAGATTTTTTTCTTTGTTGTTAGTTTTCTGAAGTTTGATTATGATGCATTTTGGTGTGGATTTTTCTGCATTTATCCTGTATGGAGTTTGATCTCCTTTAATTTGTAGATTTATGTTTCTTGCCAAATTTGAGAAAGTTTCCATCATTATTTCTTCCAATAGTTTTTAGCCCCATCCTCTTTCTTTTTTTCTTCTGGAACTCTAACGCTTAGACCATTAGACCTTCTGTTATCATTGCATAGGTCCTTGAAGTTCTATTCATATTTTTCATTCCATTTTCTCTCTGTTAAGATTTACTGATTTCTATTCTATCTTCAAGTTCACTGATTTTTTTCCCTCTGTCCTCTCTATTATGCTGTTGATCCCATTCAGTGAGTTCTTACATTTTGGCTTATTATACTTTCTAATCCTTGAATTTCCATTTGGTTCTTCTTTATATTTTCTATTTCTTTGTTGAGACTTTATATGTTTTCATCTGTTTCAAGCATGTTTATAATTGCACATTATGATGAACCACTTTAAATCCTTGTTGGAGAATCCCAACATCGATATCATTTCAGTGTTAGTGATTGTCTTTCTCATTCCAATATCTCTGATGAACATAGATGCAAAATTCCTCAATGAAATACTAGCCAACCAAATTCGACAACACATCAAAAAGAGTATATACCATGACCAAGTGGGATCTTTCATGGGATGCAAAATTGTTTTAACATGTGCAAAACAATCAATGTGATATACCACGTTAACAGAATGAAAGATAATGGCTGGGTGTGGCATCTCACACGTGTAATCCCAGAACTTTGCGAGGCTGAGGTGGAAGGATTGCTTGAGTCCAGAAGTTTGAGACCAGCTTGGGTAACACAGTGAGACCCCATCTCTACAAAAAAATTAAAAAAATATAGCCACCCATGGTGACATGTGCCTGTAGTCCCAGCTACTCTGGAGGCCGAGACAGGAGGATTGCTTAAGCCCAGGAATTTGAGACCAGCCTGGGTAACACAGTGAGACACTACAATTTTTTTTTTAAATAGCCAGACATGGTGGCATTATAATCCCAGCTACTCTGGAGGCTAAGGCAGGAGTATTGCTTGAGCTTGGGAGGTTGAGGCTGCGGTAAGCCATGATTGCACCACTGCACTCCAGCCTGGGTGAAAGAGTGAGAGCCTGTCTCAAAAAAAAAAAAAAAGTTAGATGTCAGATATGTTAGTTAGCCTGATTTTTATCATTTCACAATGTATACGTGTCACAAAATATCACATTGTACTCCATTAATATACACCATCATTATTTGTCAATTAAAACTAAAAAACTGTGTGTATACATATTCTTTTCATATATGTGTGTATGTGTGTGTGTGTGTATATATATAAAGAAAAACAGAGCCAGAGGCATCATACTTCCTGATTTTAAATTATATTACAAAGCAATAGTATCAAAACAGTATAATACTGGTATAAAAAACACATACAGACCAATGGAATAGAATAGAGAGCCCAGAAATAAACCTAAGCATGTACAATCAACTAATTTTTGACAAGGCCACAAAGAAGATAGGATTAAGAACTGATTAGGAACTGGGTCAGTTGCGGGTTGTTGGTCTAGTTAGTTTCAATCATCTCTGGTTATGAATATCTTGAGGCTGCAGTCTGTTCTGTGTGTATGAGACACTCTCTCCATTAGTTTTTTTATTTTTTATTCTTCCATAAGTTATTGAGGTACAGTTTTTATTTGGTTACATGACTAAGTTCTTTCGTGGTGATTTGTGAGATTTTGGTGCACCCATCACCTGAGCAGTATATATTGTATCACATTTGTAGTCTTTTATCCCTTGTCCCCCTCCCACTCTTACCCCCACGTACCCAAAGTCCATTGTATCATTCCTATGCCTTTGCATCCTCATAGCTCAGCTCCCACATATCAGTGAGAACCTATGATATTTGGTTTTCCATTCCTTAGTTACTTCACTTAGAATAATAGTCTCCAATCTCATTAGATTTTTTATTTCTGTGATTCAATCTGGATTTTCTCTTTCCTTTTGCTCCTACTACCATCTATTAATTTTTTCTTCTAATATTTTTCATTTTTAGAATTCCCATTAGAATATTGTAAGATTATAAACTCCAAGTCCTTAGTGAATTTATCTGTTTTCTTGAACATAGTAATCATAGTTATTTTAAAATTTCTTCACTGATAGATCAACTATCTAAATCACCTGTGGGTCTGTTTCTATTGTTTGTTTTCATCTCTTGGTTTTTAGCCATTTTGTTACCCTCCCAGAACCCTGCCCCACTTTTCAGCATGCTTCATAATTTTTGTTTGGATGTCAGCCCTTATAAGTGTAAATATGAAGAGACTATGGACAACGTTATTTTCCTCCTGAGAGAGCTAACTTTTTCTTCTGGCATGCAGAGTAACAGGCCACCTTGATCTTGCTGAGCATTAGTTTTAAGCTCTGTTAGGTTTGGCCTATTTCAGTTTCCCCTTACTCCTAAGGTATGGTCTGTGACTGGCTTTGTGTGATTGGTTTATTTCACTTAGTACAATGCACTCAAGCTTCATCCATGCTGTGGCGTATGTCAGAATTTATTTTCTTTAAAAAGTCAAACAATATTCCAGTAATATATAAAATGCATTTTGCTCATTCATTCATTCATTCATTCATTCATTAATCAATGAACACTTGAGTTGCTACCATGTTTTAGCTATTGTGAATAATGGTACTATTTGTATGGCTGTAAAAATATCTCTGTGAGAACCTACTTCCAATTATTTTGGGTATATACCCAGAAGTGGAATTGCTGGATCAAATGGTAATTCTATTATTAATGTTTTGAGGGACAGCTATATTATTTTCCACAGTGGCTATATAATTTTGCATTCCCACCAACAGTGTACAAAGGCTCTAATCACTCTATATCCTTGTCAACACTTTTATTTTCTGTTTTTTTTTTTTTTTTTTTTTTTTTAAATAGCCATCCTAATGGGTGTGAGGTCTTTGACTTGCATTTCTCTAATGATTAGTGATGCTGAACATCTTTCCCTGTGCTTATTGGCCATTTGTGGACTTCTTAGAGAAATGTCTATTCAAATCCTTGCTCAATTTTGAATCAGGTTGTTTGTTTTTTGGTGTTGAGTTTAAAGAGTTTTGTGTATTTTCTCTGTAATGTAGATTTTCTTTTTACTCTGTTGATTATGTCTTTTGATGCATAAAATTTTTCAATTTTCATAAAGTCAATTTTTTCTATTTTTTTCTTTTGTTGCCTGTACTTTTGGTATGACATCCAAAAAATTACTGCCAAATCCAATGTTATGAAGATTTTGCCCTATGTTTTTTCTAGGAGTTTCATAATTTTAGGTCTTATGTTTAGGGCTTTAATCCATTTTGAGTTAATTTTTGTATGTGGTTTCAGGTAAGGGTTCAACTTCATTCTTTTGCATGTGTGTATCTAGTTCTCCTAGCATCACTTGTTGAAAAGACTGCCTTTACCCCATTGAGTGGTCTTGGCATCCTTGTAGAAAATAATTTGACCATATATGCAAAGCTTTTGGACTCTTTGTTCTATTCCATTGGTCTACATGTCTGTCTTTATGTCAGTACCACTCTGTTCTGATTACTATAGCTTTGTATCAAATTTTGAAATCAAGAAGTGTTATTCCTCCATCTTTGTTGTTCTTTTTTTTCCTTTCAGGATTGCTTTGGCTATTAGGGATCCCTTGAACTTCCACATAAATTGTAGGATGACTTTTTCTATTTCTGCAAAAACATTAATGGGATTTTGATCAGGATTGCCTTGAATCTGTAGATTATTTTGAGTAGTACTGACATCCTGACAACATTAAGCCTTCCAATCCATGAACATGGGATGTTTTTCCACTTATTTATGTCTTCTTTAATTCCTTTCAGCAATATTTTATAGTTTTCATTGTACATATCTTTTATCCTTTGGTTAAGTTAATTCTTAAGAATTTTACTCTTTTTGATGCCATTAATGAAATTATTTTCTTAATTTCCTTTTTGGATTGTTCAATGACAGTGTACAGAAATGCCCTAATTTTTGCTTGTTGACCCTGTATCCTGTTACTTTGCTGAATTTGTTATTAGTGCTATAATAGATATTTTTCTTGGTGGAATCTTTAGAGTTTTCTACATACAATTCATCTGTGAACAGGGATAATTTTGCCTCTTTATTTCCAATTTGGATTCCTTTTTTTCTTGCCCAGTTGTTCTAGTTAGGACTTCCAGTACTATGTTGAATAGAAGTGGTAACAGTAGCATCCTTACCTTACTCCTGATCTTAGAGGAAAAGCTTTCAGTCCTTCACTACTGAATTTGATGTTTACTGTGGGTTTTTCATATATGGATTTTATTACATTAAGGCAATTTCCTTCAATTTCTGACTTGTTGAGTGTTTTTAACATGAAAATGTGTTCAGTTTTATACAAGGCTTTTTCTATATCAGTTAGGATGACCGTGTCTTTTTTTCCCCCTTTTAGTTAGTGTGGTGTATTATATTGATTGATTTTTATATGTTGAAATGTCTTTGCATTTCAGGAATAAATACAACTTGGTTATGCTGTATAATTCTTTTAATATGTTGCTGAATTCAGTTTGCTAGTATTTTGTTGAGGAAATTTGCATAATTTTCTAAGGAATCTTGGTCTGTAGTTTTCTTGTGGTATCTTTGTCTGGCTTTGATATCAGCATATGATGGCCTCATAGAATAAGTTTGGGAGTGTTCTCTTCAATTTTTTAGTAATGTTTGAGAAGAATTGGTATTTGTTCATCTTTAAATGTTTTTTAGAATTCACTTAGGAAGCCATCATGTCCAGAGTTTTTCTTTGTCAGAAGATTTTAAATTACTGCTTAAATCTCCTTTCCAGTTATACGTTTATTCAGATTTTCCATTTTCTCACATTTTAGTCTTGTCAGGTTTTGGGTTTCTAGACATTTGTCTATATCATCTAGGTTATCTAACTTGTTGATGTACAATTATTCATAGTGCTCTCTTACAATCCTATTTATTTCTGTAGAATTTGTAGTAATACTCCCAGTAATTTAGAAATTATTTCTGACTTCAATAATTTGAGTGCTCTTGCTCTCCCTCCTTTTTTTTTTTGTCTATCTAGCTAAAGAATTGTCAATTTTGTTGATCTTTTTGAGGAGCTAACTTTTGGTTTTGTTGATTTTCTTTATTATTTTTCTTTAAAAATTTTTAAATCTTTATTATTTTCCTCATTCTGCTAGCTTTGGGCTTAGTTTGTTTTCATTTTTCTAGTTCCTTAAGTTGTAAATTTAGGTTGTTGATATGAGATCTTTCTTAATTTTTAAAGGAAGATTTATAGGTATAAATTTCTCTGTTAGGACTGATTTTGCTGTGTTACATACGTTTTGGTGTGTTTTGTTTCTGTTTTCATTCATCTCTAAGTATTTTCTAACTTCTCTTGTTATTTTCCTTTGATCCATTGGCTGTTTAAGAGTGTGTTGTTCAATTTCCACAAATTTTTGAAATTTCCAGTTTTCCTTTTGTGACTGATTACTAACTTCATTCTGTTGTGGTCAGAGAAGACACTTTGTATTATATTTATCTTTTAAAATTAATTAAGGCATAATTTGTAGTCTAACATATATTTTATCCTGGAACATATCTCGTGAACACTTGAGAAGAATGTGTATACTGTTATTGGGCACAGTGTTCTGTACATGTCTATTAGATTTAATTGGTTTATTGTGTTGTTCAAGTCCTATATTTCCTTACTTATCTTCCGTCTGATTGTTCTATCCATTATTAAAAATGGGATATTGAATTGTCCAACTATTGTTATAGATCTATTTCTTTCTTCAGTTTTGTCAGTTTTTGCTCTACATATTTGATGCTTTATATACCAGTTGTGAAAATGTTTATAACTGTTTATGTCATCTTTCTGTATGGAATGGTTTACTAATATATAAGTCTTTTTCTGTCTCTTATAAGCTTTTTTGATTTAAAATCTATTTTGTCTGATATTAGTATAGCTATTACTGGTCTCTTTTGGTTATTATTTTCATGGAATATCTTTACATTCTTCACTTTCAGCCTATTTCTGTCTTTGGATGGAAAGTGAGCCTTTTGTGGACAGCATATAGTTGGATCGTGCTTTTTAAATCCACTCTGCCAATCACTTTTGATTGGAGAGTTTAATCCATTTACATTTAAAGTAGTTTCCAAGAAGGAAGAACTTATTTCCGTCATTTTGTTATTTGCTATTTGTTTTCTCTAAGCCTCGTAGCTCTTTTGTCCCTTATTACCTTCGTTTCTTTTTCGTCTTGACGACACACTTAAACTTCTTTCTCATTTCCATTTTTTTGGTATATTATTTAGCTATTTTATTTGTGGTTACTGTGGTGATTACGTTTAACACTCTAGTTATAAAACTCTAATTTGAATTGTACAGAGAGTTTTATGCTTACTTCCTCATGGTTCCCACCACCTCAGAATTTTATCCCCTAAGTCCCAGATGGTTAGGCAGCTCTAAACTCCAACTTCTGTCTCCTAAACTTGCAAAGACTTCTGCTTTCTTCTTGGACTTTGTTTTTCTGAATTGGGAAGTAGAAAATGCCCTTATGGAAAATGTGAGGATATTTGTGAAATGTATGTCATGTACTTACCTTCTCTCAGTGTTCATAACCCTTCAAGTTCTGTTGGCCTTGGCTGGTCTCTAATGCCTTCATATAATTGTCTTATATGTTTTACGTATCTTTTTTTTTTTTTTTTTTGAGACAGAGTCTCGCTCTGTCCCCCAGGCTGGAGTGCAGCAGCGCGATCTCTACTCGGCTCACTGCAAGCTCCGCCTCCCGGGTTCACGCCGTTCTCCTGCCTCAGCCTCCCGAGTAGCTGGGACTACAGGCGCCCACCAACACTCCCGGCTAATTTTTTATATTTTTAGTAGAGACGGGGTATCACCGTGTTAGCCAGGATGGTCTCGATCTCCTGACCTCGTGATCCGCCTAACTTGGCCTCCCAAAGTGCTGGGATTACAGGCGTGAGGCACCGCGCCCGGCCGTTTTAACTATCTTTTGCAGTTGTTGTCAGTAAGAGGATTAGCTCTACAAGTCATTCTGTCATGGCTAGAGTCAGAATCCCACTGCCCTTCAGAATTTCTTTTTAAAATTTAATGCATTATAGTACATTGAGGATAACATTTTTACAAATTTTCCAGACGATAGCCTCTTCAAGTGTTCTTGAAAACTTTTGACATGTCTCTAGCAGTTTTGAGTGCTTCCTTACTTTCTGGCACAAATATTTTTTACTTCCCTTGCCCCAGGCCTATTAAACAGCTTCTAGGACAGTTTAGTGGAGACAGATAAAAAGTAAATACTCAAAAATTATTTCATACCAGTACTTCTAATGTCATTCCAACATCTTGAAGTTCTTCCCCTCCTCCCGTTTCATTTTTGAATCCCCCTTCTCTCCAAAAGAACCCTGCTTTTCAATAACATCCATATATTTACTTTTTGCTCAATCTTACAATGAACAGAAAATAGTTTAGGGACTGCAGCCCCAAATCCACTACCAACAGCAAATTTTTCAATAAAGTCCAGGATTTCTTTAAGTTCTTCTTCTACACAAACAGATCGATGTGTTCAAAAAGTGTTTGTAGTTATTATCATTTTCTTCTATGCGGTCATGATATCAAACTGATATACAGTTATCTCCGCTTGTTTCTGTTGATTTCAGTGTGTTCCCCCAAATCTTATTTAATTTTATTTTATAAATGTATAATATATTAACATGATTTAAAAGTCAAAATAGTTAAAAAAGGTACAGAGAAGTCTCATTTTCTTTCCTTTCCCTTACTATGAGTGGAGGTGAGCATTTACAAATTTGTATTTAAGGTGTCTACTCTTATAGTTAACCAATTTTGTTGGCTTCTGTTTTATTCTATTTCTTTTTACATATATTTACAATTTTCTCTATTTCTTTTCTGGAACTAGATGGCTTCAACTTCTTATCTTTACTGGGATCAATTTCGGTAAATTGTACTTTCCTAGAAAAGCTGCTTTCTGTTTCCGTGGATTTGTCTAATCTGCATATATCACATAAAAGAAACCAGGCAATATGTGACCTTGTGTGTCTGGCTACTTTCACTTAACATTCTTGAGGTACATCCAAGTTGTAGCAGGTATCAGCACTTTGTTCCTTTTTATGGCTGAGTGATGTTCCCTTGTATGGATAGACCACATTTTGTTTATCCATCATCCATTGAAGGACATTTGGGTTGTTTCTATCTTTTGGGCATCATGAATAATTCATGTACAAGTTTCTGTGTGGACATATGCTTTCATTTCTTTGGGGTATATTCCTAGGAGCAGAATTGTTGGGTCATATGGTAATTTTTTTTTTTTTTGTTTAACTTTTTGAGGAACTGCCAGACTGTTTTCCCAAATTGGCTGTATCATTTTACCTTCCTGCTACTTTTATCTCTGTTATTTCCCTATTGCACATTCTTTTGGTTTACTTTGTTAACTTTCTAATTTTTTTGAATTGGAAAGTTAGTTCACTTATCTTTGTTACTGATATGAGTATTTGAGGTTATGAATTTTTCTTTGATAACCATCTTACAGTATCCCCAAAATGCCGATATGTAGCATTGCCATTATATTTTTTTAAAAAAAGCTCTGCAATTTCCATTTGTATTTTAACTTTCAGCTGACAGTTATTTGAGAGAGATTTTAAATTTTCAGGCAAAAAATTTGCTTTTTGAATTAGTTTTTAATGTCTAGTTTTAATGTACTATAACCAACAAGGATTATTTGTATAATTTCTACTTTATGAAGAGTATTGTGATCTGTGTGTGTGTTTATTTTGGTGAATGTTCTATGCATATCTGAGAACAAGGTATATCTTTGTTTGTTGTGATATGAATTTTACACATAACCAGAAGATCTTCCTTATTGATTATACTGTTCAGTTACTCCATAACCTTGCTTTTTTGTTGTTGTTCATTTGACTAGGAGCAGTGTATAAGTCTCCTATTAGTAGTATGTTTTTGTCTATTTCTTCTTATATTTCCTGTAGCTTTTGCTTTATAAAGTGGTTGCTGTGCTTCTTGCCACACAGGTATTCTTAACTGTTCAATTTCCACTGGCCTAATAATGTAACATCTTTTTCACGCTTGATGCTTTCTGGCCTGAATTCTACCTTGTCTGAAAAATGATGGCCATAAATAAGCAGAGTCAAATCCCTGCTTGTTTGTGGCCATTTTCCTCATTTTCAGTCTAAATCTCTGTGTTTAGAGTGTTGGCTTGCTATGTAAGCCAATTTGAAAATCTTTTTCTTTTAGTAAGTGAGTTAAACCTATTCATGTTACTGCTATAACTGATATGCTGGTCTCCATTCTACTATGTTATTGTATATAATATTTATTGTTTCTTTCTCAATATTTAATGTTGTCTGTTTTCCTTGCTCTTATTTTTTTTAAAGCATAACTTCCTTTATTTCTGTGTTGTTATGTTTTTAAAAAGCAGCTTTGAGATTTACTTCACATACCATACAATTCACCCATTTAAAGTGTACAAGTCAGTGGTTTTTGGTTTATTACATTAGTTTTCAAACATATGGTAAAACACACATAATATAAAATTTATCATTTTAACCATTTTTAAGTGTATAATTCAGTGGTGTTAAGTACATTTAGGTTGTTTTGCAACTATCACCATTATTTCCAAAATAGTTTATTACCACAAACAGAAACTCTGTACCCATTAAGCAATAACTCCCCATCTCCCCTTTCCCCACAGCTCATAGTAACCTCTATTCTATTTTCTGTCTCTATGAATTTGCCTGTTCTAAGTACTTTATATAAGTGAAATCAGACATTTGTCATTTTATGCCTGACTTATTTCACTAAGCATAGTATTTTCATGGTTTACCTACATTGTAGTGTGTTTTTGTTTTTACATTTCTTTTGCAATTTAGACATGTTTGCGTTTTTGATTGAGTGACTGTCTTTATTCTAATATCCTTTGTAATGTTTAATTAGCTTGAGCAATATAGGATTAGCATTTTTGTAGGGAAAAGATGGTCAGATATTGTCAGTTTCACACAGTGCAAACTAATAGTATTTGGTTTGTCAGCATGAAGTGACATCCTTTGTCTGCCACCTATTATTTATGTGACAATCCATGAGTTTGTTCTGTTTCCCCTTTCTCTCTTTTTTTCCTCCCATTTTAAGTTCATTATTTCTATTTTGTCAGAACATATAATAGTTATCTATTATTCTTCTACTCTGGTCTCTGTTTTTCTGTTAGTCTGAGACCTACAATTATACATATTTAATGTTCTCCACCAGCCTTCTGGTAGCTTTCTTGGGAAGGGCTTGTGAGTACAATATTTCCTGGGTTCTTGCACATTTGAAACGGCTTTTCATAGCCCGAATGGTGGAAGGACAGCTCGGCCTGACAGTCCTTGCAATTTCCAATTAAGTTCATTCAGGTGCTCAAAAATGTCAAGTTAAGTACATCATTTTTTGAAGCCGAGTGAGAAGCTAAGTGAGAATCATTTACACTTTTCCACCCCCATTTCTTCTCTTAGCTCTTAAGCTCTCGACAAGTCTCATTCTTTGGACAGCCACTTTGGCATGGAACAGCCGAGCCCAGTATTCTGATGACACTTTTTTTTTTCACATAACATTGAAACAGACGGTTCTGTCACAGCTTGGATTTTATTAGAGTCAGTCATTTGATCATGTAATTTAACGTGGATGTCAGATCTGCACGCAAACTTTCTATACCAGAGGCTGTGAATAATGCCATGCATTACTGGCATCTCAGGGTTTTCTAGAACAAACTCTTGGTGGAGAGCTGTTATTCCTTCCATCATTACAGCCACATCTGTATGCAACACAGCAGGGCCTCCACCATGAGCTATGTGTCTCGAAGTATTAATTGTCCAGTTTGAATGGTTCATTCCCAGTAATTTGTTTTGGGACTACTCAAAAGAACAAACAGTGTCCTCCCCAGCCTTTTTCTTTTGGGATTCGAATTAGTGCTATTAACTGAGCCCAATTAGTAATGTATTAATATATAGATTCATCAATCTGCAATGAAAACTTCTTTTGACTTAATAAGACTTTGGATTGGTGTCATCTTTGTCATCTGACATGTTGTCAATTCGTTTACTAATAATATTATTTGAAAATGTCACCTTTTCCATTTCCTTTGCTTCATTAGTCCCAGACACAGTGTTGACAATTTCCAATCAGGCTGTTAGAATGAGCGATTCTGCAATTACGTGAGTCATTTCGGCTTTAGGTTGTAATCGCTGGACCTTGTAACCAGCTCCTTGGGCTCCATCGGATACTGGGGCAATCGATCTTAGCCAAGAACTTTGTTTCTTAATTCGTGCTTGTGGATGCTTAGAAAAGGTCACAGCTTTTTTTTCTGGGCAAAAAGCACATTGCGTGGTGAGGTGGTGCCGGCCACTTGGCGCCCTTGCCTCTCTGGATAATTCTCCCATCCAAATAAGACTTTAAGGCAGAAAAGGGATAATTGTCAGGAGCACACGAATCCCAATGTGTGATAGTTCTCATTATGTTGCCTAACTAACGACTTAGACTTTTGGGGGGAATTATTGGTTGTCTTGTGACTATAACTTTCCAGTCTTAATTAAAATATTGTCAATTACAGAGAACATAAAAATATCTGTAAAAGTACATCAATTTGGATATGAAATGCTTAAGGAGACCAGAGGCCTTTACAGCTTCTGAAGATTGATTTTAAAAAGGCTGTCTGCATTATTAAAAGTTTAAAAATAAACAAAAATAAAAAAATTGAAGCATGGACTAAATAAAATAGGATGTATTAAAGTGTTGATTTTCATTTAATTCAGGAATTAAATTGCTGAAAATGGCATGCAATGTGACTATTATCTACACACATGTATAATAATGAACCTTTTTAAAAGATAGATTTCCTGGTGCTGTAAATGCTGATAGTCCCTCATTAATGTATTGATTTGCTTAAAGTATGTTAAATTCCTATTTTAAAAAAACCTGGCTGGGCGTGGTGACTCATGCCTGTTAATCCCAGCACTTTGGGAGGTCAAGATATCGAGACCATCCTGGCCAACATGGGGAAACCCTGTCTCTACTAAAAATACAAAAATTAGCTGGGCATGGTGGCGGGGGCCTGTAATCCCAGTAACTCAGGAAGCTGAGGTGGGAGAATCGCTTGAATCTAGGAGGCGGAGGTTGCAGTGAGCCGAGATCATGTGACTGCACTCCAGCCTGGCAACAGAGTGAGACTCGGTCTCAAAACAAAAACAAAAACAAAAACAAAAAACCTAACCATTGTTTTTAAGTTTCTAAAACAAATTGATTTAAATTTCTGAAATAATAATTCATTATGAACTTTTGTTAAGAATCAGACTGGTGGCTGGGCGAGGTGGCTCACGCCTGTAATCTCAGCACTTTGGGAGGCCCAGGCGGGCAAATTACTTGAGGTCAGGAGTTCAAGACCAGCCTGGCCAACATGGCGAAACCCTTCATCTACTAAAAATATCAAAAATTAGCCAAGCATGGTGGCGCACGCTGGTAGACCCAGCTACTTGGGAGGCTGAGGTAGGAGAATCACTTGAACCCAGGAGGAGGAAGTGCAGTGAGCCAAGATCATGGCACTACATTCCAGCCTGGGCAACAGAGGAAGACTCCCTCTCAAAAAAAAAAAAAAAAAGGAATCAGAACTGGCTAATTGTAAATATCAATTAACAAAATCAATTATGCTTTATTTGGAAGCACCTAACACTAACAGTCATTACCACTAAGATAAAGAAACAAAATATAGACCTCTAAGGCGGGAATTAAAATAAGAGCTAATCAAAAAGAAAACTAAATATCTTTGCAGAATAAAGAACTTCACTAAAAAAGCTGGCAGCTAGATGAAATCTGACTGTTGGCTGATTGATGGGAAGGTCAA
Source organism: Homo sapiens (assembly GCF_000001405.40). Taxonomy (NCBI): domain Eukaryota; kingdom Metazoa; phylum Chordata; class Mammalia; order Primates; family Hominidae; genus Homo; species Homo sapiens. The sequence goes on along the minus strand of NC_000014.9, from coordinate 101,637,071 downwards.
GGTCATGCCCCTGGGTGTAGCATCTAGGGCACTCTCTGGAGAGGGGCTACCCATACAATCTTAGGTGCCAGAATAAGAGTGACTGAATTTAGGATTCGTTACTCCCAAAGAGAAAGAGTCACTGAGAGAGGTGTCGGGGCCAGCTACAGTGGAGTGCTGGCCACCATCTTGGTTCCATTTTGCATTTGAAGCCAGCGCTGAGGTAGAGAGGTAGGAAAACAGAGCAGAGAGATGGAAGGCACCAGGGTCTTTGAGGACCACACCCAGCTACCACACACCCTGAACCCCATTCCACTTCTAGACTTCCTGTTAGATGAAATGATCCATGTTTTTATGGTTTTAGCTTGAGACAGGTTTTATGTTCCTTGTGGCCAAAGACATTTAAACTGAGGTGATCCTTGATAAATGTTTTCTCAATGGATAGATGGAAAGCTGAACGAGAAGGTTATTAAAGGATTAAAATAAAGGCTATGTACGCAGGCAGGGCTGGAACCCCCTCCCCACAAGGGGTGCCCGGTGTGGGCTGGGGTGGGTGAAGGAGCGTACGGGGCTGGCCCTCACCGCCAGGTATGTCAGAAAGTGCCCCCGTCTTCACAGCAAAGGCTGCTGAGTGAACCAAAGAGTTTTGCAAAGTTTTATTATGATTCAGAAAGGAGTGACAGTGACGGGGCGGCAGGGATGACTGATCACTCTCAGCTCAGACAGGTTTCATCTTCTGAATGTTCAATCAGAGCATGAGTGATTGGTGGGTATTAGAGGCGCTCTTTTAAAGGTCAGTGCGGCAGACAGAAGTCCTCGTGGCCCAGACATGTGCCTTAGTAACCACAGCGGAATTCATTAACTTGTCATGGCTGTCCCAGAGCCTGTCAGCTGGCCTTCCACAGACATATGTCATCCTCAACCACATCCACGCTGGCCGGGCCAAAGGAGGAAGCCACACAGGGCCAGAGTATGGGCAACTGGGGAAAGCAAGGCCCAGCACCCCATCCAGTTCCCTTCACGTTATTCTCACAGTAGCCAGCACTTATTGAGCGCTTACTGTGTGCCAGCACCCTGGCAAGTCCTGGATACTTAATGCTCACAACCTCCTTTGGAGATGTACCTGGTGAGTCCCATTCAAGGAAAAGGAGGCTCGGGCATGGCCCTGGACATACCAGGGACAGAGCTGAGGTGGAGTCCAGGCTCCCAGCTGTACCCAACACTACTCACCACCAGGGGCCCACGCTGGGCATGGGACACACCCCCACATAACACAGCTGTAAACACGTTCCCAGTAAAGGGGGACACACATTTTTGGGGGTGTGGGTGGTTTAAGCAAATCCCAGGGATTGCCTGCTTACTCCTTCTAGGGCCAGGGAAGCTGGGCTGGAGGAAGCTGTCTGGGAGCCCAGGAGGCAAGCAGAAAACCGCCAGGACCGCCCCACGCTGGGGGAGCAGCAGGCACGGCCCCTACCAACACCCCCTGGCACCTCGCAAAGCTAGAGCCCGCCCGGTCCCCTCCCCGGAGCGCCCTGGTCTTTGGTTCGTATTCAGCACATCTTCAGAAACAGTGATAGAAAAATGCTGGTTTCTGACTCCACCAGCTCACGGAGGAGATGCCAGCTCACGGAGGAAAATCTGGAAGGTGTTGAAGCATAGACGCTGGAACATAAAATGACTCATGATCTCACTGGGAGAAGGGCTGGGAACATCGTGGGCTCTCTTCTCCCCGCGCTCCTCTCTCCGGGTCTCTGTTTCCCTCATTCCACGATGTTTAGTGAGTACCTGCAGAGGGGGCTTCCCGGGATGCAGGGCTCAGGGCAGGGGTGGGGGCGAGCGTGGGCGAGGCAGAGCGGGCGAGCGCGGGCTGGGAAGGGCGCCCCTGGCGGGCGGCCCGGGCATAAAGGCTTTTGAGCTGGCCTCGCGGGCAAGGCAGGAGGACTGCCTGGGGGAGGCGGCCATACGCCCACCCTAGAGGAAAGCGGCCACCAACGCTGAGGGTCCGGCCCCCACTGACCCTCTGAGACCGAGCCGCCTCGTGTACCAGCGAGGCCACCCGCGCACCTGGCTTGGGCTCCCAGCCCCGCGCCCCTCCACGTCGGAGGCGCAACACCTGTACCCGAGCCTCGGACTCTGAGAACGTCTGGCCTTTAGATAGGCCTCGCGCTCCCAGCGCTGGGGAGTCCTGCATCCCCTAACCGGTGTCTCTCCCGGATGCAATGGAGGTGAACCCCTGGGGTCTCGCGGATCCCGAGTTCAAAGCGACCACAGACTGCTCTGCTTCCAGGACATCCCCTTGGACACCCTCCTCCCCCGCCCAGGCAACCCAAAACCAGCATGTCCCCAGACACACTCCCCTAGACACACTCCGCAACGCCCCAGACCTGCTCCCCACTGAGTCCTCTGTATCCAGGAACCATCGGCGCACTACATCAGACTAGAGGTCTGGGGTCACCCGACCATCCCGCCACAAGCCCCTCCGAGGCATCACTGTGTCCAGATTTTGCAAACTGCACCTCCTGAAGGGGCTGGGGTCTGTCCACTTCGCCCCATCTGCCGTGGCAGCACTTCCTCCGTGGTTCGCACCCCCACAGCAGCCTCCTGGGAAGGCACCTCCCTGGGGCCCCTCTCAGTCCACGGTGTGGATATGGTGAGTTCTTAAACCATGAACTTCTGATTTCACAGCTCTGCTTGAAGCCTTCAATGTCAGGCTTCCTGTTGCTCTTAAGATAATGATCAAAACTCTCAACAAAGTTCCCCTGATAAATGCTCTCAACGTGCCCCCCACCACAGCATCCCTAACTGTAATGAATACATCATTGGTCCTCACGGCAGCGGATTAATCGTCTGTGAGTGTTGGTTTAATCTTTCTCTTCTGGAGTTTAGCTGTCACTGCCATATCCCCAGCACGGAGCACAATGACATGTTTATATGTAGAAAATTGAGCGAAAAATAAAAACAGCTAACATTTGGGTACTTATTATCTTCCAGGCAGCAAGCTATGCATTTTGCATATATTAGCAAATCCATGAGGCAGGTGCTGTCTTCATTGTACAGGTGAGGAGCCTGAAGCTCAGAGAGGTGAAGGAACATCCTCAAGGCCACGCTCTGAAATCAACAAAAGATACATCAGTTTATTGTGGGAAACATCAGAACATGCAGAGATATTAACAAAGAGAAGTCACTCAGAGATGACTGTCATTAACATTTTGGTGTATTTCTTCGTAGACATTTTCCTATGTCTCTGCATAGTAACATACTGTCCAGAGTGCTTGTAATCTGCTAGACGGTTTGATGAGACCAAGTTTTCATGGTATTAGCCACGGCAATATTTGTATTCATATTTTAGGGTATGGCTGAACTGAAATTTGCTTTTGCTCAACTCAGCCCCTCTTGTGAACATTAGGCACTTTGCACTTCACCTGCTGAAAACGTGGTAGTCATAAACACGCTGGTAGCTCAATCGTCCCACCTATCTTTACTATGTTATTCATTCCTAGCAGTGGGGCCTGGGTCAAAAGTTCTGCAGGGTTTTAAGGCTTTGGATCAGTGGTTCGGGATTGTCCTCTGGGACGGGCTGAGAAGCACACATGCCTGCCGGTGGTGACAAGCATTCCTTCCTAGTGCAGAGTCAGGTCTGCACCTGGCACCCCCTACCCATCCAGGTTGGGTCCCTGGCATTCAGTTATGTGGAACAGACCAGAAAAATTAAAAAAGAACCCCCTCCCGCATCTTCCCCGAAGGACCACTGGCCTGCTGTCTCTCCCCGCACTCCCCCACTGGAGTTCATACCCACTGAATCACGACCCCCTTGTGGCTAAGCCCTGGTGCGCCACCCTGCAAAATCAAAGGTGGTGTCTAGGCACAGAAATGGCTCCGTGACCTATGTCCCCTTTGTTCTAATCTAGAATCCAGCCAGGAGTATGCGTGTCAGAAGCCAGGGGTGATTGTGTTTTTTCTCCTTCCTCTTTCTTTAGGTCAGGAAGATTCCTGCAGCTGCTGAGTTAGTACTTTTAAGAAAGTACTGGATTCCCTCTCACAATGGGACTTTGATTTTTTTAAGAAAAAGGTTTCATAAGTTTTCAAATAACCTGGAGCAGTTGAGCAAACTTAATGTGCAGCGTGGTCCCTGCTGGCTGGGTTTGAGGGGCTGGGTCTCTCTGAGTGGATGCTGGTGAGGTGCAGAGGTGAGTGAAGGCTTATCCGGGAATGGAGGAGAAGGGGACAGCCTGGGGAATAAAAAAGAACTTTCCGTGAGACGCTGTACCTCAATGCTAGATAATGCCAGGCTGGGCTTTTGCTAGTCTTAAAAACTACATCACGCATGTTATAGGCAAAGGCCGGCAGCCCCTCCCAGGGAAAGCCCTTTGTTTGAGTCCATAGAGACCCCCTATTGCAAGGGCCCCTTTCGTGATTTTTGAGGGGTCTGCAGGAAAAGAGGGCAGAGGTCGTAGTTTGGGGATCGCTGGTGACCATGCACCAACTTTTTTGTTGTTTCCATCTCAGGAAGAAGAAAAGGTGCCTGAGGGCCTGTGTGGAAGGCCTGTCACACAGCACATCCTGGGAAATCTGTCCAGGAAGCAGCCAGGCGGGCATCAGCCAGGCGGGCATCAGCATCTTCACTGTGCAGATGAGAAACTGAGGCCGCAGAGGTGAAGGGACATGCCCAGGATCACTAAGGCAAGACGGGGGAAGAGCAGAGATCTTGGGCATGATCTCGGCTCACTGCAACCTCCACCTCCCAGGTTCAAGGGATTCTCCTGCTTCAGCCTCCCAAGGAGCTGGGATTACAGGTGCCCGCCACCACGCCCGGCTAATTTTTGTATGTTTAGTAGAGACAGGGTTTCACCATGTTGGCCAGGCTGGTCTCGAATTCCTGATCTCAAGTGATCCGCCTTGCTCTGTCCCTTAGGGACCTCAGCTTAGTGTTCCACACACTGGCAGATCGCCTCGTTCTTCTCAGGGCTCAGTGTTTTCCTGAGTCTGAACCACGATCTGGGTAGCCATCCCCTGGCGAGGACCATTCGGGGTTCCAGCAGTCACATGCCACGGTAAACAAGCTTCGTAAACATCCCACGACAAAGGTGGGAGAGAATCCCAGTAGGGACAATGACTACAGGTGGAATTGCTGGGAAAAAGTATGTCGGTTTTAAGTGTTGATAACTGGTCCTTTATTGGTCGTGGTCATTCATTCTTCTGCCAGGCGGGGCTGGTGTTCCTATATCCTCTCCTCACCAACAGAGCGTCTTATGTTTATTTGTTGGCAACGTGGCAGGTGAAACATGTACCCTGTCATTAAAAAAAATTATACTTGGCTGGGCACGGTGGCTCACACCTGTAATCCCAGAGCTTGGGAAGCTGAGGTGGGTGGATTGCTTGAGGCCCGGAGCTCGAGGCTAGCTTGGGCAGCACAACGAGACCCTGTTTCTACAAAAAATACAAAAATTAGTGGGGTGTAGTAGTGCACGCCTGTAGTCCCAGCTACTGGGGAGGCTGAGGTGGGAGGATCACTTGAGCCTGTCTCAGAACAAACAAACAAACAAACAAAAATAAGAAAAAAATACATAGTTTTAAAACAGTTTTAAACACATTTGGGAAAATATAGGCAGTAGAAATAGCAGTTGTGCTGTTAATGCCTCAGACAGGGCTGGGCTCGTAGTAGGTGCTCAATAAATATGTATTAAGTAAGTGAATAAGGAAGAAAATCCCATGGCTCTGCCAACAAGAAACACTTCTGTCAACATTTCACTGTGTTTGTTTTCCTGAGTATTTTTTCCTCTACATAATTTAGCTTTGTTTTCCATTCATTATGCTCACCCGTGCAGACACAGTTTTTAATCTTGTTTCTTTTTTTTCACTTCACGTTGTTGACATGTGTGTTTCTCTCTTCTAAGCAGCGTTTCAGCATCTCTATAAAACCCTCACAGGTATGTGAACCATAGATCATTTGAATCGTCTATTGTGCTTTTAGGCTGTTTTCAATTTTTCTTTTTATAAATGATGCAGCAGAGTATCTTTATGCAGAGACCGTTTCCATACTTCCCCCTGTGCAGAAGGAAAAGTAGGCAGAAGAAAGATTAACTTGGTCAAAGCTTTTAAAATCTGATTTAATACTTCTTAAGAATGATGCACCTTATGAAACAACTTTATATCTGTTGAAAAACCTAGTTCTTTTTTTAATATTGTTTTAAAAAATGACTTGTTCTGAACAATATCCTGTGCCTTTCAGAAGACAGCGACGGATATGAAAGGAGATTTGTTCTCTCCAAGCTCTTAGGAGGCGATCTGGCTCAGGAAACAGACACATCAGATCCGAGCATGTATCTGATGGTTGCTATGGGAACAAGTCATTTAACAGCCACTCAGCTAAAGCATTGATCAATAAGGAAGGGGGCAGGAGGGAAATAAATTAGTTGGTGTCTGAATAGCCCTGAGAGAGAGCAATAATGCGTCCCCTTCCCATGGCAGGGGCCCGGGCAGGAGGCAGGGGCGAAGTCTCGTCCATCCACGCTGGGATGTGTGGGGTAGGAGGGCAGAGGGGGCAGAGAACAGAATCATATTGGGGTGAGAAACCTGCTCCCCAAACCAGATATGGGGCAAGTGAGGCCTTAGACAAGGCTGGGGGCAGGGCTCCCAGGGATGGGGGCACGGCTGGTCCCGCTTCTCCACGCTCCTGTGATGTGCTTGCCGGGCCTGCTGGGATACCCTGTGGCACCCCATCGCTCTAGTGGGGAGTTCCGGTCTAGAGAGGAGCCGTGACTCCTTCCAGGCACATGGTCAACCCCACTTGTCTTCTGGGGGCTCCCAGCCTGGCAGGGGAGAAAGGCAAAGGCCCTCACGGGGTCGTTCATTGATTCATCCACAAATACTTCCTGAGCCTGTCTGAGGGACCATGCTCAGGCCTGGGCAGACAGCAGAGACCCAAGGAAAGAACAGAACTTGGGCTCTGGGGCCAAATCGTGGCTCGGCCACTTGGCAGGCTCTTCACCTGTAACGTGTTGAGAAAGTGACGTAAAGTCAGAGCCAGGAGTGGGCATCCTGAGTGCTCAGCTGCCATTGCTGGGACTCATAATCGCAAGGGAAGGCAGAGACAGAAGTGAGGGTTCCTAAGTGGAAGGTACTCATAAAGCCTTGGCTGAATACGTATGGCTGACACAGGGGTGTCTGTGTTTGCCACCAAAGGGTGGCCCTGGGCTGGGATTACACACGGAGAGAAGGCGGGAGGAAAGTCAGGGAGCCTCAGACCATTGGAGGCTGCATCTATTGACCTCTGATCCCCACAGGCATGGGTGTGGGTGTGGGTGTGGGTGTGGCTGGCTCAAGGGTCAGTGCCCACCAGAGAACTGGACCATAGATGAGCTGGACTTTTCCAACCCTGCCAGCCTGGGCCATCTCAAGGGTGCTATTGGTTGTGAGGGGAGGAGGCCCTCTTTTCTGAGTCCCTCCCCAGATGAGTGCAAGCTGGGACACATATACGAGAAGGATCCTAATAACATGCATGCCAAAATCCTGCTGTCCCAGCCTTTGGTTCCAGCAGTTTGACTTCTGGAAGTCTTTCCCAAGGAAATAACCTTGAACCCACGGTGTCTGCTGTAGCATTCTTCATAAGAGTGACTGCAAACAACCTCTAAGCCCCAAATCATGTATTGGTTAAAAAAATAATGATTCCTTTTCTTGCTTTAACTCAGGTGATCCCTAGAAACACAGCCAGTGGCCCGGAAGCTGCACTGTTTTGTGCACCGCAGGGATGGGCACAGATGGGGCTGCCTGCCCTCCTCCTGGAAGGAGGGAGAACCCAGTCTGGCCTGGAGTGGTCAAGAGCTAACTCTAGACTCAGCAAGACCTACTTCTCTCTCCTGCCCCTACTTCCTTGCTGCTGACCTGGGCAAGTCGCTGAAGCCTCTCCGTGCCTCAGTCTGCTCGTGCGTAAGATGGGCACAGGGCACACTGCCTACTTGATTGGGCTCAACCACGTGCAGTAAGTAGCTGGTGTCTGGCAAGAGCCCTCAGGAAACAGTAACCCCATTAATTCAAATGCACGTGCCTGGAACAGGCTCTGGGGGGCCAGCCCGGGAGTCCCACTCCATGATGGCCACCCTGGGGCCTGGCAGGCTGGGCTGGCATCCCAGGCCCACCGGATACTGGCTGTGCACCCCGGCCAGGCCACACATCTCTGAGCCTCACTTTCCCGTGTGTGAGATGAGGCTAGAAGCTGCTTTCTCTTGCGTGTGTGGGGATTGGCGGTGACAACACGGCCAGGAGCCCAGGCCCAGCCTACGCGAGCAGCCTCGCTCCAGGCCACACGCCCCACTCCTGACAGCTCTGTGCAGCGAGTTCGTGCGCGAGCGGGTGGCTGTCTGCCAGGCGAGGGGCGCGGGTGCCCAAGAGGGCTTCACTGCTTCTGGAAAGATCACAAGGAAAAACCACCTCCGCGGCGGGACGCTACCCGCGGGCCGCTGCGGTCCCGCTCGCGGCCGGCAGGGGGCAGGATGTCCCCGCGAGTCGCCCGTGTCTTCGGGTGTCCTCAGGTCACCCCGCACCGCTCGCAGCCTCCGCGCCTAGTTAAAGGGCGACGCACTCATTTCTGCAAAGAAGGAGCCCAGCGGCCCCTCCCCGGGGAACTCTTTCCATCAACTCGGGGCCTAATAATTTACATTTAATTTGTTAGCGGTTTAATGTTTAATTTTAAAAGCGAGATGATTCATTACCATATTAATAAATAATAACATTTATTATTCTCCTAATGAGTGTCCAAAATACAGAAGCAATTACATGTTTTATATATTTTCTCGTAATTTGAGACACCAGAGCGTTAATTACAGAGACTCACGCGTGGACCCCATTCTGATCCAGGGTCCTGATCCTGCCTTTGTTTCGGTCTCTGAACCAGCCGCCCTCCGGGGCTTCTGCAATTCCCTCAATTAGAGGAGAGGAAGTCGTACGTGACGAAGCTGGGGCTCTCACAGAACCCCGGCGCCCCAGACCCAGGAGCTGCAAGACCTCAGCTCCCCGTGCCCACACTCGGAGACCCAGGCCCCTCCCAGTCCCCCGTCTCCTCTGTGCAGGGTTCTTCAGGAAGAATCGGAAAGAGGCCCCCCGACCCACAACCAGCCTCGCATTCCCTCCTCCCGCAGGGATCCATTGAGCTGGGGGGTGGGACTATCCTCACTTCACAGATGGGGAAACTGAGTCCTGGAGAGAGACGCTCCGGTGTCCTCAGCTGGTGAGGGGCAGATCCGGGAGCCACGTCCCACGCAGTCGGTTGGCCCCAAGCTTGGTTCCTGCCTCAACCCCAGCGCAGGTTGCAGCAGGCCCGCGTAGGAGGGCGGCCTGGGTCTGGACAGATCCACAGCCGGCCAACGCCCCTGGCTAGCTCTCTATGGCTTTGCTTCTTCTCTTGACTTGCCAAGTTCTTCTTGTTCATTGTAGAAAATGTGGAAGGTGAGGCCGGGAGCGGTGGCTCACGCCTGTAATCCTAGCACTTTGGGAGGCCGAGGCGGGCAGATTGCCTGAGCTCAGGAGTTCGAGACCAGCCTGGGCAACATGGTGAAACACGTCTCTACTAAAAAAAAAAAAAAAAAAAAAAAAAAAATTTGCTGGGCGTGACGGCAGGCGCCTGTAGTCCCAGTGGGAGTTTGGGGAGGCTGAGGCAGGAGAATCACTTGAACCCGGGAAGCAGAGATTGCAGTGAGCCGAGATCGTGCCACTGCACTCCAATCTAGCGACAGAGCAAGACTCCGTCTCAAAAAAAAAAAAAAAAAAAAAAGTGGAAGGTGAAAAAAACACGGAGAGACAGCAAAGCTGGCAATGACATAGCTCCAAAAATCCCACTTCTCAGATAAGATGCAGGCAGTAAGGGCCTGGAGTTTTATGTATCCTGATGTTTGAAAGGGCTTGGACAGGGCACTTCCTCCCTCCATAGCTCTTCTGTCCTTAGGAATCCCTCCCTTCTGGAGGGGAAGGGTGGGGGTTTTCCTGTTTGGTCCCCAGGGAAGGAAGTTCAGAGACAGAGGCCCACTCAGGGCCACCCCCTGGCCTGCACCCCTGAAATGCAATTTGGATAATATGGAAAATTACTAGGAAGAAAAAACGCTATAATCCCCCCACCTAGAGATAACCAGGCGTTCTGGTATATACCTATTGAGGACTTTTTTCCCAAGCAAATACTCAGAAAGAGACTTCCTCCCAATAGGCATGAGATCTTACTCCACGTGCAGTTTGTCTTATCTTGATTTTTTTCCAGTAATCTTTTAAGAGTTTCCCATGCCATGTAGTCATTCTTCAAAAACCCACTTTGAACAGCTGCGTAATATTCCGCTGTGGAGGAGTGCCCTGCAGTGTAGAGAAATGAGTTATTTACGCTGAAGTCTGTTATTACATGGACATCTTCCCTTTTCTGACCCTGCAATGACCACACTCATAGGTGAGTCTCTCTGGAAATCCTTGACTACCTCCTTAGGGTCCATTCTTAGAAGTGGAATTACTGGGTTAGAGGGCATGAGTGCCTTGAGGGCGGCTGTCTCCCTCTACCTGCATGCCTGCCAGGGCAAACCCGTGCATGCTCCCAGGACAGGCCTGGCAGGGCGTGTCTCCCTGCTGCACCCTTGGTACCCTTGGCAGGGCTAACATTATCCTCTAAACCAGGTCTTTGCAGCACTTACCCTTTTCAAGGTGCTACTGTACCTCTCCTTTAAGGAGGGTTCATCCCGGGAATCGTGAAACACAGGCAGGCTGGTCCTCTTCTCACAACTTCATGATGGATAGACTGAGGCCCACTGAGGCCAAATGCACTTGACTCAGAAGGTTTTAGAATCTTTTTTGGATCCCATTTGGATCCCACACCATTGAAGCCTCCTTGTGTTTCAGATTATGGGGAAAGGCTCAATGATATGTCCCAGGAGAGTGCTGTCTCTGAAGTCTACCCAGCCACAACCCATCCACAAACTCATCCACAAACCTATTCATTCTGGAACTCATCCACTTACCCTCCACCCATCCATTCATCTCAGGACTCATCCACCTATCCATCCACCCATCCATTCACACTGGAACTCATCTATCCATCCATCCATCCATCCATTCACCCACCCACTTAACCATACATCCACCTATCCATCTGTCGATCCATGCATCCATCCATCTATCCATCCATCCATCCATCCATCCATCCATCCATCCATCCATCCATCCACCCACCTACTTAACCATCCATCCACCTATCCATCTGTCAGTCCATGCATCCATGCATCCATCCATCCATCCATCCATCCATCCATCCATCCAATCATCCATCCATCCACCTACCTACTCATCCACTAAAAAATATTGGTTGAGAACCAACTCTGACTCAGGCCCAGGTGCAGGAAATTTTGCATGAACAGCTCTGGCTTTTACAGGCAAGGTAGACCTTAAAGAGCAAGCACAGTTGCAGTGACTCATCTGCAAGGTGAAGGTTAGGTATTATGGGAGCACAGGACAGGGAGCTCAGACCTTCCTGAGAAGGGTGGACCAGGCCCCACTGGCACTCTTTGTGTGACCTTGGTGGAGTCCCTGCCTTTCTCCTGCCCTGCTCCCTATGCTGAGCCACAGAGGAAAAGCCATAACTTACATATTGGCTAGAAAGCATAGTTGGCCAGGGGGAAGTTGGCCACTTTCTGGGAAGCAGAAAGTGGGCAGGGAGGCCCAGCCCCTGTGCTGACATCTGTGTGGCAGTTATTCTCAGGGGTCTTGAGAGAATTAGAACAAACACAGAGGTCAGTGCCAGGCACCACTGTCACGGGGCCATGAACTCTTCATTGTTATTGCTTATTATTATTATTAGTAGTAGTAGTACTAACACTTTCTGAGGTTTTTTTCATCGGCCAGGCATCATGCTGAGAACTTTCAGATATTGGTTCATTTAATCCTCCCTTAGCCCTGTCAGGTAGGCAGAAATTGTTACTCTCACTTTACAGATGAGAGCATTGAGGCACAGAGTAGTTATGTAACTTGCTCAGGGTCACAGCCAGTAGGTGTGCGCAGCCTGTGCCTTGTGGCTTTGCTGCATGCCCTGCCCTTCTTGTTCTTGTTACTGCAGGCACCTACAGTGGGGCATTTAGGGAGCCTGACTTGCCCAGGGACCCACTGAAGAATCCAGGCCCCATCCCTAGAGTAGCATGCACAGGAATCTCCCTGCCCTGCCCCGGCCTCTGCAGTGTGAGGTCAGGCGTCTCCTTCCTCCACAGGCCCTGGACTAGCACGCACGGGAGCCTCCCTCCAGGCCCCATCCCTGGAGTAGCATGCGTGGGAGTCTCTCTGCCCTGCCCTGGCCTCTGCAGTGTGCAGTCAGGCCTCCCCTTCCTCCACAGGACCCCATAAAGGGAGGAGGGGAAGCACGTGTGACCCTGCACACTTCTCCCACCCTCTCTGAGCCTTTGTTCCTGAGGGGCCTCGGGGGAAACCATGGATGTGAAAGAATGCTGCGGAATGCAGCGCAGGAGTGAGGCTGCAATGGTCACTCGCTCACTCAGTGGGTGCACATGCTCTGCCCTGCTCACAGCAGGCCCCTTCTCGGCACTGGGGTTCCAGTTGTGAACAAGAAGGTCAGAATCCTGATCTCAGGGCGCTGACAATCTAGAGAGGGAGGCAGACAGTGAGCAGTGCGATCATGACCGAATGCAGGGTGAAGGTGCAGTGCTGCGGAGAAAATCTGGGTGACGGGATGGAGACTAACGGGAAGGGGGGTCCCACAGGAGCCAGGCTGGAGAGGAGATATTTAAATGGAATGAATACAGGGACCATACAATGTGCCTGGGGATGGGAGGGGGAAGAGAGAGAAGAGAGGACATTCCAGGAACAGCAAGCGCACAGGCCCTGAGGCAGGAGTTGCCTGGTGAGTTTGAGGAGTGCTCAGGCCAGCGGAGGGGAAAGTGGACAGTGGGAGATGAGGCCAGGGCAGGGTTGGGGCCAGGCCAGGTGTGGCAGTGGGTGAGGACTGAGAGTGAGCTGGACCTTCCTGGTGGGTTTGGAGCAGAGCAGGGTGGTGATTCAGTGCAGGATTTCGGGGTGCTTCTGGCTGCATGAGAACCAGGATGTGGGGTGAGGGCTGGGGCTGCCTGCCGAGAGGCCCCTACTGTGATCCACAGGAGAGCAGGGTGGTGGCTCAGACCAGAGCTGTGGCTATGGAGGGGACCGGCTGGATTTGGGATAAACCTGGATAGGAGGAGACAGCAGAGCTGCATGGTGGGCCAGGTGCTGGGGTGACAGACAGGAGCTAAGGTGACTCCAGGGTCTGGGTCTGAGCCCTGGAGGGAGGGAGGTGCCTAAGCCCTGGAGGGAGGGAGGTGCTGAGATGGGGAGGATGGTGGTGGAGCAGGCTGGGGAGATGAGGAGCTTGAGGGGCCAGGTTAGGAGCTAACCACCCATTCACTGTTTATGGGTGGGGTGGCTGCCGGGCAGGTGGCCATGTGAATCTGGAGCTGGGAGAAGACACTGACCTAGAGACGGAAAGCAGAAGCTTTTCCCAGAGCTGGGAACACAGGAAGCTGCTCACCCCACTGTCGTTGCTCTGAGAGCCAGGAGTGACCCCTGGACTCCAGACAAGCGCCTCTCAGGCCTGCACTGGCCCTTGCATTTTCCCTCACACCTTCTCCCCTGCCTCCTGAGCTATTTCCCTCTTAGATCCAGAACCGTCTTCCTAACCCACCCATCTGACCAGGTTCCTCCCTGCCTAGCACCATCCATGGCTCCCTGTGGCCCTGGTAGGCGGACTAGACCCCAGGGCTCTGCCCTCCCGTAGCTCCTGCTCTCACCTCTCCTAGTCTCCCACCCAGGCTCTCGCCACACCAAAGTGTCCGGCCCCCAAAACACCCAGCTGCTTCCTGCCTCCACACTGTTGTTCCCCTTGTCCTGAAACCTCCCCCACTCCCCGCACCTGGCCCTGAGTATACCATCTGTGGGACTAAACCTCAGTTTCCCCATCTGTAAAATGGGAGTAATCCTTTCTGTACCTGCCTCACGGGGTGCTGGAGGTATAAACGAGTGCCTGCCACTAGTACCCAAGAAATGGTAACTTACAAGGAAACAGAGCTCCGTGCCACTTCTTCCTGGAAGCCTTCCCAGGCTGCCTGAAGCCCTCCCTGAAAGCCCAGCATTCTTCACACTTCCTGTCATTGTCTCGTTGATTTTTGCCCCAGCAGCAAGCTGAGGACTGTGGCAGGGTCCTCTCCTCCCTGGGCTGCCCCGGCTCTGGCATGTAGCAGGTGGGAGAGAGAGTAATACCAACACCTGAGCGGGTGCCGGGTGCTTCGGTGGAGACAGGTGGTCCCGCTGCTCCCCAGATTCTCTTGAGCCCTGCCGGGCAGGGGTCTCGTCTCTCCTCAGCCCGTGAGGATGCTGGGGTCCAGAATGGGTAGGGAATGGGCCCAGTGTCACACAGCCTGGGCCTCTGACTCCAGGTTGGGCGCTCATTGTTGGGCCTCTTAGTCTGGGCAGTCAGCTCAGACATGCCTCAGGTGACGGTGGGATGGGGCTTGGGGCCGGGCCTTGAGAGGGCAAGACGTCTAGTGCTCTACCTTCCTGCTGGGAGTGACAAGGAACTTCCTGGAGAAGGCCATGGCAGAACCAGGCCTGGAGGAAGCAGGTCGAGCAGCACAGGGGGAAGGGCATTCTAGGGAAGGGGCTCTGCAGGAGAGAGCCTGTCCAGCCAATGCAGAGAACGGTGGGCTCCCCCTGGTTGGCTCTGGGAGACTGTGGGTCTCCTCCTGGTTGGCTTTGGGGTTGTTGCTCCAAACGTTGTGGTTTCTCTCTCTCTCTCTCTTTTTATTTTTTGAGACAGGATCTCTCTCTCTGTTGCCCAGGCTGGACTACAGTGGCATGATCTCAGTTTACTGCAAACTCTGCCCTCTGGGCTTAAGCAGTCCTCCTGCCTCAGCCTCCTAAGTATCTGATACCACAGGCATGCACCATCACACCCTGCTAATTTTTGTATTTTTGGTAGAGATGGGGTTTTGCCATGTTGCCCAGGCTGGTCTCGAACTCCTGAGCTCAAGCAATCGGCCCACCTCAGCCTCCTCAAGTGCTGGATTACAGGCGTGAGCCACTGCACCCGTCTGTGGCTTTTTTGTTGACATGACCACAAATGCAAGTTGTACCCAGAGGATGTGGGAAAATGGAAACTAATTTGTTTTCTGGTCATGTTAAATTTACCTTTAGGAAGTAGCAGGAAGGTAAACATCTCTTCTCCCTGTGTTCTCTCTTGGGGCTGATGGAGCCCTGCCTTCCCACACTGCACGGCCAGTGGGTGACCGAGAAGAGTCATTTTATTCATGCAGTGAACATCCGACCCTGGTACATTCAGCCTGAGACTGAAGGTACATTCTGCCTCCAACTGAAGGCAGGGAAGACATGGATGGAGGGGCCCCTTGGCACTGGGGACAGTGGCCTCTGAGCACCCTGGAGGACAGCTGACCTGGCATGCAGCAGTGGAGAGTGTGGCTGCCAGCAGCGGAGCTACCCGGTTAGCGCCAGTCACCATCATGCCTCTTGGGTGCCACGGACTGGAAGCAGCACCCTGGCCAGAACAGAGAGAGGTCAGCACCCGGGAATCAGCACTCAGGCTCACGCTGTGGCTCAAGTCCAAGTGTTGGTGGTGGACTCAGAGACTTGAGCTTGTCTTGTGTTTGACATGGGTGAGTGCCACCCCACGTGTGCGGTTCTGATGGCCCAGCCTCATGTGACCTCACGAAAGAAGCGTGGATCCTCCAGCCGAGTGGCCGGCCTGCCAGGCCTCCCTCCCAGACCTAGTTCATTCCCAGGGTACCTCTGGACACCTGGTTTACCCCATGTGGGGTGGTGGTTGGGTAGAGTTAGAGAGCGCCCCAAATGGGGAGAAGGGGGAACTAGGGTCCCCACAGTCCAGGTCAGGGCTTGTCCCAGACACCACAGGGGTCTCAGACAATTTGAGGAGGGCACATCAAAGCTGGAGCTCCCCGAGACGTGGGGCCTGGGGCAGGGCCCCTGCTGGGTAGAGTCTGAGGGGCCTCAGAGAGGGTAAGAGATTTGCCAGACATGCGGCCTGCAAGTGGGGCTCTGGTTTGCAGGCCCAGGGCTGTCAGAGACAGTGGGGAAATGTTCCCAAGCCCCAGCGGGGAATCTCAGCAGCAGAGACAGATGACGGGACAGTTATTTGTGGAGGGTGTACGAGGTGACGCTGGGAACATTTCCAGCCGTCTCCCAAGGCACCCCAGTCCTGACTGGTGACTTTCACTCTTTGCTTCTGGGCTCTCTGTCTCAGAGCCCAGCTGGGGACTGGCTTGTCTGAGAAGATAATTCCCACTCCAGTGTTAACAGCTTGACGGGGACCCTCAGCCTTTGCCTGAAGAAATGGGACAGGATGGAAACCCATGTGTCTGACTTGGGGCCTGGCCCAGGCTGGTCCCCACCCCCACTCCCACCTGGGACCCCAACTCCAGGTCTCCCATCCACATCCTGCCTGAGGGCCCGGAGCTCCCTGGCATCTCCTGCCTGTAGGCCCTGGCTCCTTCCTTTGAGGTGTTTTGGGGCCTGGGACCTGCACAGAAATGGAGACAGCACAGCCACAGTGACCCGCGTCTCGGGGCAGGTGACCCATGCCAAGGGCAGCTCATCCCAGGCCCGACTCTGAGCCTCCACGTTCCCTGGCTCTGGGGTCCAGCTCATCCCAGGCCTGACTCTGAGCCTCCACATTCCCTGACTCTGGGGTCTTTTGATGCCAGCACTGCAGACGGTCTCATGCTGGCTCAGAGGGCAGCAGGAGTGTCTAAGCCAGGTGGCTGGAACATCTGGAGGAAGCGTGCTGTGGCCAGAGGAGACTGGGGAAGGAGCCTGGGAGGAGGGCTGAGGCGGGGCAGCCAGGGGCCCTGGACCTGAAGCCTTTGGGTGTGGCCTGTGACCTGTGCCTGACCCTGACTCTCGCCTCCCCTGGAAGCTGTGTCTTTGCCTCTGAATCCAGGCCTGCCACCCCCATTTCCAGCTTCTTGAAGGTATGTCCTAGCCCCAAAAGGGTCTCAGCATCTGCCTCTGATTTTTGAGGATCCAAGTTGAGAGGAAGCCTCCAAAGATGCTTGAGCACACCTGGGAACAGGTGTGTGTGTGTGGGGGTGGGGGAAGTGGGATGGGGGTGTTGGGGTGTAGGACTGCTGGGCTACGTGGTCAAATTAACAGCTCTCCCTGGCTGAGCCTGTCCTGTGTGCCACCCCCGCCCACCCTTGACTCCAGTGGTCCCAGTCACTGACTGTCTAGCCCGTCCCACTATTGAGAACAAGCACAGATCCACTGGCCAAGGGGCTCTGTGTCCTCCTCCAGCCCTGGACAGGCCTCAGGCCAGGCCTGTCTGCCCTCTCTACCCACCAGCAAGTGTGACACTCGGGGTCTCTGGGCAGGTGGCCCCATTGCTGCCGTGCACAGGATGAAGCAGGGGCAGCAGCTCACCGCCCTGGGCTCTGTCTTCTTCTTCCCACGGTCCCCTGATTTGCCTCCCGAGTGAGGGAACCTGGCACTCTGGGGCTCCCTCCTTCCCATTGTGGTCCAGGTGTCCTAGCCCCATTGGTTTATTCCACCCCAGAGTTTTCTGCCTGGACCACGCTCCAGCATCCTGGCACATTCAGCCTCTGGCCTCACCCTTCTTGACTGCAGGGAGACACAGTTTTACTGCATCTTCTTCAATTTTCGTGCCTTTTATCCTGTTTTTCTTTCCTGATTGCAATGCCAGGGTCTCCAGTATAATGTTGAATAGAAGTGGTGAGAATGTCTATCTTAGGAGGACAGTGTCAATATTTCAGCATTTAGTATGATGTTAGCATAGCATTTTCTCAGATGTCCTTTGTTGGGTAAGGAAGATTCTCTTTATTCTTAGTTTTCTGAGAGTGCTATCAGGGTTGGGTGTTGAATTGATCATATGTTTTTTACTTTCTCCTTTCTTTTTATATGGTAAATTATATTGATTTTCAAATCTTAAAACACTTTATACTGCTGAGATAAGTCCTTTTGTTCTTTTAAATATACTGTTGGATTCTATTTGCTAATAATTCATTAAGATTTTTTTGTGTCTATGTTTTCATGAGAGATATTGGACTGTAATTGTCTGCAAATTTATCAATTTTGCAATGTATTTGTCAGGTTTTGGTATTAAGATTATTTTAGTCTCATAAAATAACTTGAGAAGTGTTCTCTTTATCCTTGATTTTTTCAAAGAGGCTGTGTTCCTCCTTCAGTGTTTGATATGGTTCACCAATGAAGACATCTGAGTCTGGAGTTTTATTTATGTGAAGGGTTTGCTAACAAATTCAGTTTTTAAATTAATTATAGGGCTATTAAAGTGTTCTATTTCATCTTGTGTTAGTTTTGGTAAGGTGTATTTTTCAGGGAGTTGTCAATTTCCTAGCACTTGTTGAATTTGTTCATGTAAAGTTGTCTGCAGGATTTGTAGTGACCATGTCTTGCTAAATCTGGGTATTGATGATTTGTGTTTTCTCTCTTTCATGATCAATCTAGCTAAGGGGTAATCAATTTTGTTCATCTTCTCAAAGAACCAAATTTTGGCTTTGTTAATTTTCTCTATTGTTTTCTATATACACTTAGAGGGTTATACATTTCCCCCAAGCACTGTTTTAGCTGCATATCATTGATTTTGATATGCTGTATTTTCATGATTATTCAGTTTTTGTGGTTCCTTTGATCCATTGATTATTGAGAAGTATGTTGTTTAAAAACATTTGGGGGTTTCTGAGATATTGTATTATTACTGGATTTAATTCCATTGTTATCGGATGTACTCTGGCTGATTTCAGTACTTATTAAACCTTGTTTTATAGCTCAGAATATAGCCTATTTTTGGAAATGCCCTTTAAAAGAATGTGGACTCTGTAGTTGAATATAGTATTCCATAAATATCAATTGAAGTGGTTGATAGTGTTATTCAGATCAACTATTTCATTTATATCTGAACTTTTAATCTATTATTCTATTAATTACTAAAAGAGTAGAGTTAACATCTTTAATGATGATCAAAGAGCTGTCTGTTTCCCCTTTTAAATTCTGTTAATTTTGGCTTCATATATTTTTAGGTTTTGTTATTATATGAATACATATTTATGTTTTCCTGATGAATTAACCATTTTATCTTTATGAGCTGGGCTTCATGATCACGAATAAAACCCTTTTTCTTGAAGTCTCTTTTATCTGATATTAAGATAATGACCCCAGCTTTTTTTTTTTTTTTTTTTTTTTTGAGATGGAGTCTGGTGCTGTCGCCCAGGCTGGAGTGCAGTGGCGCGATCTCGGCTCACTGCAAGCTCCGCCTCCCGGGTTCACGCCATTCTCTTGCCTCAGCCTCCCGAGTAGCTGGGACTGCAGGTGCCCACCACCATACCCAGCTAATTTTTCTATTTTTAGTAGAGACGGGGTTTCACTGTGTTAGCCAGGATGGTCTCGATCTCCTGACCTTGTGATCTGCCTGCCTCGGCCTCCCAAAATGTGGGATTACAGGTGTGAGCCACCACGCCCGGCTGACCCCAGCTTTTTTACAACTACTTTTTTTCCCTCTCTCTATTCACATCCATTCACTTTGAACTACACTTTCAAAGTGTACAAAATAAATAAATAAATAAATAAATAAAGGTGCTCTGTCACCCAGGCTGGAGTGCAGTGGTGTGATCTTGGCTCACTGCAACCTCTGCCTCCCGGGTTCAAGAGATTCTCCTGTCTCAGCCTCCTGAGTAGCTGGGATTACAGGTGCCTGCTGCCATGCCTAGCTAATTTTTGTATTTTTAGTAGAGCCAGGGTTTTACCATGTTGGCCAGGCTGGTCTTGGACTCCAGACCTCAGGTGATCTGCCCGCCTCGGCCTCCCAAGGTGCTGCGATTACAGGTGTGAGCCACTGCGCCTTCCCTGTCTTCATATTTAAAGGGCGTCACCTGTATAGGTTTATAGCTGGTTCTTGCTTTTGTATCCATTTTGACAATCTCTGTCTTTTTATTATGTTGTTTGGTTCATTCATATCTTTCATTTTATTATGTGTTTTCTGATTATTTCCTTTGTTTTTGGTTCCTCTGACTCTCTTTTCTGTCTTCTTTTGAAGAATTGGAATGGTTTTTAGGGTTTTGTTTTATCTATTGCATTTTTTAGCTATACCTTCTCGTATTTTAAAAAATTCTGGTAGCTGTTCTAGGGATTAAAAATACATTCTTAACTTTTGACAGTCTACTTAAATGAATATTTTACCACTTCATGTAAAATGTAGAAATCTTGCAACCATATATATGTGTGTATATATATATATATCCTTTATGTTATAGTTGTTATATGTAAGATATCCACATACATTATAAACTCCATAGGAAAATGGGGTTTGCTTTTTAAGAAATAGAATGAAAGTGTTAATATTTACTAGGTATGTATCATTTATCATTTTCCAGGCTCTTTATTCTTCCTGAAGATTGACATTTCCATCTGGTATCGTTTCTTTCCAGCCTGAAAAGCTCCCTTTAGGATTTCTTGCAGTACAGGAATGAATTCTCTTGGTTTTCTTGGATCCAAAGTGTTCTTATTTCACCTTCATTCTTGAAGACGATTTTCTTTGGTTATAGAGTTCTGAGTTGAAAGTCTTTTTCTTTTGATATTTTGAAGATCTACTGTCTTCTTGTCTCCATAGTTTCTGATGAGAAGTCAGTGGTGATTTCAATTGTTCTGCTACACGTAATTGTAGTTTCCTCTGGCTGCTTTTATGATTTTCTGTTTATCTTTAGTTTTCTGAAATTTGACTGTTGTGTTTTTATTTGGGCATGAGTATGTGTTTTTATTTCATTTTTTCATTCTCCTTGGGGTCTCCTGAACTTCTTGAATCCTTAAAATTTTTGTCTTTATCACATTTGGGAAATTTTGGGCATTATTTCTTTAAATATCTTCCTTCCTTTCCCTCCCTTCCTCCCTCCCTCCCTCCCTTCCGTCCGTCCTTCCTTCCTTCCTTCCTTCCTTCCTTCCTTCCTTCCTTCTTTTCTTTTCCTTTTTTTCCTGTCCTGAGACAGGGTCTTGCTCTATCACCAAGGCTGGAGTGCAGTGACATGATCATAGCTCACTGCAGCCTTGAACTCCTGGGCTCAAGGGATCCTCCCACCTCAGCTTCCTGAGTACTGGGACTATTAGCACGTGTCACCATGTCTGCATAATTTTTTTATTTTTATTTTTTGTAGAGACAGCGGTCTTGCTGTTGCCCGGGCTGGTCTCAAACTCCTGGCCTCATGCAGTCATTTCACTTTGAGCCCCCAAAGTGCTGGGATTATGGGCATGAGCCATCACACCTGGCCCTCATTTTCTTTTCTTGCTCTTTTTGTGGCTCCAATTACATTTGTGTTTGGCCTTTTGATATTTCTGCACAGGTCCCTGAAGCTCTGTTCATTTCTTTTTGATCCCATTTCTCTGTTCTTCAGATTGGATCATTTCTGTTGATGTATTTTGAAGTTCACTGACTCTTCTCTCATTTTGTTACATATAGTGAACCAATATTGGTATGTTATCTTCAACCACTAAGTACTAGACTTTATCCAGATTTTGTTAGCTTTGACACAGTGGCTTCTCCTCTTCCAGGATCCTATCTCATTTACTTCTCATGTTTCTTCAGGCTTCTCTTGGCTATGAGAGTTTCTTACTCTGTCCTTGTTTTGACGACCTTGGCACTTTTGAGGAGTACCGGTCAGGTCTTTTGCAGAGTGCCCCCAAATTGGGATTTGTCTGATGTTTTTCCAATGATTAGGCTGGGTTTATGGGTTTTGGGTGGAAAAACCACAGAGGTTTTTCCAGATGAGAATGCCATTCTTATCACACCATATCAAGAGCACATGCTATCAACATGACTTCATTGACCCTGATCACACAGCTGAGATGTTTATCAGTTTTCTCCATTGTAAAGTTACTGTTTCCCCCTTTTCCGTACTACACTGTTTAGAAGGATGTCACTATGCACATCCCGAACTTAAGGAAGGGGATTTATGTTCCTCCTCCTTGAGGGTGAAATATTTATATACATTATTTGGAATTCCTCTGCAAGGGAGATTTTTCTCTTCTCCCCCACTTATTTATTTAGTTAATCATTTACTTATATCAGCATGGACTCACAGATATTTATTTCATACTTTGGGCTATAATCCAATAATAGCTGATTTTGTTGCTCAAATCGTTTCAGCTTTGGCCCCTGGGAGCACTTACAGTTGACTTCTGAGTCCCTTTAACATTCCCCCATCAATGAAGGGGTTTTGTGTTTTATTTTTGAGCACTTCCTCAATTTCTGGCACTACGAGATACTCATTTTGTAGATTTCCTGCCCCAGCCATAGAATCAGCCATTTCTCCAAGGAGCCCTGGGTGGTTCTACTGCAGAATGGCATTGGAAACTAAGGTCTGGATGCCGGACCTGCTTGTTGCTATTGAGTGTGGTTGCTTCTAGACCCTCTCAGCTGACAGATCAACATATCTATAAATGCTTCTGTATGTAACCACCTGTATCTATATTGAGCTAAACGTGAGTCAATAGTGATGTCTCCAACTCGTATCCCTGACCTCATGGGCCATTCTAACCTCCTCTCCTTGCTTATCTGTAAATTCCCACTCCAACGGGGAGAAACCTGGATTCTACCATCCACCATCCATTTACTTAATTGTTCAATTCCATTATACATGTCCAGCGGTATCAGAACTATTAACCGGTACCACCATCTATCGACTGCAAACAACCATCAACTAGAGCACAGGGTTTATGCACTGTTCCTTTTGTCTCCATTAATTTCCAGAGTCACTTGGCTCACCATCTTTTCCCTCTTCCGCTTCACTGGGGTGGTTTCATGCATTTATAACACCTTTAGAGTCTGTTGCTATCAACTACATCCCTCTTGGAATCCCCCGACCTAAATGATTTTTAAAATTTGCATAGACGAGGGTTCCTTCTTCGTGCTGTCCAGTTCTATGGGTTTGAACAATGAGTAACATCACGTGTCCACCATTACAGGATCATGCGGAATAGTTTCACCACCCTTACGCTTTACCCGTTCCATCTCTCTCCTTCTCTCTGAAACTCTGGAAACTACTGATCTTTTCATTGTCGCTACAGAGTTTTGTGTGTTCTAGAATGTTATATAATTAAATCCTGCAGTATGTAGCCTTTTCAGACTGGCTTATTTTACTTCACAATATGCATTTAAAGTTCCTCCACATTTTCAATGACTTGATGGCCAATATATTTTTATCACTGAATAATATTTCATTGTATGGATGTACCACAGTTTATCCATCTATTCATCCGCCGAAGGATATCTCAGTTGTTTCCAGTGTTTGACAATTACGAATAAAGCCACTGTAAACATTTTCATATAGGTTTTTGTGTGAACATAAGTTTTCAAATCAGTTGGGTAAATACTTATGAGTGTGATTGCTGGATCGTATGGTGAGACTATGTTTAGATTTGTAAGAAACTGCCACACTATATTCCAAAGTGACTGTACCACTTTACATTCCCTCGAGCAATGAATGGAAGTTTCTGTTTCTCTGCATCCTCACCAGCACTGGTACTGTCAGGTTTTTAGATTTTAGCAATTCTAGTATGTGTGTAGTAGTATCTCATTGTTTCAAGTTGCTATTTCCTAATGACAAAAGATTTTGACCATCTTTCATTTTTATTTTTATTATTTTTTATTTTTTGAGATGGAGTTTTGCTCTTGTTGCCCAGGCTGGAGTACAGTGGCGTGATCTCAGCTCACTGTAATGTCCACCTCCCAGGTTCAAGCAATTCTCCTGCCTCAGCCTCCCGAGTAGCTGGGATTACAGGAACCCACTACCACGCCCACCTAATCTTTTGTATTTTCAGTAGAGATGGGGTTTCACCATGTTGGCCCAGGTTGGTCTTGAATTCCAGACCTTAGGTGATTGACCACCTTTTTATATTTTTATTTGTCATATGCAGATCTTCTTTGATGGGATGTCTATGCAGAATTTTTGCTCATTTTTCAATTGGGTTGTTTTCTTACTGTTGAGTTTTAAGAGTTCTTTGTATATTTTGGATGCCAGTTGTTTATCAGTTATGTGTTTTGTGAACATTTTCTCCGAGTCTGTGGCTTGTGTTTTCATTCTTTTAACAGTATCATTTACACAGCAGTCATTTTCAGTGTTACTGAAGTTCACCTTACCAATTTTTTTCATGGGTCATGCTTTTGATATTGTACCTAAAAACTCATCATCAAACCCGAGATCACCCAGATTTCAGCTGTTTTCTTCTGAAGTTTTATAGCTTTGCATTTTACATTTAGGGCTATAATCCATTTTGAATTAATTTTTGTGAAAGGCATAAGATCTGTTTCTAGATTCTTATTATTTTTGCATACGGATGTCCAATTTTTCCACATCATTTATTGAAAGATCGTCTTTCTCCTTTGAATTGCTTTTGCTCCTCTGGTAAAGAGCAGCTGTCTATATTTGTGTGGGTCTATTTCTGTGTT
This sequence comes from Homo sapiens, assembly GCF_000001405.40. Taxonomy (NCBI): domain Eukaryota; kingdom Metazoa; phylum Chordata; class Mammalia; order Primates; family Hominidae; genus Homo; species Homo sapiens. Next base: position 101,612,596 of record NC_000014.9, on the reverse strand, counting down.
TTCTATTCTGGTCTATTGATCTGTTTGTCTTTTCTTTCACCAATACTAGGCTGTCTTGATTACTGTAGCTTTATGATAAGTCCTGATGTCAGGTAGTGTCAGTTCTCCGACTTTGTTCTTCTTCCGTATTGCTTTAGCTTCTGTGGGCGTTTTTCTTTTCATATAACTTTAGAATCAGTTTGTCAATATCTACAAAATAGCTTGCTGGGATTTTGTTTGGGATTGTATTGAATCTGTAGATAAAATTGGGAAGAACTGACATCTCAAAATATTGAGTCTTTCAATCCTTAAACACAATATTCCTTGATTAGATATTCTTTGATTTTGAAAAATCAGAGTTTCATAGTTTTTCACATATAAATTCTGAACATTTAAAAAAAAATTTTTTTTTTAGACAGGGTATCACTCTCTCGCCCAGGCTGGAGTGCAATGGCAGGATCACGGGTCACTGCAGCCTCGACCTCTCTGGGCTAAAGTCATCCTTTCACCTCAACCTCTTGAGTTGCTGGGACTACAGGCATGCACCACCATGCCTGGCTATTTTTTTTTTTTTTTTGTATTTTTGGTGGAGATGGGGTTTCACCATGTTGCCCAGGCTGGCCTCGAACTCCTGGGCGCAGTGCGCCTGCCTCAGCCTCCCAAAATGCTAGGTTTATAGGTGTGAGCCACTGCACCTGGCCAGATTCTGAACATATTTTGTTAGACTTATACCTAATATTTTGTTGGTGGTGGTGTTGTAATTGATATTGTTTTTAAATTTCATATTGCTGGCTTATAGGAAAGCAGCTGACTTTTGTGTATTAACATTGTAGCCCCTGACTTTGCTCTAATTCCTTATAGTTCCAGGAGATTTTGTGTGTGTACATGTATGTGATTTTTTGGGGGTTTTCTTTATAGTTAACCACATCAACTGTGAACAAATTCAGTTTTATTGCTTCCTTCAAAATCTGTATGATTTTTGTTTCTTTTTCTGGTTACAATAGCTGGACTGTCAGTATGATGTTGAATAATAACAGTGAGAGGGAATATCTTTGCCTCGTTCCTAGTCTCACAGAGAAAGCACCCAGTTTCTCACTATTAAGCATGATACTCACTGTAGGTTTTTGTAGATGTTCTTTATCAAGTTGGAGAAATTCTTCTGCATTCCTAGTTTGCTGAGAAATTTTTTTTTTACATGAATTAGTGTCGGATTTTTGTCAAACGCTTCTTCTGCATTTATTGATGTGCACATATGAGTTTTGCTCCTTATCTTGTTGATGTGGTAGATTACATTAATTGATTTTCAAATGTTGAACCAGTCTTGAATACATGAAAATAATCCCATTTGGTCATGGTTTATAATTATTTTTATATATTAGTAGATTTGACTTGACAGTCTTTTTTTTTTCGAGATGGAGTCTCGCTTTGTTGCCCAGGCTGGAGTGCAGTGGCATGATCTTGGCTCACTGCAACCTCTGCCTCCAGTGTTCAAGCCATTCTCCTGCCTCAGCCTCCTGAGTAGCTGGGACTATAGGCGTCTGCCACCATGCCTGGCTAATTTAGTTATTTTATTTATTTGTTTTTTAATTTTTAGTAGAGACGGAAATAGTAGAGACGGGGTTTCACCATGTCAGCCAGGATGGTCTTGATCTCCTGACCTCGTGATCCGCCTGCCTCAGTCTCCCAAAGTGCTAGGATTACAAGCGTGAGCCACTGCTCCTGGCCTCGATTTGATAGTCTTTTATTGAAGATTTTTACATTCATGTTCATGAGAGGTACTGGTCTGCTGCGTTCCTTTCTTGTCATGTATTTATCTGATTTTGGTATTAGGGTAATGCTGGCTTCACAGAATGAGTTAGGAAGTGTTTCTTCTGTTTCTATTTTCTAGAAGGGATTGTAGAGAATTGGTATCATTTCTTCCTTAAATGTTTGATACAATTTACCAGTAAGACTCTCTGGGGCTGCTACTTTCTCTTTTGGAAAGTCATTATTGATTCAATTTCGTTCATAGACAGGCCTACTTAAATAGTCTTATTCTCCTTGTGTGAAGTTTTGGTATCTGGGTCTTTCAAGTAATTAGTCCATTTCATCTAAGTTATCAAATTTATCCGCAGAGAGTTGTTCATAGCCTCCTTTATTATCCTCTTGATGTCCATGGGATCAATAGCGATTAACTTTCTTTCATTTCTGATATTAGTAATTTATATCTTCTCTCATCTTTTTCTTGGTTAGCTTTGCTAGAGGTTTATCATTTTTATTGACTCAAAGAACGTGCTTTTGGTTACACTGATTTTCTCTATTGTTTTTCTGTTTTTGATTCTATTGATTTTTGTCTCTAATTTTTATTACTTCTTTTCTTCTGCTTGCTTTAGGCTTAAATTGCTCCTTTCTTATCTTAAGATGGATGTTTAGATTACTGATTTTACATTTCTTTATCTTTAAAAGACATTTTATTATTTTTAGGTTTTTCATTGACAAATAAAATTTACTTATTTATCACATCCAATAAATAGTTTTGAAATATGTCCACACTGTGGAATGATTAAACTGAACTAATTAACAAATGCATTATTACACGTATTTACTTGTGGTGAGAACACTTACAATCTGCTCTTAGCAATTTTCAAGAATATGATACATTGTTATTAAGTATAGTCACCATGTTGTACAATAGATCTCTGGAACTTATTCCTCCTGTCTAGCTGAAATTTTGTATCCTTTGACCAACATCTCCCAACTCCCTGCCCAGTTCCTGGTAACCACCATTCTGGTAACTCTGAGTTCAACTTTTTAAGATTCTAGACATAAGGGAGATTTTTCTGTGTCTGGCTTATCTCATCTAACATAATGCCTTCCACGTTTATCTGTGTTGTCACAAATGATGAGATTTCCTTCTTTTTGATTTTTCCTTTCTAATATATGCATTTAATGCCATAAATGTCTAAGCACTGCTTTCACTGCATCCACAAATTTTGAGTTATATTTTCATTTAGTTAAAAATATTAAACAATTATCTAGACTTCTTTTTTTGATCCATATGTTATTTAGAAGTGTGTCGTTTTATCTCCAAATATTTTGGGATTTTCCAGTTTATCTCTATTATTGACTTTCTGTTTAATTCTGCTGTGGCCTGAGATAATAGTTTGTGTGATTTCTATTCTTTTCAGTTTGTTAAGGTGCGTCTCATGATCCAGAGCATGGTCTATCTGGGCGTATGTTTCATGTGAACTTGAGAAGAGTGTGTATTCTATCATCCTTGCATGGAGTTTTCTAGAAATGTCAATTAGATCAAGTTGATTGGTAGTGCTGTTCAAGTCAAAAATATCCTTACTGATTTTCTACATGCTTTGTCAATTACTGAAAGAGAGGCGCTGAAGTCTCCAACTGTGTTAGTGGATTTGCGTGTTTCTCTATGTAGTTCTAGCAGTTTTTGTCTCATGTATTTTGACATGCTGTTGTTAAAAGCATACACATCAGGGACTATTATATCTTCTTGAAGAATTTGACCCTTTTGTCATTATTCAGTGCTCCTCTTCATTCCTGTTAATTTTCTTTGCTTTGAAGCCTGACGTGTCTGAAATTAACAATGCAACTACAGCTTTCTTCGGACTCCAGCTTTCCTTCTGTTGCCATGATATATCTTTCTCTATCCCTTTGCTTTTTCACTTTCATTGATATTTTGCTTTTAATTTACATGTGTCATTATGTTTAAAGTGGGTTTCTTATAGATACCATTTAGTTGAGTCTTGTCTTCCTAATCCACTCTGCCAATATCTGTCTCTCAATTGGTATACTTAGAGCATTCATATTCAAGGTGATTATTGATAGGGTTGAATTAATATCTACCTTGTTTATAACTGCCTTCTATTTGTTACACTTGTTACTTCTTCCCTCTTTTTCTGCTTTCTATCATTTTAATTAGGCGTTTAAAAATTATTCTGTTTTCTCTCCTCTCTTAGGCATATCGGTTATACTTAACCGATATTTATTTACTGGTTTCCCTAGAGTTTGCAATTTACATGTATAACTAATTTAAGTCCACCTTCAACTAGCAGTATATTACTTCACATGTAGTGCAACTACCTTATAAAAGAATATCTACAATTTCTTTCTCCTCTTTTAAAGTTGCCATCATTAATTTCATTTAGCCGTATGCTATGATCACAAAATACTTTATTACTACTTGTCTTAGTCCATTTTGTGCTGCTATAACATAATATCTGAGACTGGATAATTTATAAAGAATAGAGATTTATTTCTTACAGTCTTGGAGGCTGAGAAGTGTAAGGTTGAGGAGAGGGCCTTCTTGCTGTGTCATCCCAGGTGACAGGTGGAAGGGCAAGACAGCATGCACATGCACAAGACAGAATGAGAGAGAGAGACAGAGAGAGGTAGGAGAAGGAAGAGAGGTGGAGGAGGAGAGGAGAGGTAGGAGAAGGAAGAGAGGTGGAGGAGGAGAGGAGAAGGAGGAGAGGTGGAGGACAGGAGGAGGAGGTGGAGGAGGAGGAGAGGTGGAGTAGAGGAGGAGGAGGTGGAGGAAGAGGAGAGGTGGAGGAGAGGAGGAGAGGTGGAGGAAGAGGAGAGGTGGAGGAAGAGGAGAGGTGGAGGAGAGGAGGAGGAAGTGGAGGAGGAGGAGGAGAGATGGAGGAGGAGAGGTGAAGGAGGAGGAGGTGGAGAAGAGGAGGAGGAGAGGTGGAGGAGGAGGAGGAGGAGAGGTGGAGGAGGAGGAGAGGCGGAGGAGAGGAGGAGAGGTGGAGGAGGAGGAAAGGTGGAGGAAGAGGAGAGGTGGAGGAGGAGGAGAGGTGGAGGAGAGGAGGAGGAAGTGGAGGAGGAGGAGAGATGGAGGAGGAGGAGAGGTGAAGGAGGAGGAGGAGGTGGAGAAAAGGAGGAGGAGGAGAGGTGGAGGAGAAGGAAAGGTGGAGGAAGAGGAGAGGTGGAGGAGGAGGAGAGGTGGAGGAGAGGAGGAAGTGGAGGAGGAGGAGGAGGAGAGGTGAAGAAGGAGGAGGAGGTGGAGAAAAGGAGGAGGAGGAGAGGTGGAGGAGGAGGAGGTGGAGAAAAGGAGGAGGAAGGAGGAGAGGTGGAGGAGGAGGAGGAGAGGTGGAGGAGGAAGGAGGAGAGGTGGAGGAGGAAGGAGAGGAAGGTCAGGAGGAAGGGGGCTGAATCCACGCTTTTATCAAGAATCCACTCCTGTGATGATGGCGTTAATCCATTGATGAGGGCAGAGCCCTCAGGACCTAATTAATTCTTAAAGTTCCCACCAGTCCATCCTGTTGTCTTGGGGATTAAGTTTCCAACACATGAACTTTGTGGGAACTTTGAAACCATAGCACTATTATTACTTTTAACAAACATTTATCTGTTAAGATTAATTAAGAATAAGAAAACAAAATGTTTTATTTTATTTTAAAAAACCCTTCTCTGATACTTTTTTTTAAATTGTAGATTTGAGTTTCTGACTTATATATTTTTCCTCCTTCCTGAAAAACTTTTGATACTTCTGGCAAGGTAGGTCTGCTGGTGATGAATATCTTTAACTTTTATATGTCTGAGAAAGTTTTTGTTTCTACTTCACTTTGGAAAGATCATTTTGCTAGATATAGAATGACAGGTTGGTGGATTTTTTTCTTTCAATACTTCAAACATTTCACTCCACTCTCTTGCTTGCTTTCTGAGAAGTCTGATGGATTCTTATCTTTTTAGGTAAGGTATCTTTTCCCTTTTGCTTCTTTTAGGATTTTATCTTTTTTCTCCAGCTTGACAGTTATATACCTAAGTGTAGATTGTTTTTGTTTTGTTTTTGTTTTTAGTATTTATCTTGCTTTGTGTCCTCTGAGCTTCCTAGATCTGTGGTTTACTTTGGAAAGTTCTCAGCCATTGTTGCTTCGAATATTTCTTCCGTTCCGTTCTGTCTTCTCCTTGTGTTATTGTAATTATGTGTATGTTGCACTTTTTTCTTTGTTCATTTGTTTGTTTTTTGAGATGGAGCTTCGCTCTGTCACCCAGGCTGGAGTGCAGTGGCATGATCTCAGCCCATTGCAACCTCCGCCTCCCAGGTTCAAGCAATTCTCCTGCCTCAGCCTCCTGAGTAGCTGGGATTACAAGCGTGTGCCACCATGCCTGGCTAATTTTTGTATTTTTAGTAGAGATGGGATTTCACCATGTTGCCCAGGCTGGTCTTGAACTCCTGAACTCGTGATCTGCCCACCTCGGCCTCCCAAAGTGCTGGGATTACAGGCGTGAACCACTCACCCAGACTGTTGCACTTTTTGAAATCGTCCCACAGTTCTTGGATGCTTTGTTCTCTTTGTATTTTTCAATTTGGGAAGTTTCTATGGACATACTTTCAAGCACATTAATCCTTTTGTTGGCCATGTCCCATCTGTGGATGAGCCCATCAAACATAGTCTTCATTTTTGTTATGGTGTTTTTCACTCCTAGCATTTCCTTTTGACCCTTTCTTAGAGTTTCCATCTCTCTGCTTCCCTTATCCATCTATTATCGCATATTGTCTACTTGTTCCATTAGTGCTTTAACATGTTAATCAAAATTATTTTAAATTGCAAATAATTCCCAAATCTGTGTCATAGGCAAATGTAACAGGTGGGCGACAGATGGGAGAATCTACTTGCAACATGTAAAACTGACCGGGGATTAATGTCTAGAATACAAAAAGCAACAAGAAAAACCCTAGAGCCCTTCTGAAAAAGTTAGCTATCAATAATAGCTACGCTTTATAGAGCAATCACTACCTTTTAAGCACTTACACAGATGTGAGAAGAAAGTGCAGTAAGACCTGTGAGAATCTTGAGGGAGGTGCCGTGTCCAGCTTTGGGTGAGTGGTAGTGGAGACTGAGGAACATTATCTGGATGGCTTCTGAAAAATAAACTCCAGTTAGTGGGGAATGGGACACAGTACAGTCATTCTAGGCTGCGGGAACAGCCTGGGGAAATACATGTGTGCAGAGAATAATGTACAAGTCAAGTTTCCCAGAAGATCCATGAGAGACAGCAGCAGGTGCTACAGTCAGAAAGCCAGGATATGATGCAATAGGGAGCCATGGATGGTTTTTGAGCAGGTGCAAGGTGAAATGAAAGTGCTAGTTACGAATACGACTTAGACAGGATGGAGGATGGACTGAGGAGAGTGTCTGGGCTCCGGGAGATGTGGTCAGGCAAGAGATTGTCTTCAGGCCAGAGTGAGGGTTGTGGTGGGATAGAACCAGGAAGACCTTGTGACTAGAGCTGAGGGCCAAAGGAGAAGTTAGGGGCACTGCCGGGGCCCTGGCTCAGGGTATGGGTGGAAGCAGCTGCTGGTCACCAGTGGGTGGAGGGCAGACTGGAAAGATGAAGAGAACAGGCCCAGAGGGGTGGTGAGGAGGCTCCGGTGAGGAGGCTCCGATGTAGAGCGTGGGGGCCACTGTCCCAGAGGCAGGCACCAGAGAGGGGACTGGTCTGAGGGCTGCCTGTACTTAGTGGGTGACTGGAGGTCGAGGAGGCAGGATGTAGAGGAGCACGTGTGGCTGGAAGTCTCAGGACCCTGCATCTCTAGCACCATGGCCACCTCAGCTCCGTGAAATGGGGCTCTGGCCTCTCTGTAGTGTCCAGGCCTGAGGGCAGCCCAGCTGTTTCTTCCTTCCTAGGTCTGGAGGATAAAGCCAGCCCAGCTTGGTCCTGCCTGGGCCAGAGAGCTGGGCACTAGGAGCAGGAAGATTTGGGTGTAGGAAACTGGGGATGGGGGTGTTGCAAGACCACCCCTCCTGAGGGAGAGGACAGCAGGGACTCCACCAGGGTCTTCTCCCTGCCCCTCATCCTCATGCTGAGGGAAGGGTCCAGGCCCAGCTCCAGCTACACTCTGGGTCCCCCACACCCTCCCACGGTAGCAGAGTCTTGGGGGCACCCCCACCCCATCTTGTGTGAAATGGGTGTGTGTGGGTCTCATTCACGCCTCTGCCTCTATCCTCCCCACCCGGGCCCCTCCCTTCTCCAAACCTCAGCACCCCTGTCCCCCCACCCAGTGCCTCCCTCCATCCACTTTCTTTGCTCCAAGGAGGAGAAAGGCCCACTCTCATGATTGTGTGTTGACTTCCGACGTGAAGCCACTTTCTCTGCCTCTTCTATCTGCCTTCTTGCCTCTCCTGCTCCCGCCAGGTCCTCCCAGGGGCACAATGAGCTTGTTCCTGACTCTGGGCCTTTGTCCCTGCAGTTAACCTTGCCAGGAGCACCCCTTCCTACTCTCGAGTAGTTTGTGGGGATTCACTCAGGCTAGAGGCGACACCATCGTCACCCATCCTGCTGTGGTCTTCCTTCCAGCTTTATTTTTATTGGCATGTTTGCCTGTTAACCTATGGGATGGGCATTGCTGGTGTGTGCTTGAAGCTTCAGACCCTGCAGTCATTCAGCTTGTTGAGTAAATGAAATTAAAATTTTAATTCTGGTGGGAGGGACTCTTGAATTTTGGGACATGAATCCTGCAGTGGATTTCAGGAGTAAAAGCATAAGGTTATATTGGCCTCATACCTTCTCCACCGAATGTATTTTTTGATTGAGGAGCTGGTTTTATGTTTTCTTTACAATTTTTTTTATTCATTTTTTTTTTTTTTTAAAGAGACAAGGTCTCCTCCCTGTTATCCAGGCTGTGGTGTGGTGGCACGATCATAGCTCACTGCAGTCTTGAACTCCTGGGCTCAAGGGATGCTCCTGCCTCAGCTTCCCGGGTAGCTAGGACTACAGGCGTAGCCACCACGCCCAGCAAATTTTGATTTTTTTTTCTTTTTTTGTAGAGATTGAGGTCTGCCTATGTTGTCAGGCTGGTCTCAAACTCCTGGCCTCAAGCAACCCTCTCTCCTCAGCCTTCCAAAGTGCTGGGACTACAGGTATGAGCCACCACACCTGGCCAGTTTAATGTTTTCTGATTAAGAGCCCTCACAGTTTCCCTTCCATTTCAAACATCCAGCTCCATTCTGCCTACTGGAGAAGGACGGCCTGTGGAAAGGGCAGAGGAAGGCCCGCTTCCCCTCCCAGGCCCCGGAGTGCCCCATAGCTGCCTTGAACCGTGGGCTTCCAGCTACAACCTCATCTGGGAAAGAAAGGGGTGAGGAAAGCTGTTGAGAAGGAAGTTTAGGATTCTTGGTCAGGGAGTGGGTGGTGCTGGCAGATCAGGGCCAGGGCTGAGACCCTCCTAGGAGAGTGTTTCTGGATCAGGGCTGTAGCTGTGGGAGGACTGAGTGGACACTGGGTCCTCGCCCCTGTTCCTGGCCTCTCCGTCGAGGCTGCACGCTGCTCCTTAGCCAGGTGTCCCATTTGGGCCGCCGGCAAGGGAACCAGGCACAGGGGCCCCTGCCCTCTAGCTCTGAGATCCAAGTCCCTGGGGCTGGCCTAAGGAAGCTAAAAATCTCAAGGTCCCCCGGTGTGAGACCCCGCTGGTCATTCTACCCTACCTAAGAGTGTAAATAAGGCCTTCCCACTGCCTGGACCCTTCTTCTCCAGACCCCTCTTCATTTCTCCCTCCTCCAGGGCAAAGGTGTCATACCTCCAGGGGCCATGTGTGGCCTTTTGGCTCCTTCTTCACCAATAGAGAGTTCTTCCTTTGGCTAAGTTGAGGTCTGCTCTATAACTCCTCTACCCCTCACCCTAGCCCTGGCGTTGTCCACAGGGGCCCCAGAGAACAAGTCAGATCTGCTTAGCCTTGCAGGTTAAACACCCTCGGCTCTTTCTGCCTCCCTTACTGGCTTCTACCAGAAACTCTCCCAACAGCATGGCCTGTGAGGTCACGTTTAAAGTCATTTACAGTGAAGATGACAGCTGCACTCGAGTGACCTTGGGCCTAGGACGTCCCTGCAGACTCGCTGTCTCTCAGATCCCCGGCGTCCTCATCTGTAAAATGGGGACAAGAGCCCCTCCATCTCCTCCTCTTCCCTCCCTCCCTCACTCTTGGGTTGATCTTCTGCTTCTTCTATGGAGACTAGAGGCAGGAGCCCCTAGATGGAGGGCTTCTCGGCAGAGGTGGGCCTCGGAGGAAGAGTCGGGCCTTCTGGCGGCCCCACCTCGGAGCTTGGAGGCCCTCCATGGGGCCCCTCCCCAGGGGCCTCCTACAGTGCCCTCTCCTCGAGCCTGTCCCATGAGCCACCCCAGACTCTTGCTGGTGCGCAGATGCGCCGGACATTGCCGTGCCTCTGTGCTTTGGGCCATGCTGAGCCTTCTGCCTGGAACGCCCTCTCCCGTCTTCTGCTGGGCGAACCCCCACACAGCTTGCGAAGCCTGGCCCAAACGCCACCTACTCTGGGCAGCTGTCCTGACTGACTGCGGGCCTGCCTTGCGCAGTGTTCTCCTCGTGCTGCGTCCCGTCCCGGCCTCCCTGGCTGACCGGCACCCGCTCTGTGCTGCGTCCCCTGCCCTGGGAGTGCCAGGAGGGCGGGGCCTCTCTGACCTTCTCCAGGCCCTGCTTCCAGCCCAGCCCCGGCTGAGGAGTCCTTCAGGGGATGTGCTCCTGGGCTCTGAGAATCTGTGACAGTGCCTGTGACATGCCAGTCAACCTCACACGACAAGCTAGGCCATGCATAAGCCCTATCCTGTGCGACGTGGGGACGCAGATGCAGGCACACCCACATGAGGGGCTGACAAGCGCCAGTCCCGTGCCAGGCTCCTCGCGGATGGGGAGTCCCGGGTCCAGCACCAAACATGGGGCGGGCCTGTGGGACAGGCTCCTGCGCCAGCCCTGCCGAGGCCTAGCAGACTGTATCCCCATTCCCAGACTGCTGGGCTGCCAGGGGCCGGAGCTGGGACTCGAACCCAGACCACCTGCCTGCTGAGTCCATTCACTTTCTATGCCATCTAATTCAGGAGTGAAGCCCCCTGCCCTGAGGGACCACTCACTTTCCAACAGCGGGGGAGGGGGCATTTGGCCTCATTTTATGGGCCAGAAGGCTCAGAGAGGTGAGGGGACTGGTCAGGAGTGCACAGCTAGGAAGTGCCCAACAGGGCTGAACCAGGAGCCTGGACAGCCTGGCGAGGGGGGCCTCTCTCACTGGCTCTCCTTGGTTCACTCAGCAGTGGTCTGACCCCAGGACCAGCAATGTGGAAAGTACCAGGCTGCCCCTAGGCTCCGGAGCCTCTGCCCTTGCTCCTGCACAGACCTGGACACATTGCATCAGCTCTCTGAGCCTGTTTCTCTGCCTGTCACAGGGCTAGGATCCCCTACACAGCATCGCGGTGCAGATCAAACCCTCTGGAGGGAGCCCAGGCAGGTGCCTGCAGAGGTCCCTTCCCATCTCCTCTGCCTCACCTGGCAGCTCTGAGCATCCCCAGCCTCCTGAAGGAAGACATGCTCTAGGCAGGGCACCATGCGGGCCGGGACTTGCGGGGGCAGCCTGGGAGGACAGTGCGTGAGGACAGAGGGCCCGGCAGCTTTTCCACTCAGCTCTAAGCTCTCCTGGGAGCCTCTAACCCCAGAGTACCCCACTTGCTGGGCTTCAGGCTTTGCTCAAACTTGCAGCCACCCCATGGCGTCCCACTCCAGTAATGGGCCTGCACACCCTCTGAGTCCTCCCGGCCAGATGCTCTGCTCTGGGCACTCCTGTTCACATGTGAGAGGCCTGGGAACCAGGGGTGGAGGGACATGGCACAGAGGCCCCGAGACGGGAGGGCTTGGGCTGCAAGCCTCTGGGAGCCAGGCCCATGCTGACCTTGGATAGAGGAAGGTGGCAGAGGCAGCCAGCTGTGCAGGAAAGGAGGCATCACAGGGGTCCTGAAAAGCCCCTTCGAAGCTGCACTGCTTCCTTGAAGTGAAGAGTGGGGGAGTGCACACAGATGCCACCACGGGGGTGGGCAGGGCCTTCACCATGATGGGGAGGTGGCTGCCTTTGCTCGGTGGCAGTGGGGACCTCTCTGCACACACATCTTCTTGCATCACACAGGCCACATGTGAGCCACGTCAGAGAGCCACAGGTCTCTAGGTGGGAAGCCAGGGCTTACTTGGACGCCCCCTCCAGTTTGTCTGGGCTGTGATAATTTCCCCACTACACTGTGGTGAGTGACGCTGCTGTCCCCATCTGGGGCTAATAATCTTTCTCCTTTTAGTGGGTCATTTCCTGGGGCAGAGTCCCCAAAGCAGGGCCAACAGAGGTTTGGGCTAAGCCTCCTGGATGCCCTGCCTGCCCCACAGTCAGGTGACTGCCAAGGAGCTGACAGGGCGATCTTCATTTCCCAGCTTGGAATCTCATGCACAGCTTTTCTCTTTTTCTGTCCCAACCTAGAAATGTTCACACACCTGGTCTGCAGCCAACAGCTGGGATGCTGTTCTCCAGGTGCCAGGAAGGTAGCCTGGGGACATTCAGGGGAAGGAGGGTTTTACTTGACTTGCTTGTGCTGGCTAAGAGCCTGACACTGTGTAGGGGCTTAACAAAGCAGCAGACAAGTGTCTGGAGCTCCAGGGACCTGGAGCTCCTCTCTACTCTCTGCACTCTCTGGCTGGGGGGTCACAGGCAAGTGACAGCCACTTGCTTCCCCTAAGCATGGCTGCATCCCATGGACGTTGCGAATCTTATAACAGACCACGTATCCATTTTTTGCTTTGGCTGCTAGGGAGCTCAGTGCCAAAATGGGAGCCCAGTTTCAGGAATTGTATTTTTACCGCTTTTCCACCCTTATTCCTTTATCTACATCTTTATTCTTCTTACTCTATTTCTGCCCTCAGTGCTTGGGAACACAGTAGGAGAGCCTCATCTGCTTATTGACAAGATGCGAAAAATTTCGTCCTCGTCTCAGGTTTTTCTGAGGATTGAAGGAAGGGAGGGCCCTGTGCAGAAGAGGCTGGTAGGTGGGTGCTGCACCGATGTTGGCAGAAGTGAGTCTGGATTTGGCAAAGCTGCACCCAGGATGTGCATTCCCAGCTGGAGCCATCCCCACTGTGGGCATCTGTGCAGGGCTGAGGAATGGGACCAGGGATTCGGCTCAGAAATCCTCCTGCTCTTGGTAGCTGAGTGAGTCTTGACTTCCCTTGGCAGCTCAGTGAGTCTTGAATTCCTCTACGCTCTAGAGAGTAAGCTCTGCGAGGGCCTGCCTGGGCCCTGCACACAGTGGTGGGAATGAAGAAACATTTCCTCCACTGCTTCCCTACTCCCACCCAGACCCCTCCCTCACTGGGTGTGCTGATGAATGGAGCACCCCCATCCAGGCCTCCAGATGACCTTCTTCCCCAGCCTCCCAGCAGATGCTTTCAGGTCAGTTTCTACCCAAGGCTGAGGGCCTCCCGTAGGGTGTCCTCAGACTTGCTCTTTCTCGGCTGGGGGGACCCCAGAAATGGGGGCAACCCAACTTTCTCGAAAGGCTCAGGATGTCCTGGTGTTTGTGAATTTTCCCTATCATCGGCGACTTGTTTGATGGCGCTGGAGAGGGGGCAGGTGGATGTCCTGGTGTTTGTGAATTTTCCCTATCATTGGCGACTTGTTTGATGGCGCTGGAGAGGGGGCAGGTGGGTGTTGGTGGATGTTTCCTCTCCCCTGCTTCTGAAAGATCTCAAGGTATCCATGAACATGGAAAACCTCAAACCTGTGGTTTCATGGAGGAGCAAAGAGGGCCGTGTTCTGGCTTCCTGTCCTTAAGGGTGGGGGACGTGGCATCTGTGACTCCACCTGTCTGAGCTCTTGCCTCTGACTTTCAGTTCACTGAACAGGCCACCATGAACTGCTTTCAGTTCTTCTGCTGAAAAGCCAGACCCCTGGAGGAAGGCTGGGCAGGGGCCTGGGGCTGGAGGTGGATCAAGGACACCTGCAGGTTGAGAGGGTCTTGGGTGGGAGAGCACTGGATGGGGAGCAGACCTGCCTCTGAACACCTCTCTCCAGCTTCTTCCTCACTGACAGCGCTGGTGTCTTGTCCTTCCTGGATCCAAACAATGCAGAATGTTGAACACACCCTCAGAAATAATATACTAGCAGAGCCCTCCAAGAACACACTGAGGACACCGTGATGCAGGGATGCGCCATGACACAGGCCGTCTGCCTCCTCGAGGAGCTTCTCTATGAAAACATCAAGGTTGAGGGAGTCTGAAGCATGGCAGGAGTTCCTCAACTGTCCACTGAGTGGCCCATGCGGTGTGAAGGGAATCTGAGTGTGCCCTGTATCTTATGTCCACCAGTCAGGGTCTGGCAGGAAGGGGATTCTTCCCAGACTTGGACATCAAACACTGATTCCCCCAGGGCCTGGTCCTGTGCCCACTTCCTTTCTTCTCTGACACTGGAGCCTGGGAGAGCCTGGCCACAGCATGGCTCTTATACCCGTCTCCCTTCTCTCTAAGCCCCCTCCCCGGCCGAAACACAGGAGCCCTGGCCTTGCAGATCCAGTGACCCACGGACCATCTCTGCCTGGGTGACCCCTGAAAACCTCCAAGGTTGTCCGACCAGGCTGAGCTCATCACCTGCCCTGGCTTGCCCTGCCCTCTGTTCCCTCCCCTCTGTCAATGGAACCCCACCAGCCAGGTTAGAAACCTGACTTACCATCTCTCTCTCCTTCCACACCCACTCTATCCCCTTAGACCCCTGACTCAAACCCTCATCTATCTTAAAGGGAACATGGTTGGTGGGAATGTAAACTAGTACAACCACTATGGAAAACAGCGTGGAGATTCCTTAAAGAACTAAAAGTAGATCTTCCATTTGATCCAGCAATCCCACCACAGGGTATCTACCCAGAGGAAGAGAAGTCTTTTTCGTAAAAGAACTTGCACACGCATGTTTATAGCTCACAGTTCACAATTGCAAAGATATGAAACCAACTCAAATGCCCATCAATCAATGAGTGAATAAAGAAACTGTGGTATATATACACAATGGAATACCAGTCAGCCATAAAAAGGAATGAATTAATGGCATTTGCAGCAACCTGGATGGGATTGGAGACGATTATTCTAAGTGAACTAACTCAGGAATGGAAAACCAAACATCTTGTGTTCTCACTCATATGTGGGAGCTAAGCTATGTGGATGCAAAGGCATAAGAATGATACAACAGGCCGGGCGCGGTGGCTCACGCCTGTAATCCCAGCACTTTGGGAGGCAGAGGCGGGCGGATCACGAGGTCAGGAGATTGAGACCATCCTGGCCAACATGGTGAAACCCCGTCTCTACTAAAGATACAAAAGTTAGCTGGGCGTGGTGGTGCATGCTTGTAATCCCAGCTACTTGGGAGGCTGAAGCACGAGAATCAGTTGAACCCAGGAGGTGGAGGTTGCAGTGAGTTGAGGTTGCACCATTGCACTCCAGCCCAGCAACAGAGTGAGGCTCCATCTCAAGGAAAAAAAAAAAAAAAAAGAATGATACAATGAACTTTGGGGACTCTGGGGGAGAGGGTGGGAAGGGAGTGAGGGATAAAAGTACAAATTTGGTTCAGTGTATACTGCTCGGGTGATGGGTGCACGAAAATCTCACAGATCACCTCTAAAGAACCTACTCATGTAACCAAATACACCTGTTCCCCCCAAACCTATGGAAATAGGTTGAAAAAAAACCCCTCATCTCTCTCAAGTGTGTCCCCTCTCTGCCCTCCTGCCTCCGGCCTGGCCAGCCCACCGTGTCTTCCTGTGACCCCCTGGGCTTCCTGCAGGCCCTCTTGCTGCCTCCCTGTGCACCCTCCTCGGGGGGCCAGACTGGGTTTTCTAAACCACAGACCTGATTGTGTCACCTCCCCCTGCCTAAAATCACTAGATAAAGTGCTGGTGTCTCGGGTTGTCCAAAGCTGGCAATGAGTCGGTGAGAGCCTGCATCGTGAGATGTTGACTAGGGCTCAGCAGCTGCGAAAGGAAGAGGAGGAAGCAGGATGGGTCATGGGGAGAAGCTGAGCTGCAGCACAGGCCTGAGGGAACCCTCAGTTCCCTCTGTGGAACTGGGGGTTGCTCTAGAATGGGTATTGCCCATCTGAGTGTCCCTTACTGGGCCCGACTGGCCAGGACTTTACAGTGAGCACTGGCTCACTCACTGCCAGGAAGAGCCGACATCAGGAGAGGCAGCTCCCTGCAGTGAGGCAGGGCCTGGAGGAGCTTCAGCTGCAGGCGTTCTGATGACCACACTCTCTCAGCTGGACAACAAGGCCTTCCTGGAAGGGGCATGTGGCCTCTCACATCTTGACATCTGCTCCCGTCTGCTGCTCAGACCCACTTCCTGTCTGCTTCCATCTGCCACTCAGACCCACTTCCTGTCTGCTTCCCATCTGCCACTCAGACCCACTTCCTGTCTGCTTCCCTCCACCGCTCAGACCCACTTCCTGTCTGCTTCCCTCCACCGCTCAGACCCACTTCCTGTCTGCTTCCCTCCACCACTCAGACCCACTTCCCATGTCTACTTGGGGACCAGCCCCTCCAGGGCCCCAGCTGACCTCTCTTCCTGGGGGAATCTTGCAGGAGGGCAGTTCCCTGGACACAGGAAAGCCCCGCACTGCAGGTGGCCTCAGGGAGGTCATCATCTCCCCTTGCCATTCTCCTCTTGCTGTGTGTCAGCACTGCTGGCTTTCATGGCTTAGCCAGGGGCGTGACTCAGACCCTCTTCCCCAAGGGTCCTGAGGCCCTGGCCAGCACACCTTTGGTGGGCCAAGGGCTGTCACCCTTACCCACTCAGAGTCACCACTGGGCAAGGAAGTGCCAAGACCTATGTGCTTTATCTGACTCCACTGTGGAGCCTGCCTTTTCCTGTTGATCCATCACTGACCCCTGCCAAGGCAGGTCATGCTGCTTGCCTGCTGATCTGTGGACATGAGATGTCCAACTGCTCAGGTTGCAGCCATAGCTTGTAATTCAATGGGACTCTTTCTGTGTCCCCTGGTGGAAAGATGTCATTTTGGGGAATGAGGATCCCTGACTCTGCAGAACGCAGAGGTGTGGAAATGGAAGCAGTAAGTTCCCAGTGGGCCAATGAGTGATGATAAGGGGATTCCTCCTGCTTCTGTCCCTTGGCTCCTGGGCCCACGTGCTTGTTCTGCCTGTCAGGCATACACTGTCAGAGGCAGACACAATGCATGTGCTCATCCTGGAGGACGACCCCCATGCGACAGAGTCCTGCCCTGGAACACCCCATTCAGAAGCTGCAACCTGACCATGCTGGCATTGCCAGTCAACCTCTGGTGTTCAGTGGAGCCTTTGGCTGGCAGTGTCAACATGGTCAGGCCTGCAGCTTCTGAATGGGGTGTTCTGTGGTAGGGCCAGTGGGCCCCATGGTCCTGGGTTCTCTCCTACAATTCTTTAGCTCCAAAGTGGTCCCCTGGTCTGAAGCGATGTTATGTGGGGTCTGATGCTGGTGGCTCAAACACTACAAAAGCTCTCGCTTTGGTTGGTGGTGCTGAGGGTAGGAAAGGCCAGTCTACACCCAAGTAGGTGTCTCTTCTGATGAAAACAAACCATTGACCCCTGTGTCTTAGTCCATTTGGGCTGCTATAACAAACTACTACAGATTGGGTGGCTTATAAACAAAAGACACTTCTTTCTCACAGTTCTGGAGGCTGGGAAGTCCAAGATCAAGGTGCTGGCAGATTTGGTGTCTGATGAGGGCCAGTTCCTCATTGATAGCCATCTTCTCGCTGTCACCTCATGTAGAAGAAGGGGTCAGAGACCTCTCTCGGGCCTCTTTAACAAGGGCATTAATCCCATTCATGAGGGCTCCACCCTTGTGACCTCATCACCTCCCAAAGTCCCTGCCTCCTTATATCATCCCCTTTGAGGTTAGAATTTCAACATATGAATGTTGTTGGGGGACATGCATTCAGATCACTGCACCCTTCTAAAGTGGAAGCGCCCAGGTGGTCAAGGTGCCTCTACCTGGCTGGTTGGCTTCCTCCAAGAATGGTGCCGCATGGGGGTCGGCAATGGTCTCTACTGCAGCCAAGTTGGATATTCTACGGGTTGGCAGTAGCTAGGTCAGGTTTGATAAGTGAGAGTCCATGCGGTTGGGCCCATGTGTCTCCTGCAATTTTGGTCTCCGTGATGACTTCATTGACCATGATACCATGATACCAGCAGGGGGATGAGGGACAGAGGTTGGCTGCTGTCAAATGGCTGGTCATCTTGTCAAGAGGACTTGGCTGTTGAGGGCCTCTCTTCGGGTGGGGTTTTCTGGTGGGATTAACATGTGTTACCTGATCTACTCCCATAGGTACATCCCATCTCTACCTCAGAATTTCTTGTCCTTAATCTTCCATTTTTTTTCTTTCCAATATCCTAATCAACTGGCCAGGCTTCTTGTTGCTGCCTATGAGCCCATAGATTCTCTAACTTCTGGCTGCTTCTCTTTCCACACAGAATGGATGGCCACCTGAGGCTCTGCCCACTGGGAGAACTCTCCCTCACTACAGTCTTTCGAGGCCATCTTAAACAAGGGTGTAGTGCAGCTGTCATCTGTTTTGGCTTGAGTCCACAAACAGAATGGACCCATTTGTAAACCACCTTCAAGCATTTCCTGCTTCACACAGCCACTGGCCTGGGCAGAGAGAGAGGGCTGGGAGCCCTGAGACACAGGTGACCTGCTGTGAGGCTTGTGCCCTCTGGTCTTGCTTCTGCTAAATCCTGGATGTAGCACTTCCACATGACAGATTGCTGCCTGGCCTGCCCAGCCTTATGACTCATTGGGTCTTACAGAACTCATGGTGGGCAGTTGAAGCTGCATGGCCACTTGGCATGATCTGCTCAGGCATTCTGTCTCTATTAGGCAGAGACAGAATGGCACTCCAGTGGCACTCCGGGAATTGTTCTCAAAAAGTGTAATTCCCAGTGCAAATGGCACGGCCTTGCCCCCGAAGCCCGGGGGCCGATGTAGTGATTCTCCTGCTTTAGTTCACCATAAACTCTGATGACATCTTTTCCTGCTGCAGATTCCTCCACCCCAGTAGAGTCTGCCACATCCTATGGCCTGAGCCACAGGACTGCTTGCACGGCAGCTTGAACCTGCTGCAGAGCCCTTTCCCAATCTGGGCCCCACTCAAAGCTAGTGGCCTGTGCTTAACCCAGGATATGGGCTGGTGCAGTATTACTAGGTGTATGAGGTATGCTCCCCCTAGAGCCTGAACTCATCAGCACTGTCCTTCCTTCTTTGTAAAGAGATGCAAGCTGCAACAATTTGACTTTCACTTTGGAAGAATGTCCTGACCACAACACCCCTAAAAAAGATAAAGACATGGCAGACCCCTGAGACTTCAGGGAATTCACCTCCCACCTTCTGAAACGTATGGATCTTACCAAGGCCTTTAGTGGTCTGGCTCCTTCTTGCTTATCTGTTGCAATCAACATGATGTCATTGATGAAACAGATCACTATGCTTTTCTGTGGGACATCAAGATGATCCAGACTCTCCTGCGTTTATGATAACAGAAGGCAGGAGACCTGGCACAGCCCTGGGGCTAACTGTAAATGTATATTGTTCTCCATTCCATGCGAATGTGAACTATTTCTGATCCTCCTTTTTGATTGGGATAGAAAACAATGCATTTGTCAAACCAGTGGCTGCATACCACATCTCTGAGGCCACGGTAATCTGCTCTAGCAAAGGTACCACCTCCGGTGCAGTGATATGATCCAGGCTCCTCCTTAGTGAAGCTGAGGTAGTTTACACCACCCTCCAGGATCTTGTAGGTTTTGCAAAGGCTAAATTTGGTGAGTTAAAAAGAGACATGATGGGAACCAGCACCCCTGCACCCTTTATCTCCTTAAAGGTGGTGCTAATTTCTGTCATCCCCCTTTCCTGGGATGTGCTATTGTTTCTGATTTATTATACTGGTCAAGGAGGAGTTAGTTTCAAAGGCTTCCACTTGGCCTTCCCCATTTCAATAGCTCTCACCCTACAGACCAAGGATCCAAGGTGGGAATCGCACCGATTGTTAAGTGTGCTGGTTCCAACTATCCATTTGGGGGTCAAAGAAATCAATACCCAGTGATTCAGTGGCTTGATAGTAAGGTGGCTCTTGGAAAGGGCTCCACCACTGACCTGATGTCTATCAGCCCCCACTCCATGAGGGCCAGGGGGATGGATGCCTCATGTCTCTAGTGTCAAAGTCAGTTCAGGTTTGGTCTCCAACAGACCTCAGAATGTTTGGTTATTGGCACTATTAGCCATTGCATTATTAGCTGACTAAATGACCATAAGCCCCTTTGGGGCAAAAGCTGGGCAAAATGTTACCATATAGGCCGGGCGCGGTGGCTCACGCCTGTAATCCCAGCACTTTGGGAGGCCGAGGCGGGCGGATCATGAGGTCAGAGGATCGAGACTGTCCTGGCTAACACGGTGAAACCCTGTCTCTACTAAAAGATACAAAAAATTAGCCGGGCGCGGTGGCGGGTGCCTGTAGTCCCAGCTACTCCGGAGGCTGAGGCAGGAGAATGGCTCGAACCCGGGAGGCGGAGCTTGCAGTGAGCCAAGATTGCGCCACTGCACTCCAGCCTGGGCGACAGAGCGAGACTCTGTCTCAAAAAAAAAAAAAAAAAAAATGTTACCATATATAGTTGCTATGATATGGTAGGGTCTTCCCTTCTTGCAACCCACTTACCTCTTCAGCCAGTGAGTTATGGATCTAAAACTTGATTGAGGTAAGGAAATTGGGCAAAAGATTGTGACTTTTTTCTTGCTGTGACCTCCCCCAGCCTTTGGTTGATCCATACTTGATTTCCTTTGTTGGCACAACCTAAGAAATGTCCTTGTCCCTCTCTCTGCTCTGGCCCTGAGGTCATGACTCTCTGCAAGTTGGGCTCCTGTGGCTGCCCTACACTCTGGCTGGTCATCGTGATGCTGGCAAAGTCCCAGCTCCTGGGGAATCGGGCCCCCAGCCTTTAGCACATGGATCTCCCCATTCCATTGCTGTCTGTGAGCTTTGTTTTTTAAGAGCCTCGCCTGACATCAGCCCTGGCCTCCAGACAATTCACCATCAATGTTATAGCGATCAACGCAGGTGCTCCTCAGGTCTCTGTAGATGATGTGTCTTCCAGGCACTTTCCTGGAAAATGGTCACCTGGTGGCCTTCTGGCCTGACATGGTGTGTCCATTCCAATGTGTCCACTTCCCTGAGCCTTTGAGTTGTTTCCTTCCTGTGTGCCTGGCAATCCTGGCATTTCAGCTTTGATCATGTCCAAGGCTCCCAGCAGCCACCCACACTTGAGTCTGCACCATCCCCTGGGTTGTGTGTGTTGGAAGAGAGGGACAGATTAGCAGATTCCTCTTGGCTAGTTTTACTTTCCACATCTCTGATCACACTGGAGTCCTGGCTGTGCGCCCTCGGCCCTGGTCAGAACATGCTGGCTGGGTCCTGTGGCTCCTTTGAGCATAGTCTGCTTCCTGCCTTAGCAGGCTCAGCACGTGCCCATCGGCTTAGTGGTGGGGGAGGGTGGGCTGCCCTCTGCACTGTCTTCTGGCACAGGGGAGTGCTGGCTGGCACTTGAGAGGAGGTGCCTCTGCAGTCTCTGAAGGTCCCGGGCCCTGGGAAGCCAGAGTCTTCAGGAGCATCTGCCTCTGGCCCATATGTCAGGGTCCCTGTTCCCAGGTCTGGCAAAACAGACCTACCTGGGCAGGGCCTGTAGCCTTCTTCAAACTTCAGCCATTCGGACTCCTGGGTCCTCACCTCCTCTATTCTGCCCTGGCAGGAGGTGAGGGCTTCAAAGAGGCCCTCTGGGTTCACACCGGCTTCCCATTGCCTGTTCCTCACCCTCAGCAGTTCCTCGCTGTCTGGAGGGCATCGTGGTGCCCGGCAGCAGCCTCAGTCCTGCCGTCCACACACCGCCTGTGCCTCCAGGCATCTTCAGTGCCCCGTCCAGGACTCTTGTCAGAGCGTCCCTCCTGCCGGCAGCCACTCCCAGTTCTTCACACAGCGAATGGAGCCCTCACGCTGCGCCGGTGCCACATCTCCCACCAGCGATGGAGCTTTGGTGCCACCTCTTCATCTACTTTCCTGGGCCATTCCTGGTGCCAACTGTTTCAGGTTGGTTTGTCTGGAAGTGGATGCTGAGGTGGATTTGGGGTGAAAGATGTTTATTAGGGTCAACCCCTGTGAAAAGAAGGGGGAAGGAGCGAGTTTGAACAGAAGAAAGGGTCAAGCTGCAGCACAGGCGTGACAAAGCCCTCGACGATGTCCTCACTGTGTCCCCAGACCTGGACAGGCGGGGCCTGTGGAGGTGTGTGGTTTCCATTTGTCCTCCTGATTGGGCTGAATTCCAGGAACACGGGGATTATGTAGTCTTGATGCTCCTTGTTCCCAGGGATACGTGCTGGGGCTGGTAGAGAGAAGCCATTCAGTAAATCCCCCCAAATCTGACCCCCTCCGGGCTGGCTGCCATGATGCACATGATGTTACTTCACATTTACAAGCACCCTGGGGCAGGGCTGAGTGTCCCCATGAGACAGGCGAGGACGGTGAGACCCAGACCTCTGAATGCCTGCCTCAAGATCACAGCTCAGAGAAGCCAAGTCAGGGCCGGACCCTGTACAGCCACGCCTGAGCGTTTGAGGTCCTCTTTTTGCAGACAGCACTGCCATGACCCCATTACGTATCTGTGCCCCAGTGTCCTGGCTCAGGAGACACCTTAAGCCACAGCTTTAGGCCACCTTTGACAGACCTCAAACCCAAGTTGGCTTTGTTCTTGGAGTCTCAAGTCAGGACAAGTGCATGGAGGTGTCTGGTTCTCCCTTGGCAGGTGGAAGCATCTAGGGGCCCAGGTCTAGAGGCTGGGGTGTTGGTGCACTTGGGCTGATGTACTGGGTTTTCTGAGGGGCAGGGATTTGAAAGCAGGCCTGGCAGCCTTCTGGAAGTCTGGCCTCTGTGTCCCCTGAGGCAGCCCCTGATGGAGCCCACCTGTGGCCTCCCCTATTTCCCAGGGGGCCAGTCATCACCTCCCAGCTGATCCCCTGATTGCTGGGTGGTCTCTGGTGTAAAGTGCTGCCTCTCCAGCCTTAGTGCCTCCTCCAACCACGGTTTAGGTCCTGAAGGGAAGACAAGCCAGCTTGGTTCTAGGGGACTCTGTGGCACCCACTCCCAGCTCTTCCTGATGACATCCCACAGGCCAGCTGTACGACCTTGGGTAAGCCCAGACACCCCTTTGAGTCTCTGCAGCCTTGTCTGTGAAATGGAGCTAATAATGTCGGTTTCATTGTTGTGCTGTTACAAATAAGTGAAAAAATGCACAAGTATCAGGAATCATTCCTGGCACACAGCTGGTGTCAGAGCTGTAAGCTTTCCCCTTGAAAGAGAGAAAAGGATGCAACTCTTTCCAAGGGGAAAGCGGTTTGCATGGGAACTAGGTGGCTTCTCCATTATCTTTAAGCTGGAGGGGCATGGAGTGTGGGGCACACACTCCCTGGGTGCGGATGGGGGCAGATGGGAGCCTGCCACCAAGGCTGAAGTCCTGTACAGTGCGTCACTGCTCTAATCCCTCCCCCCACCCACCACCAGGCCTGGACAATGTGCTCTGAGAAACAGGAAAATGGTCGGGGCAGGCAGGCAGCCAGCGGATGTTGTCCCAGCTATGGGGCCAGTCCCCCCTGTGGCCTTGGGCAAGGTCTCTTCTCCTCCCAGTCATTTTCTCTGACTTGGGAACACGGGAATGCAGAGAGAAATGGGTTGGAAGCACTGGACAAGGCCCTTAACCTTTCCAAAACTTAATTTCCCCAGCTGTAAATGGGGGTGAGGAAAGCACCTCCCTTTTGGGGCTGTTGTGCTGCTGATGTGAGTGCCTGGCACATAGTAAGCCCTTTTAAATGTGAGCTAGAATAATGATTACTTCTTTCATAATTGCAAATGTCACTTTTGAAAGAGGAAGGCCAGCGCTGGTGGGGACGTGGGATCTAGGACTGGTCGGAGCCTCCTCTCGTACTTGCAGACTGGCGCAGATATTCTGTAGAGACGCGAGGTGAGTGACCCCCGTGCCTACCCTGTGTGCAGGAATCCTTTCCTGGAAGTATTCTAATGGTGAGGGGCACGTACCAGGATGCCCCTCTCAGAGGTGCTGCTGGGGGTGGGAGTGGGGGGGGTGAGAGGTGGTGGATGTGCCTCGTGGAAACTGAGCAGCAGCCAGGACCAAACAGACACTGCAGCACCGAGGGATGTGAGAAACAGCCAGCCGAGTGGAGACGTGCAAGGAAAAGCACTGAGCTGCCACACAGCGCTGCTTCTGCACATTGGAACCGCATACAGACAAAACACCAAGAACCAGTCTGTGGAGCACATGCCATGAAAACAGAGCACACCAGACACGTGGGCAGGGCCACCCCTTGTGGGGAGGGAGGGGGAAGGGGCTCCAGGCAGTGAGCAGGGGGCTGTGCATGCACCAGTAATGCCCATGAGCTGTAGGCTGAGGCACCAGGTTAACGCCACCTTCTGTAACTGAGGTGAAAAAACAAAAAGGAAAGAAAGAATGGAAGGAAGAAAGGCAGACAGGCAGGCAAGTGTGCAGTCTACGACACTGCCTTAGGCCCAGGAAGGGATTTTGGTCCAGGTCCTAGGTGGTGGAAGCAGCTAAGGTGTCCCAGAGAACTCCAGTGGTGTCCTGCAAAAGACACTGATAACCACAGCTGGGAGAATGCACCCCCCGGGCTTTTTACAAGGATAGCTATTTTCTTTCACGTCCCCTTCTCTAGAGACAGGGGCTTTTGTTGGGACTACTGTTCCCATTCTACAGAAGCAGCAGCTGAGGCCTGGGGTAGTGGGGTGATCCCAGGTCACACATCAATAAGGGAGTGGGGGTGCCAGTCAGAACTCCAGCCCAGCGTCAGTCTCAGGAATGACAGGGCTTGCCCACGGCTCCATAGCTGGCAAGCGCTTGAAAGAAACCCCAGCCAGCCCTGCCGCCTCTAAATCCTGCCCGCGCCCCCTCGGAGCGGTGGAGCATTCATCCGAGTCTAAGCAACCAGCACCGCCAACAAAGCCCCGACAACACACGCATGTTTTCCTCCGCCGCTCACTGTACGGGAACAATGGGTATTTACAGCAGTCCTGAAATGCTGCGCGAGCCTCCAAGGCCTTTGGCGTCGTCAAAGCACGATTAGACAGCGCAGAGAACGGTTTTAGCTGCGAGAGCATTTATCGTATTAGTGTTCTTGGAAAACGGCAAATCCCCGTTACTTAAGCAGCCGCATTACCGAGCCCAGTGCCTGGCCCCCAAATCTGGATAATCCCTATGGATTCTTTTGAACTCCAGGGATCCCCCTGCCTCGAGCTCCTCCAGCCCTCTTTTTGAGCTCCTGTTGCTTGCAGGAACCGTACAAAGTCTTCATCGTGAGGTTTAAACCCAGGTCTCCAGGCAGCCACCTTGTGTCCCCAGCCCAAAGGTACCAGGCCTGCTGTTCTTAGAACGGGGCAGAGGCAGGCCCTGGGCAGCCCTCCTCCCACGCCTAGGCCTTTGCCCTGAATGTCGCTCCTCTCTGGGATGCTGTCCTGCTCACTCGCTTTTATGGGTCAACTCGGACACCTCCCCTTGGGCAGAGTTCACCCATGCACCCAGGGGCTGCGTCACATCAGCTGCACCTCTGTTGTGGACAGGAACACTTCTGACCCCTCCTCAGCTGGAGAACTGCTCCAGGGTTGAGTCCAGGCCTTGCTCACCTGCCCCTCTCCATCCCCCCACCTTCTGCCTTGGCATAGGCAGGGGCAGAACAATTCCCTGATGACCTTTTCTGGACACAAGATAACTTCCTGTTACCCAGGACGACAGGGAGGTTCCTTCTCTACGGAGCTGCCTTCAGGGACTCCTGGACACAACTGTGCAGAGACGCTAGGACGACACTGGCATGTGACGGGGTGGCGGGGGTCTGTGCCTTGAGCAGGAACCCCCAAGGCAGAGCCTGAGACCGAGCTTGAGTGCAGCTTTATTTGGGAAGTGGCCAGGGGGTGTAGTGGAGGTCAGGGGTGAAACAGAGGAGGGAGGGGAGCCCCTACTGTGGGCACTGGCTGCTTGGCCCACCAAGTTCTCCTGGAGGCTGTGGCCATGTCTTAGGATCCTCCGCCCTGATGTGAGAGGGAGCAAGTGTCCCCAGCTCTGTTACACTGTGCTGGGAAGATACTTTGGGTTGACATGTGTAATGCAAAGTGGATTTCCATAGAGAAGACCCCGGGGAGGGGTAGGAGGAGAGACAAGGGGCCTCCTGAGGCCCTGTTAGGTGTCCCCAACTGCAGGTGAGTGGAGGCTCATGTGAAACTTGTGACTGCAGTTGTGGCTGGAATAAGAGGTGCCCCCAGAGGGTCTCTGGTGCTGCCCAAGGTGTTGCCCTGTGCTGTGGATCCCAGGCTGCTTTACTTATTCTAAAAACTTATTATAGAACACTTGGAAAATACAGAAGAGCCTAGAAAATGAAATGAAAAGGACCTGCAATTCCACCCACCAGGGAGAACCCCAGTGAAAACTTTGTTGCATTCCTTTCCATCTTTTCTCTCTGCATAGGCACACTGTGCACATGGGCATATGTCCATCTGTCTATAGCTGAGACCATGCAGATTTTACAAGATTATCACAGATGTTCTGCAACGTTTCCCGTTTCGGGTCTGCTCTTTCTCTGCTTGGGGCCAATGCCTGCCCTTATAATCCCCTGGACACCTCTCAGCCATCCATCAACACTGGTCTGCTCTGAGACCATCCCTACTGACCAGCCCTACAGAGTTGTGACTACTCTGTTGTGAGCAAGGCTCTCCCACTGGGGGTTGACACATCTGCCTCTTTACCCAACTGGACTGCAAGTTCAAGGGTCTATGTGGCAGTCCAGCTGCACTGCTGTAATAAATTAAGTGAGAAAATGTATGAAAAGTGTCAAGAATAATTCTTGGCGCAGAGCGGCGACAGAGCAGTTAGAGTCTGCCACTGAAAGAGGAAAGAGATGGAATTGCTTGGATGGGGAAAGTGGGTCTTACTCATTGGTCTCAGTGTCCAGCATGGACCTTGCCGTACAACAGGCACTCAATAAATGTCTATTGACTAAGCATAGCCACAATGTATCTCATGGACTATTGCAAATTACAGAAACACAACTCAGACTAGTTTAGGAAAAAACAAACAAACAAAGAAAAACAGGCTTCCAAAATGAGGAGCTCAGTGTGTGGCTCTGGTTTCAGGTACTGTTGAGTCTAGGAGCTCAGGGTGTTACAGGGACTCAGTGTCTTTTTCCATCTTCTGGGGCTCTGTGCCTCTGTCTTGGCTTCCTGCGTGCACGGGACAAGAAGGTCTTGGGACTGTATTTTTGTTACAGTTTATGATCCCAGCAGATGAGGAGATCTCCCAAGGGTCCATCTAGCCGATCCCCAGGAAGCCGGAGGAGCCGCGGCTGGGTCAGGGGCCCAGTCCTGTGGTGGGGCTGGGACTGGCCCCTTCTCCACACTGAATGTGGTGATTTCCTACAGGAAAGGGGGCTCATTGTTGGAGGGAGGGAGGGAGGGAAAGAGGGGAGGGAGAAAGGGAGGGAAGGAGGGAGACAGTGCTACGTAAAATGAAAGCCAGTTCCATTAAAATGTCCGGCTTAGGCGCGGTAGCTCACGCCTGTAATCCCAGAACTTTGGGAGGCCGAGGCGGATGGATCACGAGGTCAGGAGATCGAGACCACGGTGAAACCCCGTCTTTACTAAAAACACAAAAAATTAGCCGGGCGCAGTGGCGGGCGCCTGTAGTCCCAGCTACTCGGGAGGCTGAGGCAGGAGAATGGCGTGAACCCGGGAGGAGGAGCTTGCAGTGAGCCAAGATCGCGCCACTGCACTCCAGCCTGGGCGACAGAGAGAGACTCTGTCTCAAAAAACAAACAAACAAACAAAAAAATGTCCGGCTTAGGACACAGATTTGGGGAACGAGCTGCACTAGATGCCCACGGAAGTGTCTGTAATGGCGATTGCCCGCCACCAGTCCAGGCCAATCAGCAGCCTCCTACCCTGCTGGCAGGTGATTGGCTCTGGTGAGTCACGTGGCTCAGCTGTGGCCAATGAAACGGAGGGTGCCCTGAGACTTTTCGCCGTCCGGGAGGGTACCCGGAGCGAGGCCTCTTCCTCCGCGCAGGGCGCCAGGCCTGCAGGCTACGGCGGAAAGGCTGCTGTCATATCGCCCCCAGCCCGTGGACGGCGCCAGCTCGGAGGAGTCAGGGAGCAGGACGCGGGGCCAGGGTCTGCATCCCGAGGCGCTCACAGCCGCCAGGAAAGCCGTTGGAATCCGAGGCAGCCGGCGCTTGAGGCAGGAACCACCCTAATTGATTACAGCTGTCATGTTTTCTGCGGCTCCGAACAGAACTGAGACGTCTGTTTCACAATTTACTAGCGGAGTTCATGAGCTTTGACAGCTCGATCGTATTTCCGGAAGCGATAAAAATGTTTCTCCTGGGGAACGCGGGTGCTGGTTTGCGCCACCTCTGCCCGCCCCGTCGGCCCCGCCCTCCAGCCTCCGGGGAGAAAGGGTTTTGCTGCACAGATGGAGTCCCAGGATGTGCAAATCATATTTATGTGAAAAGCATCCCATTTCCTTATCGACCCCCATAGGACTGTACAGACGCCCGGATCTGCAGACATGGCTGAGCCGCGGCCCAGTCCAGCCACTGCAGGGCTCCCCGAGCTTCCAACTAAGGGGACACCGAGACTGGGGACCTGCCACGGCCGTCCCAGGGCCCAGCCCGGAGTGAGGGGGTCATCGAAATGTTTGCTGCAGCCCACTGGACTTTGGGTTGGGTAGGAGGGAGGGACGGGATGCATGGACTGTGGTTTTTGGATGGACATACGGAATGATGGGTGGAGCTTCCTGAGCCAAGTTATCTGATTTGGGGAGAAGTGGTCTGAACCGGCTCTGGTTCTTGTAAGGGTATCACAGCATTTTTGCCTTTAGTCAAGGAAGGAGCATTCCCCCACTCCGCCCTGAGCTCTGGATACTCTTGGTCCTCTCATGTGAGGATTCAATTTGCTAATTCAGGGCCCAACACCCTCATCCAGATGCCCCCAGGCTCTGTTCCAGAAAGCTAGGGAGGAAGGAGAGGAGAGGGAAGGTGCGGGACCTGAGCGTGGAAGTCTGTGGCTTTGAGTAAAAGGGGCCGGGTGTGTGTGTGCATGTTTGTGTGGTGTGTGCGGGTGTGAGGGTTTGTGTGAGTGCATGAGGGTGTGTGCACGTGTGTGTAGGAGGTGTGTGTGTGCCTGATTGTGCGCACACCTGGCCCGTGTGTCGTCTGTGCTTGCACGTCGGCATGTAGCGTGTGTCTGCGTGTGATGCTGAGACAGCACCTGAGCATGGGGGGCGGTGTGCTCAGAAATGGGGGGCTGTGGTGCCCTCGCAGAGTCTGCTCTGCATGAAAGGGAAACTCTTCGAGGCTCTGAACTCCACGTCTTAGATCCACTTATATCTAAATAATCAGACATCTTTGTCTGCTGTGGGCCCCAGGAGCTGCTTCTGAATTTTTGAAAACAAGAAGCCACAGGTAGGCAGGTGAAAGTCACCCCGGCCTCAGAGGAGGGCTGTTTGAAGGATGGGGGTGGGTCTGCTGACTAGCCCAGTTTTGGGATGGGAGTGGCGGCTCCTGGTTCCCTAGCCCTCAGCTGCAAGCTCTCCCAACTTTGGGAGGGCCCAGGTCCTCCCCTATTGACAGGAGCTGTCAGTCCAGGGCCTCCCACTGATCCTCTTACCTTGGGTCCTGGGGATCCCCTAAATTCCTAGACCTTGTAAATCTTACACTGTTTCCTACGGTTCTCTGGGCATTCTGGCGCTCCCTGACTCAGTTTCCCTTAGATGGCCAGGTGGTGACTGGGCACATGGGCCTCAGTGGAGACACCTGCCACTTGCCACAGATAGATCCCTGCTGTGGTCAGAGTGGCCTTTTTTTTTTTTTTTTTTTTTTTTTTTTTTTTTAAGACAGGGTCTCACTCTGTTGCCCAGGCTGGAGTGCAGTGGCCTGATCACAGCTCACTGCAGCCTGACCTCCTGGGCTCAAGCCATCCTCCTGCCTCAGCCTCCCAAGTAGCTGGGACTACAGGCGTGCACTACCACACTGAGCTAATTTTTTGATTTTTTTATGGAGATGGGGATCTCACTTTGTTGTTCAGGCTGGTCTCCAACTCCTGGGCTCAAGCAATCCTCCCACCTTGGCCTACCAAAAGTGCTGGGATTACAGGCATGAGCCACTGCACCCGGCCCAGAGTAAGCCTTTTAATGGGTTTGGCAGGACATCTTGCTGAGAAGCCAAGGCAGGCCCTCTGCCACAGTGATAGCAGCTGGCCTTCCATGAGCACTTGTTCTGTGTAGCCCGTTGCCTGCATTCTCTCCCATGAATACTCACAGTCACCTTAGCAGGCAGGTGCCAGGTCTGGGCTCTGAACAAGCGCAGATCCACCTGACTCCCATTTTCTGTTCTGCCAAAATCCCTGCCCCCCGCCCCCCCCACCCCGCCAACTGCAGCCCCATTTCTTGCCTGCCCTATTCCTTCCACATCTCTGACATGTTTTCCCTCACTGTCTCATGGGCCAAAGCCATCCAGTGTTGGCCCACCTGGATCCCAGGCAGAGACCACTCTGACCGAGGCCTCTCTCTGTATAGCACTGAGGGAGCTTTTTCCCTTAGACCAGCTCCTCCAGCCTGACTCGGTGCTGTCCAACATCCTGGCCTTGGGCTTGGTGTGGAGCAGGGACCCAGGGCACATGGGAAGAACCAGGTTGGCCCTGAGAGATTCCAGATGAAGCTAGTGCTACCAAACCGCCGAGAGCCGACCCCTTGAGGGCACGGCTTGGAGCCCACTGTCTCGCCCAGGACTCTGCTCTCTGCAGCTGGCCACTTGATCAGACGCTTCCGTCCTTGCTGTGTGGCACAGGGTGTAAGGAGCCCCAGAAGCCCCCAGGCTGATGTGCCTGTTGACAGGAAGTACATTCTCCCAAGTTATGGCTATGGAAAGAAAGTCATTAGGTAAAGAAAAGCCCTTTTCCCTCCAAGAGGAAGGGGAAAGAACCTTGCAGGGATGGCTCCAGCCCAGCATTGCAGAGAACCTCTTTCCACTTGTATCAGGCTCGCAGCATGCCAGACTCTGTGTGACACAGCCCCCGGGTGACTGCTCTGCTTTCTTCCTGCCTCTGTGTGCTTTAGAAAGTCCCACTTATTTATAATTTTTCTTTTACGAGTGCTGCTGCTCGCCTTTGCCGCCAGCCGGGGGCTGCAGGGATGTAGCAGGAGAAGGCTGTAGTGGGTATCACATCCCGGCTCCAACCACTGGCTGCTGGGTGGCCCTGTCACAACAGCATTCAGACATCAGGCATCCCCTGTAACATGAGGGTCTTGGACAAATTTCTCTCTAAGCCCCTTTTTACTCAGGCATCCAAAGACAATTTATAACTCTAGGAATTGTGCTGAGCTCCCTCTTCCTGACCACTGGCTGCTTTTCCTTCTCAAGTGGCCTGGACAATATTTGAAAGAATACAAGACGATTACTGGTACAAACACAGACACGTAGACCAATGGACTAGAATAGAGAATCCAGAAATAAAGCTGCACACCTACAACTGTCTGATCTTCGACAAACCTGGTGAAAAGCAATGGGGAGAGGACTCCCCGTTCAATAAATGGTTCTGGGATGAGTGGCTAGCCATATGCAGAAGATTGAAACTGGACACCTTCTTTCTACCATATACAAAAATTAACTGAAGATGGATTAACGACTTAAATGTAAAACCCCAAACTATAAAAATCCTGGTGGACAGCCTAGGCAATACCATTCAGGACACAGGGATGGGCAAAGATTTCATGATGAAGACACCAAAAGCAATTGCAACAAAAGCAAAAATTGACACATGGGATCTAATTAAAGAGCTTCTGCACAGCAAAGGAAACTCTCAACACAGTGAACAGACAACTACAGAATGGGAGAAAATTTATGCAAACCATGCATCCAACAGAGGTCTAATATCCAGCATCTATAAGGAACTTAAACAGATTTACAAGAAAAACAGCCAACCCAACCCATTAAAAAGTGGGCAAAGGACATGAACAGACACTTTTCAAAAGAAAAATACACGTGACCAACAATCATATGAAAAAAAGCTCAGGGTCACTGATCATTAGAGAAACGCAAATCAAAACCACAGTGAGACGGCATCTCACACCAGTCAGAACGACCATTATTAAAAAGTCAAAAAATAACAGAGGCTGGCGAGGTTGCAGAGAAAAAGGAACGCTTACACACTGTTGCTGGGAGTGTAAATTAGTTTAACCATTGTGGAAGAAAGTGTGGCGATTCCTCAAAGACCTAAAAACAGAAATACCATTCCATTCAGCAATCCTATTACTGGGTACATACCCTAAGGAATATAAATTTGTTCTATAATAAAGACACATGCACACGTATGTTCATAGCAGCACTACTCGCAATAGCAAAGACATAGAATCAACCTAAATGCCTGTCAATGATAGACTGGATAAAGAAAATGTGGCACATATACACCATGGAATACTATGCAGCCACAGAAAAAGAATGAGATCATTCTTTTGTTTTTTGATATCAGTGCTACTATTGTGCCCCCTTTTTTAAATGCGGACACAGGCACAACAGAACAAGCTCTTCCTTACTCACACAGTTCATAAGTGGTAGCACAAGATTCAGCCTTGGCAACCTGGCCCCAGAGCCTGAATGCAGTGGTAACTGTGCTCTTTCCCAAGGAGGGGGAAGGAGTTGGGCTTCGGGGGTCCGTAGCCCTGAGCTTAAATCCCACCTCTGCAGTTTCCTGGCAGTGTGAGCCCTATGGACACCCCGTTGAAGGAATCCTACCTCACAGGGCTCTGTGGGCATTTGCTGGGGGACAGCCAGGGAGCTCAGGCAGGGCCAGCTGGGGGGATTGCCCATGAGGCTCTGCTGGGGATCACAGCAGAGGGGACAGGGGCTCCAGGGACATCAGGCTCTCCAGGGATCCCAGCTGGCCCAGGAAGAGGGAAGGGCTTTCAGCCTCAGGGCAGGGTCTGGGCAGCTCTTCTGCCTCCAGGCTGTCTATTCACCCCTTGCACCGATGTGAGCACTGAGTCTAGGAGGGAAGGAGCTCAGCACACTGATGGTGGCAGTAAAGTTGAGAGCAAACGCTTCACCAATGCCCAGCCCAGACCTCTCCTGATCAGTAATGGCAACATCCGGAAATATCAAGGCCGGCTACCACGTACTGCCCCGGGAGCTTTTTGCAGGTACCAGCCCATTCAGTCCTTACACACCCAGTGAGGCAGGCAGGACCACCCCCATTTCACTGGGGAGGACAACTGAGGCGTGGCGAGACAGCAGCTGCTTGTCCCCTGCACTTGCTACTCAGAGCCTGTGCAGTGGTGTCAGGGGCTTCCCAGGCTCACAGCTCGGTAGCTCTCCACCAGGTTCAGAGGAGTGGCTTGAAAACCCTCCCTTGTACATGTCTGTGGGTGACACTGAGTGCAAGGCACCCCAGGTGTCATAGCGGAGAGCTGTCTGGACTAGGAGTCAAAGGTGATCACTGAGCCAATTTCAGAGCCCTCAGACCCTTTCTGGGGGCTCCCAGGGGTTGTGGGGTTCACCTGTTATTTCCTCTTCCTTTGGCTCGTCTGAGGGTGGGTGCTGGAAGTCTGTAGAAGTGAGGCTCACAGGCAGTGGGTTGGTGAGGGCAGCACATATTCTGAAAAGGAAGTGCCAACCCCTAGGACTTCAGGTGCAGCCCAGGCAGACGTGTGCAATCACTTGGACTCAGGTGGGACACTGTCTGGGGTGCCAGGCAGGGTAGTAAACGCAGTCAGGCCTGTCCTTGTGAGCTCAGCTGGCTGGGGTGGAATCCCAGCTCTGTCTCCTGCCACTTGGGTCATGTCACTGCCCATGCCTCAGTTTCCCCATCTGTGAAATGGGAGTTATAATCAGGCCTTCTTTGGAGTGTGGCTGTGAAGATTCACTTAGGGGGCCAGCTGGAGAAAGCACCATGTGTCAGCTTTTCCTGGGGTGAGTTCCTCCGAGCCTGCCTGCCCTAACCTTGGCCCCGTGCACCACCCTGGGCCAGCAGGGCCTGAGATCTTCCCACGGAAGGGCCTCTCAGAGAACCCTGACAACGTGCCAGCGCCAGGGCGCCTCCTTTTTGGGAGGGCAGGGAAATGGGATTGGGCTCTGTTTTTTATGCTAAATTATGATATATTTCAAACATACAGAAAAGTATAACCCCGTCCACGCCCACTACTCAGATTCAATGCAGAGCAATGTTTGCTTTTGGTTTTTAAACAGGAAATAAACATTTGATTCGGCTGGAACCCCGCTCCCTCGCCGTTGCCCCGACCTCTTTCAGAACTCATTCCCCGCTCTCTCCCTGGATGAGACACTCTTTTGAGGTTGATTACCACCTTTCCTGTAGATGTTTTTATGTTTTTACTGTGTACGTCCATAAATCCATTTGAGATTATTTGAGTACTTTTTCATACACATCAGTTTGCACATATCCTCCTGCAAATGGCTTTTTCCACTCCACATAATTTTCTTTTATTGAGGTAAAATTCACACAACATAGAATTAACCATTCTAGAGTGTATGCCTGAGAGGCACCCAGCACATTCACAACGTGGTGTGACCATCACCTCTATCTAGTTCTGAAAGATTTCTGGCACCCACAGAGGAGACTTCATACAATGAAGCAGTACACTGGCCCCCCGACCCGGAGTCCCACTTCAGACAACCACCAATCTGCTTTCTGTCTCTGTGAATTTATCTCTGCTGGAAATTTCACATAAATGGAGTCATCCGATAGCCACATGATACCTCCAAGGCTCACCCGTGGTGGGACGTGTTGATCCAGCTCCTTCATCCTAGCTGCTGTGAGGAGTCCACTGCTTTGTAGATCATAGGTGAATCCACCTAGGCCCACCCCCCTTGCATATCATTCCAGGGCCTCACCAGTGGAGGGATTCTCCTTGTGCTCCTGGGGAAGGTCCCCAGTCCAGATTCTCTGATTTCCTAATGCTGCATAACAGACCACTCAGAACTCAGTGGCTTAAAGCAACCTGTTGATTATTTCTCTTGCTTCTGTGGCTTAACTGGGCTCAGCAGGCTGTTTTTCTGCTGGTCTCACTCACAGTCAGATGGCGGCTAGAGTGGAAGGCTGAGCGGGACGCTGGGATGGCTGGGCCTCTCTCCCTGTCCCTGTGGCCCTTCCAGCAGAGTAGCTGGCCCATCCATCAGGGCTCTGGGCCCCCAGAAGTATGAAAGCAGAAATCGCCAGGCCTCCCTATGGCCTGGACCCAGACACCCAGGCTGTGCCTTCCCCTGGTTAAAGCAAGTCACAAGCTCACCCAGCACCAACGTGGGAGGGGCCCACACATGCGTGGCTACTGGGGGCCATCCCCGAGACCAGCCCCCACACTGGGCTACAGGGCTCACAGTAGCTTCATCAAGTCATGGCTGTGGGTGCGTCCAGTGTCCTGGAATGCTGCTAAGCTGTTCTCCCAAGCGAGCCTCCTGTCCCACACTCCAGCTTCTCCGTGTCTTGGACCCTTCGGTGTCGCCTGTTTGGTGTGGAATGTGTGCCATTTTCATTTTTGTTTGCTTCTTCATGAGTCCTAGTGAAGGTGTGTGAGTTTCCTGTTGCTGCTGAAACAAATCAGCACCACTTGGTGGCTTAAAGCAACATAGATGCTGTATTCTTTTACAGTTCTGGAGGCCAGATGTCTGACACGGGTCTCACTGGGCAAAGCGAGGTGTTGGCAGGGCTGTACCCTCCTGAAGACTTTAGGAAAGAATGTTTCTCTTCTCCCTTCTCAGCTTCTTGAGACACCTTCTCTCCTTGGCTCACGTCTCCTTCCTCCATCTTCAAAGCCAGCAGTGCAGTGTTTTTTCATCTCTTTCCTCTGCTGTTGAGACTTCTGTGGTGACACTGAGCCCACCCAGGTCATCCAGGATGCTTGCCTCATCTCAAAGTCACTTCGTCACATCGGCAAAGTCGCTTTTGCCATACGCGGTGACACATAAATAGCTTCTGGGGATTAGGATGGGACATCTTTGCTGAGTGCAGATGGCGACTCTCCCCTCATGTGTGTTTGTAGGTCACTCGCTTTTCCAATTTAGGCAATCAGCAGTTTTCACTCTGTCATCTTTCTATTGTGTTGTAGATATTCACTGTGTGCAGACATCCCTGGTATCCTGGGGGACTGGTTCCCGGCCTCCCACAGATACCAATATCCACAGATGCTCAAGTCCTTGATCTAAAGTGGCATGGTATTTGCTTATAACCTATGCACATCCTCCCTGTACTTTAAATCATCTCTAGATTGTAATAGACAATGCAATGTAAATGCTACATGTGTAGTTGTTAAAGGGTATTTTTCAAACTTGTATTATTATTTATTTGGAGATGACATCTCACTCTGTCGCCCAGACTGAAGTGCACTGGTGCCATCTTGGCTCACTGTAACCTCCGCCTCTCTGGCTCAAGCATTCTCCTGCCTCAACCTCCCGAGTAGCTGGGATTACAGGTGCATGCCATCATGCCTGGCTAATTTTTGTATTTTTAGTAGAGACAGGGTTTCACTCCATTGGCCAGGGTGGTTTTGAACTCCCGACCTCAGGTGATCCACCTGCCTTGGCCTCCCAAAGTGTTGGGATTACAAGCATGAGCCACCGCACCCGGCCTATTATTATTATTTATTTTAAAAAATATTTTTGATTCTCAGCTAGCTGACTCTGAGGATGCAGAAGTGTCTGCAGATATGGAGGGCTGGCTGCATATCCTCCCATGGGTTACGGTTGCCAGGAATATGCTTCCAGTGTTGGCCTTATCCCTTTCTAACAAACAGGGAAACAACTGGCACCCTCAAATTGGGTATTTGATGAGAGTTTAAGAGAGGGACTAACGGCAAAGGTGCTGAGAAACCAACAGGGGCTGCTGCAGTTCCCCAAGCAGGCACCGAGCCACAGCCCTGCCATCCCCAGGTCTGGAGGGAGATGGAGCTGTGTGCAGAAAGCTGCCTAGCTGGTCTTATGCAAGCCCCCGTGATGCTATTGCAGGGTCCTGGGACTAAGATTCCTCACCTGGCCCTTCTCAGTCCTACAGCCTCCTGCCTGGGCTCCTGCTGGTCAAGTCCCAAGCCCTCCTACAGGGCCCAAGGAAGAGAGCTGTGGCTGGAGAGTCCACATGGCCACCTGTCTCACAGGGCAGAGAGATGCAGAGGTGACCACGGGTGTGCAGGGACAGGGTAAATACAGTGCATGTCCCAGCTTTGTGACAGCATCTTCTGTTCCAGAGAAAATGTCAATTTGGTCATATAGCAATATTTCCTTTATGAGTGCTTTTTTCCTGTTTTAAATAGGACAATTTTCCCTATCCTGAGATTATGTAAGACCATGAATACATTATTTTAAAAAATTGTATATACATGTACAATTTGTTATATATACACACAATTTATTATATATATATGTATGCATGTATATGCATAATTTTTAATTGTGGTAAATTAAAAATCCCCAGAACTGTCTTCATCTTACAAAACTGAAACTCTATGCCCATTAAATCGCTCTCCACTCTCCCTTCTCTCTCTGCCCCCACCCACAGCAACCAGCATTCTACTTTCTGTTCCTGTGAATTTGACTACTCTAAGTACCTCATATAAGTAGAATCATACTGTATTTGTCTTTTTGTGTCTGGTTAATTTCACTCAGCATAATGTCTTCAGGATTCATCTGTGTTGCAGCTTGTGTCAGGATTTTATTCCTTTTCATGGCTTAATAATATTCCATTGTATGGACAGATCACATTTTGTTTATCCATTCACCAGTCAATGGACACTTGCATTGTGTGTTAGGCCATGCTTGCATTGCTATAAAGAAATAACTGAGACTGGGCAATTTATAAGAAAAAAGGTTTAATTGGCTCCTGGTTCTGCAGGCTGTAGAGGAAGCATAGTGCCAGCATCTGTTTCTGGGGAGGTCTGAGAAAGCTTTTACTCACGGGTGGAGGTGAACCAGCAGCAAACATTTCACATAGTGAAAGCGGGAGCAAGAAAGAGAGTGAGGGGTAGGTGATGCCACACTTTGTAACATCCAGGTCTCACGAGAACTCACTCACTATTGCAAGGGTATCACCCAACCATGAGGGGTCCGCCCCCATGATCAAAACCCCTCCCACCAGGTCCCACCTTCAACACTGGGGATCACAGTGGGGATCACAATTCATCAGGAGATTTGGGCAGGACATTCAAACCATATCAGGTTGCTCCCACATTTAAACTACTGTGAACAATGCTGCTATGAGCGTGAGTGTACAAATATCTCTTCAAAACCCTGCTTTCAATTCTTTTGGGTATATACCCAGAAGTAGAATTGCGTGATCATATGGCAAGTCTATTTTTAGTGTTTTGAGGAACCTCCATACTCTTTTCTATCACACCATTTTACATTCCCACCAAACTGCATAAGGGCTTCCATTTCTCCACAGCCTCCCCAACACTTACCTTCTGCCTTTCTAAAAAATATAGTAGCATCCTAATGGGTGTGAGGTGGTGTCTTCTTGCAGCACATAGATACTCTTCTATGTATTTTTCTAGGAGTTAGAGCAGTTTGTTGTTCATATTCAGATCTTTATCCATGAGCTACTTATTTCTGAGGATTGCGTGGCACTCCTCCACTGTGCTTTTCTCCTCATTGGTCCCCACGAGATTTACG
This sequence comes from Homo sapiens, assembly GCF_000001405.40. Taxonomy (NCBI): domain Eukaryota; kingdom Metazoa; phylum Chordata; class Mammalia; order Primates; family Hominidae; genus Homo; species Homo sapiens. The sequence continues at coordinate 101,574,045 of NC_000014.9, read as the reverse complement.
GAGCAGCCCTCCATTCCCGCTGATGGCTGACAGCCCCTCAACTGCACGCTGTGCCCCCACATGCTGACAAGCCTCTCTGCAGGCTCTGCTCTATCCTGTGGTCTACCTGTATATCCTGCATGTTGCTGGGCCTCCTCATTCTGACTCTAAGTCGCTCTGTTCCCTTATGCTGGACTTGGCAGTATGTTTTTTCCAAAGGTGGCAGCTGCCATCTTTCTTTTTCCCCATGCTCTTTCCACAGTGTGACCTTGAGACTTCTATCAAATGGGGGTCCATGTCCCCTCCCTGGAGCCAGGCAGACCCCTGTGACTGCCTGGACAAATGGAATTTTCTGAAGTGATGCTCTGTAACTTCTGAGGCTTAGTTGTCACACCGCCACACGTGGATTCTCTTGGGATGCTCACATAGAGGGCAGGCTGACCTGTGGTCAGGACGCCAGATCACCTGGAGAGATACCATGTGGGTATTCCAGCTTCAGGCCTAGGGAGTTCCCAGCTGACAGCCGGCCACAGCCACCAGAAACGTGAAGCCCTTGAGATGACACCAGCCCAGCAGCCATCCGACTGCAACTTTGAGAGAAACCTCGGGCACGAACCACCCAGCAGAGCCCAGTCAGCCTCCAGAGCTACAAGAAGTGATGATAACATAATTGCTGTTGGTTTAAGCCACTGTGTTTTGGGGTGATCCATTGCATATGAATAAATAACAAAAATGCTGACCTTATTTTTCTTCATAACACCTTCAAACTATTTGATGTTGACTTATTGTTAACACCCAAAGCTTATGTGTTTATTATTACTCTCCCCTAAGCTAAGTGTGAGCTCCATTTGGGTGGGACTTTGCTGGTTCTGTTTCCTGTGGAGCAGGAATCATGACTGGCTCATTTTAGGCCTTGAATAAATATTTGTCAAAGGAAGGAGTGGGTGCATAATGTCTCTCCAATTGTTTCTTCTCCAAAATTTCTCCTGGCTATGCCTGGTTCTACTCTTTCATGTGAATGCTGGGATATACTTGTAAACAACCCTCTTGGGATTTTGTGTGGAATTGCATTGGATTTAGCGATGAATCTGGGAAGACCAACAGTATGCAAACTCCTGCAACCAGTGGAACTTTTAAGTGGAATCTACTCTGGGGTTTCAGTGTATTCCATACAAGAATAGTGCATTGTGGTTTCTGGTTCTGTATTGCCCTTAGAGGAGGATGGGTCCCCATAGGGATGGCTGTGAAGGTTGGGGTGCAGCCACAGGCAGGGGTGGTTAGAGAGGGCTCAAGTGCTTTCCCCAGGGAGGGTGCTGGGGGGCTGGGACCTGCGGTACACATGGAGCAGGAGCCTGGTGCTGTCCTCACTGCTGTGCATATGGAGCAGGAGCCGGGCGCTGCCCTCACTGCTGTGCACATGGAGTCGGAGCCTGGCACTGCCCTCACTGCTGTGCACGTGGAGCTGGAGCCTGGCGCTGCCCTCACTGCTGTACACATGGAGCAGGAGCCTGGTGCTGTCCTCACTGCTGTGCATATGGAGCAGGAGCCTGGCGCTGCCCTCACTGCTGTGCACATGGAGTCGGAGCCTGGCACTGCCCTCACTGCTGTGCACGTGGAGCTGGAGCCTGGCGCTGCCCTCACTGCTGTGCACGTGGAGCTGGAGCCTGGCGCTGCCCTCACTGCTGTGCACGTGGAGCTGGAGCCTGGCGCTGCCCTCACTGCTGTGCACGTGGAGCTGGAGCCTGGCGCTGCCCTCACTGCTGTGCACGTGGAGCTGGAGCCTGGCGCTGCCCTCACTGCTGTGCACGTGGAGCTGGAGCCTGGCGCTGCCCTCACTGCTGTGCACGTGGAGCTGGAGCCTGGCGCTGCCCTCACTGCAGTGCACGTGGAGCTGGAGCCTGGCGCTGCCCTCACTGCTGTGCACGTGGAGCTGGAGCCTGGCGCTGCCCTCACTGCTGTGCACGTGGAGCTGGAGCCTGGCGCTGCCCTCACTGCTGTGCACGTGGAGCTGGAGCCTGGCGCTGCCCTCACTGCTGTGCACCTGGAGCTGGAGCCTGGCGCTGCCCTCACTGCTGTGCACGTGGAGCTGGAGCCTGGCGCTGCCCTCACTGCTGTGCACGTGGAGCTGGAGCCTGGTGTTGCCCTCACTGCTGTGTTTGGCAGCCCTGAGCTCTGCCCAGAGCATCATGATTGGGCCCAGTAGTTCCAAAAAGTGGAGGAGGAAGTCCAGGCCAGAGAACACAGGGCTGTGGCCCAGATAGAGCTGAAACCCAGCATCTTCCTTCAGGTGATTAGGCCATCATGATGTAGCAGCAGCCCCTCAGCACAGATACCCTCCTCCTTCCCCCTCTGCTTATGTGTATGGCGCTTTCCTATCTCTCCCCTGGGCCTTCAAGGTAAAGGGTCAACTCCACACAGTGCCTTCCAGCGTCACCTTTTGTCCATGCCCTCTCCCTCCCTGGTCTCGTGGACTTCACTGCCATTGCCCACACCTGCCAGGATGACCCTCACTGCCAAGGCACCATACATGACATTTCTTCCATTCCGGAGGTTTTCCCCCAATTCTTCTTCATGATACAGCTCCTCCAGGAAGCCCTCCCTGACCTCCCTCCTTGGGTTTCCCACCTCTCAGGCTTTCTGTGTTGTTGATTTCTTTTTCTCCAGCTATCCTGTCTGCTCTGTTAGGATGGCAGTGGGGACAGGGACATGCCTGCTGAGCATCAGGGGCTCAGCAAGGCTGTAGAGAGTGATGGCGTTGTGTGGTATACCCCCATACGTTCTCACACACACGTGCACAGACATGTACACGTTAGACATGACACATCCTCACACAAACACACATGCAGACACACATGCATCATCACATATGCACATGCACAAAAGCACATACACATGTGCAGACACTTGCACATTATACACATGAACACAGATAACACACACATCACACACAGGCACACACCTGCATTACATATCTGACTGAATGATGTGTTTTGCAGTTTCCTGGCCTTTGCATACACAGCTACGTCTCTCTGGTATCTTCCTCTGCCCAGCCCTGGCCATGGCCTCCCTGAGTACTGGTGCACTGTGGTGGCGAGCATCCACTGCTGCCTGTACAGTGTCTAGCCCAGGGACAAGCAAACATCTACCAATTTCTCCACCACCCTCAGCTCCTGGTAACTACTCTTCTACCTTCTGCTTCGATGAGTTCAACTTTTTTAGATTCTACATGTAAGCAAGGTTGTGCAGTATTCGTCTTCCTGTGTCTGGCTTAATTCACTTAACATGATGTCTTCTAGGTTCATCCATGTTGTCAAAAGTGACAGGATTTCATTCTTTTTTATGGCTGAATAATATTCTGTTACATATATGTATCACATTTTCTTTATCTATTTATTCAGTGATGTTCAATTAGGCTGGTTCTGTATCTTGGCTAATGTGAACAGTGCTGCAGTGAACCTGGGAGTGCAGAGCTGTTTTTGGCACACTGATTTCATTCCCTTTGGATATATACCTGGAAGTGGAATTGCTGGATTATATGGTAGTCTATTTTTAATATTTTGAGGAACCTCCATACAGTTTTCAATATTGGCTACACCAGTTTACACCAATTTACACCAATTTTCATTTCCACCAACAGTGTTGCAAGGTTTATCTTTTCTCCATATTCTGGCCAACATTGGTTTTTTCTTTTTTCTTTTTTTGAGACGGAGTCTCGCTCTGTCGCCCAGGCTGGAGTGCAGTGGTGCGATCTCGGCTCACTGCAAGCTCCACCTCCCAGGTTCATGCCATTCTCCTGCCTCAGCTTCCCAAGTAGCTGGGACTACAGGTGCCCGCCACCACGCCTGGCCAATTTTTTATATTTTTAGTAGAGACGGGGTTTCACCGTGTTAGCCAGGATGGTCTCGATCTCCTGACCTCGTGATCTGCCCGCCTTGGCCTCACAAAGTGCTGGGATTACAGGTGTGAGCCACCGCGCCCGGCCCAACGCTTGTTATCTCTTTTGGTTTTTGACAGCGATTGTAACAGGTGTGAGGTCATGGCTCATTGTAGTTTTGATTTGCATTTTCCTGATGATTAGTGATGTGGGGCATTTTTTTTTTCACATATGCTCACCCCTCTGTGTACACAGGGGAGTGGGTCCAGGACTCACAGATTTACAAAATCAGTTGGCCCTGTGGAACTCACATATACAAAAAATCAAGTTTGCCCTCTGTATATGCAGGTTTCATATCCTGCAAATGCTGTAGTTTCGACCTGTGTTTGATTGCAAATAATCTACAGATAAGTGGACCTTTGCAATTCAAACCTGTATGGTTCAAGGATCAGCTGTATCTGTTGGCTATCTGTATGTTTTCTTTTTGAAAGATGTCTATTCAGGTCCTTTGCCCATTTAATTTTTTTTTGTTTTAGAGATGGGGTCTTGCCATGTTGCCCAGGCTGGTCTTGAACTCCTGAACTCAAGGAATCCCCCTACCTCAGCCACCCAAAGCTGGAATTACAGGTGAGCCACCACCTTCAGCCTTTGCCCTTTCTTTAACTGGGGTTATTTGTTTTGTCGCTATTGACTTGTTTGTGTTTCTTGTCTATTTCAGAGATAAACCCCTCATCAGATGCATGGTTTGCAGATATTTTCTCCCGTTCCTTAGGTTGCCTCCTCCCTCTGTTGATTGTTTCTTTTGCCTTTTAGTTTGATGCAATCTCCTTTGTCTATTTTTGCTTTTGTTGCCTGTGCTTTTGGGGTCATATTTATGAGCCAATTCCTTGCAGTAAATCGAAATCAATCAATCAATCAATCTGTCTATCTATCTCCTATTAGCTCTGTTTCACTGAATAACCCAGACTAACACATAATTTAAAATGTTACTTTTTCTTTATTTGTAATGAATTATATAGCAAATAAACACCATGACGAGTTGAGATGCCATGGAAGAAAGGAAAAGGCTTTATATGGGGTAGCTTTAGTGGCACCCTCCCCTGCTTTTTGAACAGGGACCCCACATTTTCATTTTGCACTGAGCCCTGCAGCTTATGTAGCTGGCTGTGCTGATAGTCATTTCTTCCTTAGCCCCAGGTCATCAGATGCAGTCTCTGGAGAGTCTGGGGGCCTCTGTCTGGCCACAGGCATTCAACTATTTCTGGAAATTGGAACCGAAGACCTCAGGGACCATGGTTTCATTGTTCTCAACCCATCCTTTGAGCTCTGAGACCGCTCCTCCCAGGGCCTCAGATTATACCATTGTCCACTCTTCCTCCGCTCAGGGCTGTTATATTTAGAAAAATAAACAAACAATCCAGACTGTCCAGCTGAATGTGAATTTCAGATGAAAAACAAATCATTGTTTAGCACAAGTGTGTCCCAGATCTTGCATGGGATATACTTATACTAAAAACATTTTGTATTAATTGTTTATCTGAAATTCAGATTTAACTGGGTGTCCTGTACTTTATTCAGCAGGCCTACCCCTGCCATGCCCCCAGTGCCCCCAAGCCTTTCACTGCCATAGCACTGCCCTGCTCCTTCTCCCCTTCCCCCGGCTCCACCTCTCTATCTCCTACCCAAGGCCTAGCCCAGAACCCACCATCTCCAGCCAGAACCTCTGTCTGCCTCATGGCCTGGCCTCCCCGCCTCCAGGATTCCACTTACCAAAGCCACTGTTTTTGCTGTTTTGCGTTTTATTTTTCTGCCATAAGAGGAATACACATTCACTACAGAAAAATCACAGGCTACAGAGAAGCAACAAGAAGAAAGTAAGAAAACACTCATAATCCCACCCACACAAAGACAACTACTGCGAATACCTCGGGGTAGATTTTTCTAGAGCTGTATGTGTGTGAGCGTCTCTGCAGATATTTATAAAAGAGCACACACTCACTGCCCCGGTTCAGGCCTGTTGTCCTATAAGCTGAGTTTTCCTGTCACTCTAGACTGCAAAATCTCAGTGTCCTGAGTTGTTTTAGCCTCTGCAAGGGATGCTGGGGAGCCTGAAGTGAAACCCCCAGACACTGGGGTCAGACGGGCCTATGGTCAAAAACACTTTGTAGTACATGACCTTGCGTATTGGTTTGCTGGGGCATGCTATAGCAACATACCGCAGATGGGCGGCTTGAACAAAAGAAATTAATTTTCTTACAGTTCTGGAGGCTGGAAATCCAAGACCGAGATGTCAGCCAGGATGGTTTCTATTGAGGTCTGTCTTGGCTTGTAGATGGCCACCTTCTTACTGTGTCCTTATATGGTCTTTCCTTTGTGTGTCTGTATCCTGATCTCTTCTTTAGGGACACTAGTCATATTGGATCAGGGCCCACCCTAATGACCTCATTTCAATGTACTCACCTCTTTCCAGGCCCTATCTCCAAACAACCCGCATTTCCTCAAAAATGCGGACTTCAACATGTCTTTTGGGGGAACAAAGACTTTTGGGGAACAAAGTCTTTGGAGGAACACAGGTCAGACCATGATGCCTTGCCCAGCTCACTCCAAACATGCTGAGCCTCAGTGTCTTCGTCGATGAAATGGGGTGAGTGGTCATATTCATGTAAGAGGAGTGTTAGGATGACCAAATCAGGTCGTCCTGATAATTCACTTGCCTGGCCCCTGGCCCCCGGAGCAAGTGCCCCAATGTCACTCCCTGCTCTTCTTGCTCCCCTGCAGGTGGATCAGAGGGGGCCATGGACCTCCTGGTACCTCTTCACCCCTTTGCTCACCAGTTTGGTTATTCCCTCCAGGTAAGTTCCTAGAGGAGAGTTGCTGGATGGAAGGTGGAGATGCCAGCCTGAGCCCTGAAAGTGCACCTGCCCACCCCCATCGGGGTGGGTAGATGGATGTGCCCCCAGCCCCATCCTCAGGCCTCCCATGGCTCCTCCCCATCTGACTGCCTGCCCCACCTTACTGTCAGAGGCTTCTGTCCCCAAAGGCTCAGCAGAGTTGCAAGCTGGTGCCTAAAGCTCTTCTCAAGCTGGCTGGGCCCCTTTCTGCCTCTCCCCTTCTTCATTGCCCTTGTCACCCTCCTGCTTTGTAGCCGCACTGAGGACTCCTTGCTTTCTGAACATGACATACACCTTCAGGCCTCCAGGGCTTTGCACTGGCAGTGCCCTCTGCCAGGGATGCCCTTCCTTCTATCTATGCCGTCCTGGGGAGCCACCTGTGCCTTCGAGGGGCAAATAAGACCCTTTCTATGAACTCTTTTAATGCCCCTCCTCTCTCTCCTTGCTCAAGGCTAAACCATCTGCTAAGGCCACACTGGACCTTGAAAAGATACTAATTGTGAGGGTGATGGCAACTGCGACACCAGCAATGGCTGTCTCCTCACTCTGTTCCCCACTGATCCCAGCATTCCTCAAGGGGCCTCAGCCATCCAGATGGTGCCAGGCACAAATCAACCTACAGGTGCAGACCTGCTCAGATTAGATGGATTGACAGGTGAGGGGGCCAGGGTAGGAACGGCATGAGAACAGAGTACGTATGTGTGTGTGTGTGGGTGGGGGGGTGGTGGTGTCATCAAACACTATGTGGCATGATTGCAATTAGGGAAAATATGTTTGAGAATGTGCTTGTTCTCATCTGAGAATATTACATATTGGATGGTCAATATGTGAAATAGAATCTGGAGAGAAACGCACCCAACAGTCACCAGGGGCTGTCCTGGTTGAGGGAGGAATGGGGATGATCAGGTGGTGGCTTGCAAACATTTTTGATCCCTCAGGAGAAATACGCTTCATTTCAACCACCTGGTACACACACATACACATGCTCACACATACACTCCCACATACACATATGCACACACACTCACTCACACGTGATAGGTATAACTGAAGCCAAAGTTGCAGAAACTCCAGCTACCCTAGGTGAAATGTACGCTGCTATTCTTACTGTGTTTATTTTATTTCATTCTTCCAATTATTGACTTGATTATTGACTTGATTCCAATTATTGACAGATTATTGACTTGATCTGATAAATTGATTTCATGCCCCGCTGCTGGGCCCTGATTTATAGTTTGAAAGCTCCTGCTCTGAGGGAGGGTTTGCATTTTCTGCTCTGTGTTCTTCTGTTTTTAAAATTTAATATGGAGGATGGATTCAACTATTGTCTTTGTAATTTTTCACTTAAAAATAAAGGGAGAGAGAGGGAGCAATGGGAAAATACAAAACAATAAAAGTCAAACAGGCTTCCTGAAGGCAGCTCAGCAAAATGCGGCAAAACAGATCTCTTTAAAGGTGTACATACTTCTCGTCGGAGCTGCTTCACTTTAAGACACGTTACTAGCTGGGGTAACCGGGTACAGAGCTGCGCTCATAGGCTGCTGACCCCGACTTTGTTTGTAATAATGAAACATCCCTAACATCTGGGATGCCCACACATGGACCCCTGCTGGTCATCCAATTGAGTGCGATGCGCGGCTATTCAAGACTTATTTATGGACACGGAAAGAAGGGTGCAGGAAAGAAGGGGCGCCCTGGGATTAAGAAGTTACTGGCAGGCTACAAAAGTATAACACCACCCTGCCCTTGTTTTCAAAATATGTATTTGCAAGTGTGAGGGAGAGGGACACAGAGAGACAAGTGTGGAGTGAGGGGGCTCCACACGCAGGAAGAGTTGGGTTGGTTTTAGTTCCTTCTCGGAGTTCTGTTGTATCGGCAATGAGCTTGCATTGCTTTCATAGGGGACATTTTCAAGGAAAAGAGAGAAAGAAGAAAGGAAAGGAAGAAACAGAAAAAGAAGGAGGGGAAAGTAAGAGAGAAAGAAAAGGAAAGATGAAGGGGAAGCAGGGAGGAAGGGAAGGAAGAAGAGAGAAATAAAAAAAGTGGGGGTGGTGGGACTTCCCTGGAGCTGCGACCAGAGCGAGTGCGGCCCGTGCGGGGAGTGGCTGGCGCTGCAGGTCCCGGCGCTGCGGCGCGAAAGCGCTTTTTGGAGTTTCGATCTGGGAAGCTCCAGGAAGCCCAGGGGGCGCAGGCTTTCCGGGTAGGAGAGGTCGCTTGGCGCGTCCAAGGGGACCCCCAAGCCACCGGTAGGGACGCGGAGCGGCTGGAGCGGTCTCTGCTGGGCCGGGAGGCTGACGCTGTCCCAGGCCACCCTCCGCGCCACCAAGCTCCAGTCCCGGCCAGCCGCGCGTGCGGGGAGGTCAGGGAGGACTCTCCCAGGCGCCGGGCCGCGTCCCTGCCGCGATCTCCTTTGCTTCCTGGCGGTTTCGGGATGAGAAGGAGCGTTCGCGGAGGTAGGTAGGGGTTGGTGGTAGTGGGGAGGAGATGCAGAAATTTCGTGGGTGCCAAAGTTTTCTTTAAAGTTATTTTTCAATTGAGATACTTTTAAAGGAAAAAAAAATCCACAAATTTAGGATGTCAGTTTCAAAAAGTTTTTACGGAGGAGCAGCGCGGGGGCTGGGCGCAGAATTAGGGACGCCGTTGGCTGAACGGGGGCGTCTCTTCCATCCTGCCTGCCGCGCCCCTCTGCACCCCTACCCAACCCTGCCATGTACACCCGCGCTCACATCCAAGCGCGCAAACCGACACTACTCACCCCCACCCCCGGCGACCCTGACAATCCTGGGTTCCCAGGCATTGTCCTGGCGCGCCAGGGAAGTTGCCGTGCCCAGTCCCCTCACCTGGATCCGTACACTCCCGCCTCAGCGGCTTTCACTGTGTCCCCCACCTTTCACTTAATGTTCAAGGTTTCGCTGGCACAGGGGCTGCGGGCTAAGCTAATCCCGCGTCCCCCGGGTCGCCCTCACTCCGGGCGCAACAGGCGAGACAGTGAGGGCGGGGATTGCGCGAGAGCGAGCCCCTGGCCGTGACTGCAAGAGGGGACCTGTGCCTAAGGCCCCGAATCCCCGCCCCAGCCCTGGAATCCACCATTCACCTCTCCCTGGTCTCTCTCTCTTCATCCCAGCGGCCTCCCACCTCTGCTTCCCAGCACGGAGCGGGTGGTGGGGTTTGACTGGAGCTTGGGGAAGCGGAGGAGGGACAGGAGGAGGGGGGTCCTGGGCAGGGGGCGCACCCAGCAGCACGCTGGCCCGGCAGTAGGAGCCGCAGCTGGAGTGAGGGCGCCCCTCTGCCAAGGCGCGCCTCCAGCGGACCTCAGCTGCCTGGAGCGGGTGGGCAAGAGGCAAGGTTGCAGGTGCCGGAAGGGGGCCAGGGAGGAGTCAGGTGCGCAGTGGTGCCTGCAGCGGTCGGGAGCCAGGCTGTACCGGGTCCAAAGCCCCTCTCGCCCTCCACCTCACCCAACCCCCTCCACACACCGCCGGATACTCAGTTAAGTTGGATCGGCGGCTGCAGGGGCAGCTGCATCTGTTCGGTCTGTGTGTGCGCGCGCGGGAGCAAGAGAGGGCCCCCTTGCCTCTCCCGCCGCTTTCCAGGATCCCGCGGCGCTCCGCTACCTCGCTCTTCTCCCGCAGCTAAGTTCCCCGTCCAGGTGGGTGCGTGCGGTTGTAGGAGCGCCCCGGGCACCGCCGCAGACCCTCTTCCTCCTCCATCCTCCTCCAGCGCCCCTGCCAGCCTAGGCTCCTTCCCGTCCCGCTTCCCAAGGTCACTATGGGGACGCGAGGGAGGGATTTGTGTTTAATTCCTGCCGCTATTCAGAGGGAAAAGAAAATAAAGGGACCAAAGGCAACCAGAAAGCAGTTTACCTCAAGCCTTTATTATTGTAGATTGAAAGAAGTTTATATACAGGAAATATTTCCAGCAAAACACTCACCAAATGGCCTTCGAATCAGGGGCCCTCCACCTCCCAGCCCCACAATCAGCAGCTCTGCCTAGGACTCCCCTCACTTGGGGACCTCAGGCTCTCCCCCCACCTCTCTTTCCCCGGACTCCATCACCCCAACGTCATTCCCCAGGAGTCTCAGCTTTTTCTCTCTCCCTGGGGCGCTGCGAACCTCGCCAATGCCTCTCAAGCTATCTTCCTCTGGTCCCAAAGCAGACACCCCAACTTCCCTCCCATTTAAGGTGGTTACCTCACGGAAACCCAGAGCACCCTCCCCCTCAAGGTTTAGGTGCTGCTTTGAGGCCCCTGCAATTCAGAACTAGCTCGTGGTCAAGACCAGTTAGAGATAGTTCGTCATCAGCAGTGGGGCTCCTGTGCACCCAAAACAAGCGGGGGAAACTACCCTGCCCACCCCTCCCCATCCACGACATCACTTCCCCTACCAGGGACAGGAAACAGACACAAAAGCAACAGGGAACCCCCTCTCCGCGCGCGACAGGTGGGTGCCAGGCAACTAGCTCAGCTGAGCTGAGAGTCTCCTGGAACCCAGCTGCGCTCAGGGCGCGCGGGCGTGGCCAAGGTCTCTGTGCAGCTGCGGGAAGCACCGGGCCAAAGCACTTGGCTGAGGGCACGCTGGGGAGGGGGTGTAAGAAAATGCTGTAGAGGCAAAGTCCTGGGGGCACACGGACAAGGGCAAGCCATATCCCGCGCTCAAAAGAGGATTTCCAGTGAGCCAGGCAGGTGTGAATGAGACAGTTACAGAAGCAGAGTCCCAGGGAGGTAGGGGAGATTGTTCATGTGGCTGAGGGTGCAGACTCAGTCTGAAATGGTGGCTCAGCACATCAGTGTCACTGGGGCCTCGCCAAGCGTGACTTGGTTTGAGGCGCTTGCACGTGGGCTTCGAAGGCTCGAAGGCCCAGCCCACCAAGTTCAGTCAATTGTCCGTTGGATGTTTACACCCTCCGGGGCCGAGCGCCGTGCAGTTGCTCATCATAGCGTTCCAACCAAGTGCGCAGCTCAGAGACCTGGTAGCCGTCGGGGCCACGGCCGCCCTGGTACATAATAGTGCCACTCTGGATGACATAGAGACGCTCGAAGTAGGCGCCATAGGCCGAGCTGCTGGAGTTGGCCATGGTGTCGAGGACCAGAGCGCAGCCGGGTGCACCTTGCTGCAGTACCCTCGCTGCGCTGACCCGGTCCTCCAGGCTCCGGTGCTGTGGGATGATGTAGGGAGAGTCCGTGGTGACCCAGCCGTCGGAGGGGTGCGCTTCCTCGATGTAGATGATGAGGAAGTCGACGTCGCGCTGGTACTTAGTGACCAGGCGCTGGAAGGCGCTCATGCGCGCCATGAACGGTGGTCAGGTGCAGCTGCCGAAATTGAGAACCAGCGGGCGGTTCCCTTGCGCGTAGTCGAGGATGTGCTGGCTCTGGAAGCCGTCGGGCAGAACCACCTCGGAGTTGGGCGCCGGACCGCCCTCGTGCGCCTGCTTGAAGAAATCCAACTTCTGGCCATGCCACACCGCCTTGAGCGACGCCAGGGTGCACAGGCGGTTGTCGTCGGACACGCAGATGGGCGGGTCATCGGGAGGCACCTCCTCGCCTTCACTGTTGAGCTCCACTTCGGGCTCGGGCTGCCCCCGGCGGCGGCGGCCCAGGAAATGCTTGCGGATACACAAGAAATCGAGAAGCCAGAGCATGAAGGCCGTGCCGAGGAAGCGCGGGAAGAGCACGAGGCACGAGGCGGTCTGGGCGCAGAGCCTCAAGGAGTGAAGCAGCAGGGAGCGGAGCATGGTGGCTGCAGGCCCCGAAGCCCCCTGGGACCCCTCGCCCTCTCCGACCACCAACCGCGACGTGGCCTGGCGAGGCATCTGGGCTTCAGCAGTGCAGGGAGTTCAATTTATAGCGGAGGCTTCAATTGGCGGGAGACTCCACCTCCGGCCCGGCCCGCCCCCTTGCAACTTGAGCCCGGAGGGATCACCCAGCAGCGCGGCCAATGCCCTAGAAATCTTGGGCTGAGGGCGGGCGCAGGCGGGCGGAGGGCGGAGCGGCCGGGCCTGGGGCCGGTGGGGGCGGGCCCGGGCCCCGCAGCCAGCTCTCGGGGGCGGGGGACTCCGGCAGCCGCTGCCGCTGGGGACCGGGAGCCCGACCAGGGACCTGGGCGTCCGCTGGGGAGGTCCTCCAGCTGGCGCGAGCGCTGCGCGCCGCCCTGGTCCCCGCCGCCTGGCTCCGGCCCGCGCCCCCCTCGCCGCGCACCTGAGCCGAGCTCCCCGGCGGCCGCCGAGCCGCGCCGGAGCTCCGGTTCGCTTCCCGCGCGCCGCCGCCAACGCCGCCCACGCCGCTGCCGCTCGTGCGGGGCCGCTGCCCAGGTGCCGCGGGAGGCCGGGTCCGCGGCCGCCGCTTCGGTGGCCCCGGCTCCCGCCCCACCGAGGACGCGGGCCAGCGAGGAGGCAACTTTGCGTTCCCGCCGCCTTCCTGGCTCGCCCGCGGGCGCCGCTCGCCTGCCGGAGCCCGCCCGCCCGCCTCCCGCGCGCGCTCACACTCGCGCCTCGCACACGGCCGCCCCCCGCACCGCCCCGCCACGCACACCGCGCTCCGCGCCCCCCGCCGCTGCCCGAGGCTGCCGCGCGCCGCCCCAGCCCGCGCCGCCCTGGCCGCGCCCGCCCCGTCCCATCTCGTTCCAGCGGGGCGCCGCGGTTCCTGGGTCAGCGGCCGCCGGGGCCGGGCTGAGAGGTGCGGAGGGCAGAGCCCGCGGGCGGGTTACCGCCGGGCGCCGGAGACCGGAGAGCTGGGGAAAGCGGCGCCGGCCCTGCGCCCCCAGCCGACCCGGGCGCGGGGCGCCACGGGCGTGGGGCGCGGGGCAGCGGGCGCGGGGCGGCGCCGGCCCCGGGCGGCTCTCCCACTAGGGGTAGCTGTTGCCTGAACGCCGGAGCGCTCCCCTCTCGCCGCTTGCCTCGCCCAGCGCAGCCCCGGCCGCTGGGCGCACCCGTCCCGTTCGTCCCCGGACGTTGCTCTCTACCCCGGGAACGTCGAGACTGGAGCGCCCGAACTGAGCCACCTTCGCGGACCCCGAGAGCGGCGGCGCGACTCACCGCGGAGGCGCCCGGACGCGTCAAGTGCGTACTTTCAACCGTAAATGGGTGCTGAGCGTTTAGGGGTGCGGGGCAACTCCCTAACTCGTGGGGCCCTGGCCGGCCCTGCCGCGGCGTCCGAGACCTTCTGATCCCTCGCTGCGCGCGGCGCGGGGTTGGCGACTTGGGCTCAGGGGCGGCGGGGCGGGGAGGTGCCTTGACCTAGGGACCCAGAGGCCGGGAGCAAGTCTCCTTTCGCCTTGGACTGCAGTGTCCCCCAGGGCAAGGCCTGAACCAGGTCGCGAGGGTCTGTCTCCCGTCTGGGGAGCTGAACTGCCCGAGACACTGTCGCAGTCGCGGGGACTTGTCTGGAGCGGCGGGGTCTGAGCCCAAGTCGGAAGCCGCCGCCGCCGCCAGCGTCCCGTGCGCCTGCCGCCCCGGGACCAGCCGCGAAACTTCTTCTCGGGACGGAGACAGCGCTCGCCGCCCGGGCCGAGGTAGGAGCTGGCTGGGCTCGGTAGAGCGCGGGCGAATCGCTTTCGGCAGCGAAGGAACGTGTCGGGAGAAGCCAACTGCAGGACCAGGGCCCCAGCGGGCGCGCAGAGACGCCTGCCTTGGGCGGAGGTCCCCCCCTCCGGTTTTCGTGGCTCTGGTAGGGCCCTCTGTCCCGTGAGCTCCTCACTGGACCTGAGGCTACAGGCTTCAGCAGGTCAAGCGCCCGAGTGTGCCTGGAGGATTGGCGGCGGGGTGGCATGAGAAGGTGGCCCCTCTTCTCCATCTCCCAGTCAGGCGATTTCTCTGCTGTCTGGGGCAGGGGCGCACACCCCAGGAACTTACTACGTAGAGGGAAGCCAGCCTGGTCTCTCCCCCTTGCGTCAGTGCTCCTAAGCTGCCCCTCACCACTCTGGGTAGGGGTCTTTCAGGTGGGCTAGGGAATTCTCCTTGGAAGTCCCCTTGTTTGCTCCCCTCCATCAGGGCACCTCTGAGTTAGCCAATCATCCTCTTTTCTGGCCTCTTTTTTGCGGGGAGGAGAGTAGAGAGAGAAGCCTCCTACTCGGCAGGTCTCTGAGAGGAGGTTTGGGGGGGCTTCTGAGGTTGCTCCTCCTGGGCAGAGTCAAGGGGTGTTGAGGGTTCCAACTTTTACTGGACAATCTCTCAAGCTCTGATTCCCTGATTTCTGGGAGGTGTCAGTGTAGGGCTTGTGTCCTGCCCCACCCACACAGCATTTGGTGCAGGCACATGGGATGGTTCCCCAAGCCCTTTTCCCACAGTTAGTTTCAGAAAATGCATAAGCCACCTAAGGCTGGGAGAGCCTTTCTGTGCTGGCTGAGATCTGGTGGCATGTGCATGCATATGTGTGCAAGTGTGTGTGTGTGTGTGCAAGTGTGTGTGCGCATGTGCATGTGTGTGGAAAGTATGGTCTGGGTGGCTGTAAGACTGGCCCCTCTTGTCCCCTCTGCAGGCCCAGCCCAATAGGAAGCACCTGATCCACACTCTTTCTAGCCCCAGGGATGCTCAGGAAAGCAGCCTTTCTTTAGGGCTGTCATCTGTTCTGGGGATCTGTTGCTGTTTCTTGGGCCCACAGAATACACTCCACACCTCGGGACTCCATAATATTGGACAAGGCTGGAAGGCCCATTTGGCTCCTGCAGCCTCTTATGCAGGTGAGGACAGACCCAAGGTCCAGGCAATGCTGGCCTTTGGAACACAGAACCTGGCTCACTGACTCCCACTCCAGTTGTCTTTTCCCTCTGCCTCTGGAGCAACCCTCTCTCCTCCAGAGCAACCCCTGTCCCTCCTTCCTACCTCTCTCTAGGGCTGCACCCCCAGCTCACCTTAGACCTGGCCCTTCCTACCTGTTGCCCCTACTGTCTTGTCCCATCCCAGTGGTCAGGAGGGAGAGTACTGGCCAAAGGCCCAGCTCCACCTGTGACTTAGGGGAGTGCCAGGCATCACCCAGAGGTCCCGGCCCTCGGGGGCCTGGCAGGCTCTGCTGTGGGGGAAGCAGAGTTAGAACTGGGGCTGCTTCTCCTGTCCCCCAGCCTGGCTGGGCCTCCCCCACCTCCCTTTCTGCCTGCCCTCTTACAACTCCAGCAGGGGGCGGGCAGGGGAAAGAAAAGGAGGGACAAGTTGGATGGGGTCCATTTGGTGTCCAGGAACAACTTGGAGAGAGGCGGGGAGGGGACAGGCAGCAGGGCCCTGGCAGAGCCAGGGGAGGGCTGGCCTTTGGATGGCCTTCTGATCCCAAGCCCATCCTCCTGGGGCAGTCTTCCCTTGAAAGGGAGGGTTTGGTGAACCCTGGTGCGGACCCCCCCGCCGGACCTCACTGCCCCAGTGCGGGGCGTGGTAGGCGGGTTTGCAATGGGTACAGCCTCTCTCTCCATTCCAGTAGAGCAGCTCCCAGGGCCCAGAGAGGCTGTCACTGAGACTTCCCTCTGGGGTGGGGTGGGTTCTGGTGGCCCTGTGTTCCCCTGCAGGAGGACCTCCTGAGGCTTCGGGCAGGAGCTGGTGCACACCTGGAGGAGAGTGCTGGTGAATGGCAGGTGTGTGCCTCAGTGTCCTTGCTGCCAGGGTGTCAGCCCTGCTTCACCACTGGCCGTTTGTCTCTGTCCCCTCCACTGGCCTCTTGAAGCACAGAGACCCTCCGGGTACTTTCCTTCCTCTGGGCTTCCACTCATGCTATTCCCTGCTCCCTTTTTCTACCTGGAGACCCCCATTCCTCCTCCTCCTCTGCTGCCCTCACCTCCACCTGGGCCCTCCCAGCTCCCGGGAGATGGCTGAACCCCACTCCCCACCCGCTAGTCATCCTCTTCAGCGGTCCTCCCAGAGCTGTCCTCAGCATGGCAGCCTCCACAGCCCCTGGGTGTCACCCCCGGTTTCGTGTCTGCCTCGGACTCCAGACCTGCCCCTCCCAGGCTGGCCCAGATGGATCCTCTACAGTGACTAACCCAAACCAGCACCAGGCAGGGACCCAATAAACCTTTGTGAATGGAGTAAATGAGTGCGGTGTGTACTTACTGAAAACTCCTTGTTTGGGGAGAAACTCAGGGTATTTCACTCTGTCCTTTTGCGCACCTGCAGCAGTGAGCTGGGGCGGCATGTTGGCAGCCAGGGCTGAGCACGGTGGGTCAGGACCTGCCGCTGTGAGCAGACAACACTTCCTGGGAAGTCCCCTTGGGGCGTGGTGTCTGGTGAATGCACCCATCACCTGGTCACTGGGCCAATCCGTTTCCCTTTCTGGGCTAAACAGGTCTTCCCACGGGTACCTGGGCCCTCCCACGGAGGTATTTACCCTTCTCATTTACTTTAAGAATGAATTCTTCTATCCAAACACTTGGCTAGGTTGATCATGGGGACACCCTGCAGGGGATGGGGTGGGAGATGGCTGAGGGACCCAGAGCTCTGGTCTGAGCGGTGTCCTCAACATGGCAGACCTCCATCCCTCTGGGAGTTTGAGGCAGGCACAGGGGAGGTGGCGGGACTCTGGGGTGACTGGGCAGGCTGGGATCCCAGCCAGGACAGCTTGTCAGGGCCCCAGGGCCTGGATCTAGCAGAGGTGTTTGGCAGCATTTGGGGGTTGGAGAAGGTCTGGGGCTCCCGGCCAAGGAGAGGAGAAGGCCTAGGAGGCAGTGCCCTGGCTACTTGCTGTGTGACCCTGTGCATCTCTGGCCCCTTCCTCAGGTCTCGTCTGCATCAGGAGTGGGTTGGGTGGTGACTTTCCAGTGCCTTCCCCATGGGTCATTCTGCACGCCAGAAGGTCCTAGGAAGTTCTAGGAGACGCTATTCTGGCCCTACCTGCTGTTCTGCGGCTGCTGAGAGCCCCACTTGAGGACGAAGGTGCCCCAGTGCTGGTCCTACCTGGCCTCATGCTCTGCCACTTCCACCCAGTACCGCCTTCGCCTGCCCGCTTCCTGCCGCAGCTCAGGGCCCTCCAGCCCGGCCTGGGCTCTGACTTGTTCCTGGCATGAGTGCTACTGTGCTCCCTGGTGCTCAGCCAGACCCCAGGGCACAGGATGATGCCTTGCCAGAGGTTGCCTGTGGGTGCCTGGGTCCTGCCTGGAGCTGGGTGGGGCACTGGGATGCTGGGCTACTTGTGCCAAGACAGATCTTGCTCTGAGCCGGGCCCTGAGGCTGGCTGGAGGGCCACCTTGCGAGTCAGTCCCTCCTTTCCATCTGTGATCCTCTCTGGAAAAAGGTGGGGTTCAACCGACCAGCAGATAGGCATCCCAGGTCCATGTGCTTCTCTGAGCCTCAGTTTCTTCACTGGAGAGGCGGGCCTAATGTTTGAATGTGTTGTGTTCACCATGACATGAGGGGCAAGTGTAAAGTCTATATGTGTGCCTGTGTGAGTTCGTGTGTGTGTGTATGTGTACGTGTGTATATGTGTGTGTGTATGTGTGTGTATGTGTGTATGTGTATGTGTGTGTATGTGTATGTGTGTATGTGTATGTGTGTGTATGTGTGTATGTGTGTATGTGTGTGTACGTGTGTGTACGTGTGTATGTGTGTATGTGTATGTATGTGTGTGTATGTGTGTGTATGTGTGTGTATGTGTATGTGTGTGTGTGTGTGTGTGTGTGTGTGTGTGTGTCTGTTTACTTAAACCCAGCCTTGTTCCAGAGTGGATTTCAGGATTCCTCTAAGAAGCTTTGGAATGCCAGAAGATACCACAAGTGAGAAGAAAAAATAAAACAAGAGGAAGGATATACTTCCCATAAGGGGACAAAGTACAGCCGCAGTGTCCTCCGCTTGGGCCATGGAACAGCTGCAGGTTTTGCCCTGATTACCCTGGTGGTAAAGTCTGATTGGCTATGATTCCCGGTGTCCAGAAGATAAACACGGGCGGTGCAGCGGAGCCACACGCATGCCTGTGCATGGCCACGCCAGGTCGGAAACCCAGCCCCTCTGCTTGGGAGGCACGCAGGGCTCTGGCTGAAGCCTGAAGCTTGGGATCCTCAGAGCACAGATGTCCCAGGGTTGTGTGAAGTTAGTGAGACGAGGTGTACGGAGAGAGCTCGGAGAGGAGAGGGAGTCTCGATTGCTGTGGCTGTGGCTCGGAGATGCCTGCAAGAGGTGACGGTGATGTGCGTGGTGGTGTGTTCACTGATGATGCTACACTGCAGGCCCAGGGCTGTGTTGTGGTGGCAGGTGTCCTCCTGGACCGTTTGACCTTTAGGGAGGCCTCCTCCACTCAAGCACTGGTCCTGGAGGGGCTCTGGGCACACAAGGAGTCAGGCATGTTTTTGCCCCCGAGGAGCCCCCCAGCCTGGCAGGGCCCAGGGGCAGGGCAGGGTGGGGCGGGGTGGGATGGGGGTGCTCCAGGAGGTAGCAGGGACACTTGGTAAGTGGGGCCAAATTGGGAGGCATCTCAGGAGGTGGCCATGGGCAGAGGGACAGCCTTCCAGTTCTTTGCCTCTCCCCTTTGAAGCCCGGCGCCTGGCAACAGACCTGTGGTAGCTGCACCTGCCTGGGTAGGAGACTGTGGGCTCTTTTCTCGTAGGGGGACAAGAGTCATTTGCAGGACCTTCTGAGCAGGTGGGGGACAGCGAAGGACAAGAGGAGGCTGTGCCTGTGCGGCTGTGTCCCGGCACAGGTGCCGCTTCATGCCCACGCCACCACATCCTCACTGGGTGGCTTCGGGCAAGTTACCTGAACTCTGCGCCTCCATCTCGTCTTCTGTAAAATGGGTGGCACATCCGAGCCCACCTCCTAGGGAGGGTGTTGTGAGGACAGGTGGGGGCACGTCCGCACAGCCCCTAGAATAGTGCCCAGGGCACCAGAGTGCTCTGTAGGGAAATAGTAGTGGCTGGCACTGAGCCCCCAACATAAGCCAGCACCGTGGGCCAGAGCCACGACTCCTGCTTCTGGGCACTTCACAAGCTATGGCCAGGGGCCACCACCTTTGGCCACTCCTTTCCCACAGAATTCCTACCAGGGCCCTGCCAGGTCAACAAGTCACAGGGCTTCCCCATCACAGAAGCCCAGCTCTGTGACACCTCTTGGTCCCAAGCACGTTCCTATCCCCCATTCATGTGTTTTGTTAGGACCCTTTAGGGTTGCACATGGCAGAAACTTAATCCACACCAACTTCAGCGAAGAAGGAATGTACTGGCTCCAGTCAGTGAAAAGTCCAGGAGGAGCCATGCCTTCAGGCACGGCTGCATCCAGGCACTCAACAGGTGTATCCAGGCACTCAACAGGTGCAGCCAACACCTTGCCCCGCAGGCTGTCAGCTCCTGCCTTCTGCTGCGTCCACGTCACTGTAGGTGGATTTCTCTGCACATGGGTGAGATGGCCCCAGAAGCTCTGGCTCATGGAGTCCTTGTAGCACCTGTCCTGGCCATCCCCAGATGAGAAAGCATCATTTCCCATGGCAGAAATCTGGTGGAAACAGGAGGGAGGGGGTCGGCTCTCTTTGGTCGGATCTGGGTCTCGTGCCCATCTCTGGGAGAGAAAAGTCCCCATTCACAGAAACTGAGCAGATCCTGGATTGGATGGGGAAGGAGAGATGCTGGCAGATACACACACATTCACTGCACTCCCTGCAAGGATAGTGACAATAGTAGAAGCTGCTCTTTCTTGAGAAGTTATGACGTGTGCCAGAAAATTCTACCTTTTAAGGATATAGAGAGGCTTTTATCATCCCCATTTTACAGATGACAAAACTGAGGCTCAGAGAGGTGAAGTGATTTGCCTATGGATGCATAGCTAAGGTCTGACCCCACAACTCACACTCACAAGTTAGCAAGAGGTGTTTCACCAGGGTAGTCTGGGGGCAGAAGGAGCCTGCCTGGTGAGGGAAGGGAGGTGGAGAGGTGGGGAGAGGGGAGGCCAAGAGGAGGGGACACCAGGACCTGGCCTCTGGCTTGCACAATGGGGAGGGAACCCTGGAGAAGAGGAGGTTTATGGGGGAGGCTGCTGAGTTTTTTGGGCACATATGCTAAGTTGGAGGTGCCCATGGTCCTCAGGAGATGTTCGGGATTTGGGGGTCAGAGGCATGAGCCTCGGCATCCTGGGAATCATGGCTGTTTGCTTTGCTTTGGGAATTTCACAGTGGTGGGGGGAAGGCGGCTGCTGACAGGAAGCACTTCCCATTTGGTGGAGAAGGCAGCCAGAACCTGCATGGCAGAAGCTGCGGCCTGGGCCTGTGACAGTGTCTACAACTGTGGCCACAGGTTCAAGGCCCTTGTAGTTGGCAGACACAGGGCCTGAAGTTCTCTGGCCGTTGTTTTAGGGCAAACACCTTGAGAATGGCATTTCCAAGGCCCTTGGGCTGTGCCAGGGCACCAACGCCAGTCGAGGACCACGCCTTTCTGAGGGATGCTTGGAATCTCACAGACAGGGGTTCACATTCCGACTCTGCTTCCTAGAGGCTATGTGGCCTTGGGCGTGTCTGGAACCTCTCTGGGCCACAGTTTGCTTATCTGTGAAAGAGTCATGGTAGCCTCTCCTTATGGGTTTATGGGGAGCTTCGGATATGGAGGGTGGGGCAGCACACAGGGCTCAAGCTGCAGCTCTTAGTTACCTGCTTTTCCTTTGCAGGTGTCCTACGGGCCTGATGGAAAGGTGGCAGGCGAAATGCACCTGGCCTCAGCGTCAGGGGCTGTGAATGCAGTAGCACTTGTAGCTATGAGGTCAGAGTGGACTAGGATGGTCCTTCCACCAAGAAGCCTGGGCCTTCCTGCTCTTCGTTGTCCAGCTGCAGAAACTGATCTCATCCCTCAGGGCTTGGCACAACTGCCCCTTCCTCCTCACATTCCCAAATATACCTACCCCTCCCCAACTCAATCCTCCTCACCAGACTGTGGCTCCAGGATGACAGGGCAGAGTTGGACTCACCTGTGTCTGCCAGGCCAGCTCACCGTGGGGGCAGGTCCCAAGAGGCCTCTGGATTTGGACCAACTTCCAGTGTGACCTTGAACAAGGCCTTCGCCTCCCTCAGCCTCCGTTGCATGAGGGGTTGTGCTGGCACATCTCAGAGCAGGTAGCGCTACCTGGTGAGTTGAGGGCTCTGTCCATCATCTTTGTCACTGTAATGCTGGGTAACAAATAAACACGAAACAATGAGTGCTCGTTTCTCAGGTGCCGGGGGATTTAGTGGGTCCAGGGGTCAGCGAGGGCAGGCTCCCTGGCGGACCCGGCTGGGGTGGTGGCCGCTCTGCTCTGCTCCACGCCTCTGATCTGCAGACTCGCCCAGGCCTGATCTCACCGCAATGGCAGAGGCACATGAAGAAAGCAGCCCCCATACATGAGCGGCAGGGAGCCGCCTGTGCTGTGTCTGCTCACCCCGCATGGGCTCACGGCAGTCATGGGGGAGCACTCACATGGGAGCAGAGGGCCCGGTGAGGCTGCTCAGCCAAGGGTCTGGTGCAGGGAGAAGTGAAGATTAGGGCTCTTTGCAATCTGTCACAGGGAGTGAGCCAGGGCGTCACCCTGGGACTTCTGATGGTGATCATGTGCTCGTCACCCACCATCCGGGTGCTCCAGCTGGACCAGACCTAGGCCTGTCTTGAGGGAAAGACAGATCCTTGCCACGTCACTTACCACAACCGCAGCCAAGGCTGGTGGACTCCATAGCCGTAGGAAGGCAGCTTCAGGGACAGGGTGGGAGGCTAGAGGTCTCTTGTGTTCCGAAGGGCACAGACGTATGGGACAAACCAGGGAATGACCCAGCATCCCTCTTGGCCATGGTCCTGCCAGGAGACTTGGGTGCTGTCCTGCCCCCCTGGGCCTCTGTGGCCTCATCTGTACCATAGAGGCTGGACTTGGGATTTGAAAGGTACCACCCAGGGCTGTGGTTCAGTCTCTTTGTAGAGAGACAGAGTAAGGGTGAGAGTGAGCCATGGAGAGAAAGAGGGGACAGGCCTAGTCTCTGCCTCTAATTATTTGCCTCTTCCTCTTCTGCAAGCCCCCCTCAGTGGAGGTGGGGGGTGGAGCGTGCAGGGATTGAGGGTTGGGGGATGGGTATGTGATGTGAACCCTTTTCCATGATTCTAATGGCCTCACCCTAAGAGCCTGGGAGCTGGTCTGCAGGGTAATTCTGTGGGCAGAAGGGTTGGGGTGGGAGTAGGGGGTCCCTTGGAAGCAGGGCTCTGTAGCCTTGTCTCCCTTCCCTTCCTAGGGGGTGGCTGTTCCTGGGAGGGGCGGGTGGTTTTATTTGGGACAGGAGCCTGTTGCAGTTAAGCAGTTCAAGATGCTGGAGATGGAGTTACCCGGATGACTGTGGAAAATCCATGCTGAGTTATTTTTCAGGAGCACAGTGATGGGGGCACAGACTACTCTGCCTGGCAGGCAGAAGTAGCAGGGATGTTTTCAAACTTTAATTAAGTCCCTACTGTGTGCCAGATATTAAGCTTAGTGTGTTTTCACATGTTAATCCTGCAGTAGGGATCTCTGTGCCCTTTGCAGAGCTGTGGAATGAAGGCTCTTTGAGGGGAGCATGTGTCCAAAGTCCAACCAGGAGGTGGAGAGGTAGAATAGCATGTCTACCCACCCACCCTTCAGGCCATTCCTCCACCCATCCACTTACCCACCCACCCACCAGTTCATCCATCCGCCCATGCACCCACACACCCACCAGTCCATCCATCCATCCATCCATCCATCCGTCCATCCATCCATCCATCCATCTATCCACCCACCCACCAACCTGTCCATGCATCCATCCATCCATCCATCCATCCATCCATCCATCCATCCATCCATTTGTCTTTGCATCCACCTGTCCATCCATCCATCCATCCATCCATCCATCCATCCATCCATCCATCTATTCATCCATCTTTGCATCCACCCACCGGTCCATCCATCCATCCATTCATCCATCCATTTGTCTTTGCATCCACCTGTCCATTCATCCAACCATCCATCCATCCATCCATCCATCCATCCATCCATCCATCCATCCATCTTTGCATCCACCCACCAGTACATCCATCCATCCATTCATCCATCCATTTGTCTTTGCGTCCACCTGTCCATCCATCCATCCATCCATCCATCCATCCATCCATCCATCCATCTTTGCATCCACCCACCGGTCCATCCATCCATCCATTTGGCATCTGCAGCACTTTCACTTTTCTGATGACCCAGACTAGAGCCTATTCTGTGGGCTATTGGTCTGGGAGGTGAGTGCTGGAATGACTGGCTGGCTTGGATGCTGGCCCCAGAGCACTGACTGAGGGTCCGGGAGGAGGTGGGGCTGTAACCCATAGAAGACTGTGTGGCTGTCCTTATAAACCCGTGCACAGCCTGGTCCTGATTCTCTCCCCTGTGGCCAGCAGCACAGGATGATGATACTGGGGGCTTCTGCAGGGACTTGCTTCCTACAGGTAGTTTTATGACCCGTACAGCAATCACTCTGCTGGAGTTTCAGTGTGATGCATTTGGGGATGTAGAGGGTTCTGTGGGTTCGCACTGGGGGTGGGGTGGGGGGCGGCAGAATAGCCTCATGACCACCTGCAGTGGGGCTCCCTGAGGCCACCATGGACATCCTGGCCCTGGGTCCCCTGGTGTCCTCGGTGGCTGGGCCGGAGTGCTGTGAGCCAAGCTGGAGCAGCGTGTGGGACCCTAGCACGGGCACGGACCCAGTCTCTAGTGACAACCTCCCTCGCCTCACAAACCAAATCTCTCCCACGGTGCTGTCGCCTCAGGTCCTCTAGTGATTCCTGTTGCCCTGGAGATAAAATCCCGGCATCTCAGGGTGGCCAGGAGCTTTCTCAGGGAGACCTGCTGGGAGGCCAGGAGCATGGAAGTCCCTCAGGAGGGAAGGGACGTGGCGCATTTGAGGGAGAATCTCTTGGAGAGCCCTGGAGAACTTACCCTGAAGGACGAGGAGGCTGCCGCTTGCTGGGACATGTCCCACGTGGATGGGAAAGGCTGCAGTCCCAGGGTCTGGGCACCACGCTTAGGCAGATGGGGCCTGTGTCATCCCCCAGGCAGGTGCCGGGCGCTCGGGGCTGTCCCCGGAGATGCAGTCTTGGGGGCGATGGACTCGCTGTGCCTGAGCTCCAGCTCTGTCCGTTCCTTTCGGAACATGGAGGCCGGGAGTCCCTCCTCGGGGACGCTGTGGGGGTCTGGGGAGTGGGTCCTGAGTAGGTTGGCCTTGATGGGCCTTCCAGGCCTGTGGGATCCACGGGTTCACAATTTTGGAACATAGGTTCTAGGAGACCCAGGAACTGCTTCCCGAGAACCGAGGCCTCCTGGGGGTCCCTACTGGGGGTGAGTACAGTGGGGACCTGGAGGAGCTGAGGGCAGCCTGGGGGAAGGGACTGGAACCCTGAGAGGGATTAGTCCAGCTGCAGGAAGCTGTGGTCAGGAGATGCAAGCACTGGGTGGAGAGGCCAGGACAGGTGGGGTGCTGCCCAGGCCCCAGGCTGGAGCGCATTTTGAAAGAGGAAGGGCAGGGAGGCATCTGGGCAAGTGTAAGGGGAGTGCACTGGGAGAGAGGGCCTGAAGGAAGGATGATGGTGTATGCGGACACCAAGCCACCACCTCCCCTCCCCCATCCTTTCCTCCCCTCCCTTCCCTCTCTTCTCTTTCTCTCCCTGCTTCTTCCTTCTTTCTTCCCTTTCCTCCCCCCGCCTCCTCTTCCCTCTCCAGCTCCTTCCTTGCCTTTTCCTCCCTTCCCTTCCCTCCGCCCTCCCCCGTCTCTTCCTCCCTTCCCTCTTCCCCTTCTATCTCATCCACTTGTGCCCCTTCCCACCTGCCCCTCCCAGCCTCTTTCCTTCCTTCCCCACGTGGCAAGCAGCCCCTGCACCCACCAGCCCGTGCTCCCCAGGGCCTGGCTCCGCACGCATTAGGAGATGCTCACAGAGAGGGCTGGGCTCCTTACAGCAAGAGACTTCTGCGACCGCGACCATTGGAGCCCAGCTGTCATGGGGAGGGTGGCAGTCTGGTGGAGACCACGGACCCTCCCCTGGACACCTCCACCAGGCAGGCTCAGTGACTGCCCTGCTACTGGGAGCCACAAAGCCTGTTGCCAGGAACCAGGCAGGGATAGCAAGTGGGGTCTTCTGAGGCCAGGGCGGGTGGTCCTGGGTTGGGGGGCCAGGGTGTGCTCTGAGCTCTTGAAGTGCCCCCACTGCTCCTTGTCCTGGGTGAATAAGGGTCTCCGAGACCTGGCCCCTACAGGCAGCATCCCCACCCCCCACCCGGCCGGTGCTGGCCTTGGAGGGATTCCGGGGGCACCTCTGTCCTCAAGAAGGGCTCTTTGGAGAGGAAAAAAGAACACATTTCAACACCTCCAGATTCTGAAAATGGATTTCTCCCAGGGAAACAGAGACTCAGAGCATGTTCTTTTCCCTGAGAGGGAGCCAGGAAAACAGCGATGGTGGGGGGGGGGAGGAGGGGTAGGAGGGGAGAGAAAGGCCTCAGCAAGAATCACCGAGAATCAGGACACGGAGTCAGAAGGACCTGGACTCAAGTCCTGCCGGCCACCGATGGGCCGCGGACCCACGCGTGCGACTTCACCTCTTGGAGCCTCAGTTTGTTTTTCTGTCCAATGGGGTAACTCCATCTCTGTCCCTGTCTTGTAAGGGATGGCTGTGGATGGGATGTGGATAGAGCAGTTCTTGTTCCAGAGACCAGGACGATAATGTCAGAGTGTTTCTGAATGACACCCCCGGCCCCAGGAAGGGTCAAATAGTGCTGGGTACACTGGTTCTGACTGCCGGACCCAAATCCTTGCTGTGTGGCCTCAGTGAAGTGGCCGACCCTCTCTGGGCTCCAGCTTCTTCTTCCATTAATTGGGCAAGGATCTGCACCTTGTGACGTCACTGGGAAGATTCACTGGGATGGGGATGTGGTGCCAGGTGCAGCCTGTGCTCCGTGAGGTGCTCACATTGGCTGGGGTAGGGGTATCTCGAGGCAGCGGTGGGGCCTGTCTGTCCCTGGGCATGGCCTGGCTTTGGCTGGTCCCTCCTTCTGTGGCTGGTCCCCTCCAGGGCAAACCCTCCCCGCAGCCCCACTCCCTGGGCTCTAAACAGCTCTTGCTTTGGCTGGGACAGCTTCGGGCTGCCTCCTCCAGGAAGTCTTCCCTGACTGCCTGCTTGGGATGGAAGGGCTCCTTGGCTCTGGCCTGATCCCCTCCATGCTGTCTCCCTGGGAACTTTGCAGCTGCCTCCTCTTGGGTTTCTACATCTCTGATCTCATCTCCTCCTCTCTGTCTTCTAGATGTCTTCATGTTTTAGAGTCGCTCTCTGCTTGCGGGGCTGCCCTACCATGGAACGGACTGCAGCTTTTGAAAAACATCCAGACTGCTTGGCCTGGCCTTCAGGGCTTCCAGATGGGGTCTCTGCTTCCCTTTTCAGCTCCAGCCCCTGTCCCTGCTTGACACTGAACTGACACCCCCGCCGCCCAGGGAAATGTTGCCACAGCTGCCCTGCCACATGCCTGCCCCCCCCAGCAGGCCTGCAAGGGGACGTACTGAGGACCCCCAGCCGTTTAGTGAGGAAGCCACCTGAGGCTCAGGAAACCCGTGCACGGCTGTGTGGGCTGTGCATCAGCACTCGAACTCGGGTCTCCTGGCTCAAAGTTCAGGCTCTCTCACTGAGCTAGAATTTCCCACCCATACAAGTTGGCTACTTGCACCTTCTCTTGGAGCTCCCTTTCATCTCAACTTCCCAAGCCCTACCTGTCCTTCGAGGCTTAGCCGAAATGTCGGACCTCCCAGGAAGCCTCCTCCGATTCCTCATCCAATCACCTCTCTCCCCGCCAGATGGCAGTTACCTTTTCCCCATGACCTTGGCTCACCATGGTCCTGGCAAAGGGGTGAAGACTGTGTCCCAGTGGCAGAGATTGCTGGCTGCCCCCAGTATCCGTTTTCCTCTTCTTTCTAAAGTAAAAGAAATCCCAGCTTTGAGCTGGACACGTGGCTGCTCATGTAAAGATTCAAGTTCTTAGCCTCCCTTGCAGCTACACGTAGTTATCTGACCAAATCCTTGCCAATGACGCAGAAGAAGTGACCTGTGAAACTTCGGGTTCCTGACCTTAGGGGGAAGAGAGGTGCCTTCCCCCGCTTCTTCTCCCTGTTCCCACAGTTGGATTAATGAGGTGATGGCAGGAGTGGGGCAGCCGTGGGATTATGGAAGGGAAGCTGGGTGTTGAGGATCACAGAGCAACAAGCTGCAAAAAGCCTGTGTGCCCGTGTCACCACCACGCTAGCTTTAGACTGCTGAAGCTCAGCCTGCTATGCGGGGGGCGGGCGGGGTGGGGGTGGGGGGGCGCTGTCCTGTTTAATCCTGTTATTTTGGCATTTCTTACAGTAGCCAAAATGTATCCTAGTTAAAATAGATCCAGATAGAGAAGTTGATCAGCTGTTTGCAGAATGATCAAGTGGTTACTAACCAGAGGTTGGCGAGCCGCGGCGTGGAGACTGCTTTTTAGGGCCTGTGGTGCTCTGGAGTCACAGAGGGATGTGTCTGTGTGTTTGAGTGCTGGGCGTGCCACGTAACTGTGGGATGCTGGGGAAGTCAGTAATGGCTCAGTGGCCCTGATGCCTCTTCTGTGACATGGGGGTGACAGTCCTCCTTGCAGAATGAGGCTCGGATGACATCACACACATAAGGGCATGGCGACAGAGGCACTCTTGCACGTTGGTTCCTCTCCAGATTGAATTCTCCGGGTGAAATGGCTTTACTGGGAGCACCCCTCTTCCTCCACCCTCCTCTTCCTTGCAATCCCCAGCTTTCCCCGGAGTGGGGTGGGGTGGAGGGGGTGGACTTAATGAAACCAAATGGAAACATTCCATTTGTAACAACAAATATTTTCCACCAGGACTTTTCTTACACTTAAATGAACGACCTTGGAATCCCTGGAAATGGCTGTAGAGGAGGAGGCGGGGTTTCCCTTCTAGGAGTTTTGAATTTTGCAGAAAGATGGGCCCCTAGAGGCTGCCCATGTGCTCCCTTAGCCCCGGCTGCCCCTTCAGGTGAGTCCCACCTACTGCCCCATCTGCCTCATCTCCCCTGTACCCATACCTCTTGGCTCTGTGGGCCAGACCTCATCCCTCGGAAACCTCCAGGGGAGAACAAAGGGCTCCTCCAACTCTGGCCAGGAAAGTCAGGAAAGGATGCATCTGTCTACCTTTGGAGCCCTCGATTCAAAGACCCACCTGCCTGGAAGGGGCTGGAGAGGTGTGGAGATGGGAGTTCCAAGTGCCAAGGGTCACCCGGTGCGGAGGTAAGAGTGAGGGGCTGAGAAGGTGGGCTCTGAGGTCCCATCCTGATATGGTTTGGATGTGTGTTCCCTCCAAATCTCATGCTGAAATGTGATTCCCCAGTGTTGGAGGCGGGGCCTGGTGGGAGGTGTTTGGGTCATGGGGGTGGATCCCGCACGAAAGGCTTGGCGTCCTCTCCACGGTCATAAGTGAGTTCCCACCCTATCAGTTCGTGGCAGACCTAGTTGTTTAAAAGAGCCGGGCGTCCCCTCCTCCTCTCTTGCTCCCTCTCTCACCGTGTGGTGTGCCTGCTCCCCACTCTGCCTTCCACCACGAGTAAAAACCTCCTGAGGCCTCCCCAGAAGCCAAGCAGATGCTGGGGCCAGGCTTGTACAGCCTGCAGAACCATGAGCCAAATAAACCTCTTTTCTTGATAAATTACCCAGCCTCAGTATTTCTTCATAGCAACACAAAACGAACTAACACACCCCCACTCCAAATTGGGCAGCCCTGCTTTCTCCTGCTTTGGGAATGGGGTTCCCTTCAGCTTCGGTGTAATACAGTGATCAACTGATAGTTCCTTGACTGTACAAAATTAGTTTGAGTGGACAGTGCAGTTCAAAGCCACTACCTTTTTAAAATTTTTAATTGTGGTAAAATACATGTAACATAAAATTTACCGTCTTATCCATTTTTTAAGATAAAAACAATGAGCACTATGTTGCCCAGGCTGGGCTTGAACTCCTGGGCTCAAAGATCCTTCTGCCTCAGCCTCCTGAGTAGCTGGGGTGACCAGATTATGCATTGAGCCTGGCTACTGTCTTAGCCATTTTTAAGTAGCAGCTCAGTAGTGCTAAGGGTATTCACATTATTGGATAACCAATCTCCAGAACTCTTTCCATTGTACAAAACTGAAGGACTGAAACATTGAACACCAGCTCTCCCTTCTGCCCTTCCCCCAGCCCCCGGCGAGCACCGTTCCGTTTCCTGTCTCTATGAGTCTGACTACGTCAGGTGCTTCTCATCAGTGGGATCTTGCAGGATTGGTCCTTTAGTAACTCGCCTGTTTCACTTCGCTTGATGTCCTCAAGGTTCAACCGTGTTGCAGCATGTCTCAGAATGTCCTTCCTTTTCAGGCCTGAATAATATTCCATTTTATGGATTTACCACATTTTGTTGATCTGTTCACCTGTTGGGGACACTCGGGTCGCTTCCACCTTTTGGCTGTTGTGAACGATGCTGCCGAGAACATGAGTGCGCAAGTATTTCTTCCAGAGCCTGCTTTCGATTCCTTTGGGCATGTACCTAGAGATGGAATCGCGGGGTCATAGGCTCATTCTATTTTTACTTTTTTGAGGAGCTGCCACACTGTTTCCTGTAATGGCCACATCATTTCACATCCCCACTAACTTAGTGCACAAGAGTTCCAGTCTCTCATCTTCACCATCATTCTTTTCTCCTCTTTCTTTTTCTGGGAGGATATGAGGTGGTCCTTTCACAGCTGGTAAATTGAGGCCCAGAGAGGGTAGGGACTTTTCTGGAGGCCTCTGTGGGTCTGTGGTGCGTGTGCTCAGGGAATCCACACTCCCAGCCTCTTTTGTTCCCGACTTAGGGCCTTGTCTTCCTGCAGGGAGTTTCATGCCCCTCCTGAGACCTCAGCCTCTGAGCTGACCTGCAGCTGCAGGTGACGATTCCTGGCAAGGTGTCCTTGGTTCACTCCAGCACCTGCCTCTGGACGCATCCCTGCCCAGCCTGCTCAGGAACATGCCAGGCAGTCTGTGTCAGCAGGTGACACCCTCAGCCACCAGGGGCCCGAGTGGGCCCATGTGAGGGTCCTCAGTGGCTGAGCCCCACTTGCCTAGTGCACCTCTCTTGGTTTTCCGCC
The DNA here is from genome assembly GCF_000001405.40 of Homo sapiens. Lineage (NCBI taxonomy): Eukaryota > Metazoa > Chordata > Mammalia > Primates > Hominidae > Homo > Homo sapiens. The sequence goes on along the minus strand of NC_000014.9, from coordinate 101,543,251 downwards.
CCCACCCCCATCTCCTCCTCGTCTTCACTTTCTCATGTGAGCTTCCTGGGTTCACTACCTGCACCCACATCCTCGTCTCAGGTTTTGCTCTGGGGGAGTCCAAACTGCAACAGGCCCCACTCTGACCCAGGAGCCACCCTTCAGGAACCCATAGCTGGGTGAGGGCACACAGGGGTGCCAGTGCGAGACTTACTCTGACGAGGTGACCGAGCCTTGGGAGGTGGACCAGAGAGGGCAGGGGCACCTGTTAACTCTGCATTCCTGAAGTTCTAGCCCTTCCCTTGGCCCTTAGATCAGGGCAGGGCCATCAGTTAAGGGGCCTCACCCCATCTTGACCCGGGTGGGCACGTGGCCCATGATGAGGCAGAACTTGAGTCTTGGGTGGTGATCCAGGGCCTGGGGATGGTTACTGCCAAGCCCTCAGCGGATGGGGGCCCTTCCTGAGGAGGAGACATTGGGATGGGTGTGTGGGGGAGGAGCTGCTGGCCAGGCCCTGGGAAGGGTTGTATCAGGCCAAGGAGACCGCCTGAGCGAAGGCCAAAGGTGCGGTGAGCCCAGGAAGTAGGGGAGCGGGAGCGGGAACGGGGACGAGGGAGCTCACTGCAAGGGGGAGGGGAGGGGCTCGCCCAAGGCTGGGACATCAGCAGGGCTGAATCAGAAAGGCCCTGGGGACCCGTCAAGGAGTTGCCTATGGTTGCTGTAATAGCAAATTGCCTCAAACAAATGGGCTTAAGACAACACCAATTTATGACCTTACAGTTCTGCAGGTCTGAAGTCCACAGTGGATTGGCAAGGCAGTGTTCCTTCTGGAAGCTCCAGAGGAGATCAATTCCCTTGCTTTTCCAGCTTCTAGAAGCCACCTGTGTTCTTTGACCCATGGCCCCCTTTCAATGTCAAGGCCAGCGACGCCCTGGAGTCTGACGCCACTCCTGCTGTCTTGCCTCCCTTTCCACACTGAATAGAGCCTTGTGATGACACTGGGCCCACCCAGATAACCCAGGATCGTCTCTCATCTCAAGATCCCTACTTTACTCACCTCTGCAAAATCCCTTTGGCCATGGAAGGTAACGCACACACAAGTCTAGCCACAGGGTCTGGCCTTATCTGAGGGTGATGGGGAGCCATGGGAGGCATTAGGAAGAGGAAGGCCATGGCCAGATGTGGATGTGGTCAGTACTCCCTGGCCAGGCTGCCTCAGCCTGGAGGCTGAGCGGGTGGAGGGGCTAGGACATGGCTGTTGCTAATGCCCTTCCACGGGGCAGGGAGAGGCTCCTCTCCTTCAGGGCTGGAACCAGCCTCTTACCTAAAAAGGGCTGGGTGAATGAATGCTCAGAGGGTGAATGAAAGCACTAGCTGCAGCTGGGAGGAGGGGGCTGGCCTGGGGAGGGGCTGGGGGCCAGGATGGGCAGGGGAGGGAAGGGACTCAGAAGCCAGGAGTCAGGGGCCACCTACAGGTACTGCTGGCTGAGACCCAGAACCACTCCATCATGGAGCAGAGGAGTTGAAAGATGCCTGCCAGGCTCACCAAGGTCTGCCTCTGCCACTGCGGATGTGTCACTCCGGGTGTCATTTTAGAAATCAAAGTCAATCAGCTCTGGCCCAGCTCAGGCACTGAGAAGCTCCACTCACTGCGCCCTCCACGCCCTCACCTGCCTGGTACCTACCCTGACCACCCAGGAGATGTGGGCTCTTCGGAGAGCTAGGGGAGGCCTCTGAGTAGATGAGGATGGGCACCTGACTTGAGGGCTGGACTCTGCCCAATAGACCAACCAACCAAGCTAAGCCAATCAGATGGCTCTGTGTGATTGGGAGCAGGGATAAGCATGTCAGGAGCTGGAAGGGAACTTGCGGAGGGGAGTGCAGGGCCTAGCTGAGAGCAGTGTGTCGAGGAGTGCAGGTGCGGCTCTGCCAGCCTTGTGCCCACCCTCAGTGTTTGGGGAGCCTGCACCCGCTGCCTCACCAGCCAGCTGTGCAGACCAGCTGCACTCCCAGGAATTCCCTGCCGTGGAGCCGCCGTCTGCAGGGTCCTTTCACCTCCCTCCCCAACTTCTCCAGGCACCTACTGTGCGGCATGATTTGAAGCGTGAGGCTCTGTCCTCGATTCTGTGAGTTCCTGGGAGCAGGGCCTGGCCTCGGGCAGCCCTGAGGACCTATTGAGGGTCTGGGGTCTGGAGCCTGGAGTGTGGGCCAGGAGCAGGGTGGGGTCAGCCAGCTCACTGGGAGGGCCCCAGAGGCCCTGCTCCGGGCTCTGGACTTGAATCTATGGATTATGGGGGCCTGATAGCACCCCCAGCCCAAGATGACAATTTTTTCTTGAGCAATAGAAGACAATATGGCCAAGCTGGGCCCGGGGCAGGGCAGCGGGTCCCCTGAGGGCAACTGGGGCCCAGGATCGCCAGCTGAGAGGATGGCCTCTCTGCTCATTCTCAGGTGTAGTTTGCCCTGAGCTGAACCAGCCTGTGGCCCCAGAGGCCCTGGCGGCTGAGGAGGGACAGACAGGGAGATCTCATGGGAGCCCCAGAGTGGGGAGGTAATAGTGGCAGCATCTTTGCCCCAACCCCATCCTGGGGCCGCTTCCCCGCACTTGCTTCCTCCCTGGTCCTACTCAGTGCTGTGAGCTGCAACTCTCGGCCTCAGCTCCCAGCCCTGCCCCCGGCAGCCTCTGCTCCCACACTTCCGAGGGAAGAGAGCCCACGATCCCTGGCTACCCAGGCTCTCCTGGCTCTCTTTGGTGCCCTCCAAACATGGCTGACCCTCTGCCCACTGGGTATTTGGAGGCAGAGCTCGCAGGTCCCCAGACTCCCTGTTTCATTTATTCAGCGAGATCCATTGAGACCTTTTCTGCCAGGTGGGCGCTGAGTGCTGGGAGGCTGATAACAGCACTCAGCTGTTGGTGAGTGCTGGGAGGCTTCACCCTTGGGGGGCTTCCAGCCTCTGCAGACACAGACAGTTTCACAGAATGAATAGACGCTTCAAGGGCCACCACAGGGAGGGGGCAGGCAGGCCAGGCTGGTGGGCTCTGGACCACCTGGCCCTGTCCTGTTCAGCCCTCTTGTCCTGTTCCGAGGTGCTCCACCAGCAGCACTCCAGGGCCGCATCTTCAGCAAATGCAGAGCCGCAAGGCTCCAAGAGGGCTCAGTTCTTTGTTCTCTCTGCTTTGAACGTCTTTCCTCAGGCTGCTGCGTGGTCTCTGGCGTGAGTCAGGCAACCAGGTTGGCTACCACGACAAGATGCAAAATAACAGTGACGTAGACATGGGGAGATTTTAGTCGTTGCTCAACAAATACAGGTCAGCGGAGTCTCACAACTTGATTTATGTTGTATTCTTGTATCGTCAACTTGAATATTTGCTTAATTTTTAAAAAAATCAACTTGCTTTTTAAACTTAAATACTGATGACCTACGTGATAGGTTCTGAAGCCCTGGGTTTGATATGTTAGTTATGTATGTATTTTTCTCAACCCATATAGATAAATAACTATTGAAATAGAAAACAACTTTTTCTGGATACCCTTCAAAATTGTCTTGTTACTTCCTTTTGGGAAATTCTGGACTATCCGGGTGGGGAAACGGAGGCTCCACGAGGGCGTGTGCTGTACCTAAGCATCTGGGAGTTTCTGGTCCGGTTGCCCAGTCCCATTTGGGACGTGGAGCTCAGGGTGCAGCCTGCCCTCAGGGGGAAGGGCTTACACAGGGGGAGGCCCCAGAACAGAGGCCATCCTTGAGAGCTGCTCTCCCCCATCCCCGCAGGGTAAATGGATCCTGGCTCCTGCCCTTTGAGGCTGGCCTGTGGCTGGGAGAGGTAGAAGCCGAGGGTGGGAACAGGCTCTGTCTATTCCATTGCAGGAAGGTTCCAGTGCGTCAGAGTCTCAGCCACCCTCCCCCAAGGAGGTGCCCACCCCCGGAGCTGGCTGCCTCCTCCCTGCCCTCCCCTGCCCACCTTGCACACTCCCAGGGTGTCCTGGCTGCAGAATGCCTGGGGATGCACTTGGTTGGGGGATCAGGAAGCCTCCTGTGGCATCTTCCCAGCTCTCTCCCGGATCCCCAGTACTCCTTTTTAAGCCACTGAGGGAGGGATATGAGGACCATTTGTTCTTTACGTGTTTTGCAATTTTCTTGGAAATGTGAGGGATCCCAGAGGGGCCCGGGGCTGCCGGTTGAGCTGACCTCTGCACACTGTTGAGGCGACCTGGGCTGGGGAGGCAGCAGTTCCAGCTTTCCAGGAACAGTTACTCTTTCCAGGAAGTGGTGGTCTGTGGCCAGGCCAGGCCCCCAGAGTTGCATGGGGAGTGGTGGAGGCAGCCCAGGCTATGGCATTGTTGGCAGGAGGGGAGTGGAGCAGTAGGGTAAAGAAGAAGGTGCACAGCCCCCCTCCAGTTCTCTGGTCCCCAGATGAACCCCTATGGAGTTCTCAGACCAGCTGGGCTTCCCTGGGGGATCCTGAAGGATCCTGAAGCCCTCGGCCCTCCCTTTCACCCAGGCTGCTCTGTTCTCCTGGTTATTGAGGGGCAGCCACATGGCACAGAGCTAGGGTGCTGCTAGAAAGACAGCGGCTGGGGTGACCGCGCCAGCACTGGCATAGACCTGACCTGCTGTGTGACCTGGAGGGAGGCTGTGCACCTATCTGAGCCTCTGCTTCCCTGACTTTAAGAGGGGAATGGGAGTGTTCATCCCGTGCCACCACCCGGCCAAGGGTTCCACACTGCCTAAGTGGGCCACCGTGGGCAGCCTTTTACCACTCTGGGCGTCGGTTTCCTCTTCTGTAGGATGGATTGTTGTGGGGTCAAATAAGATTGTGGATATGAAGCCTTTGTACAGGATCCCACTTGGGGGTTAGCACCCCTCCCCCATGAGTTGAGAAAGAGATGGCTGATCTGGAACCCCTTCCCCAGCCCAGCTGTCACCTGGGAGGGGCCTGGGATGTTGAGGCTTGGGAGTGGGGTCTCGGGGTCCCAAGGAGTGAACCAGGCTATACACCTTGTCCCAGCCCCTCAGGCTAAGGGCTGGCTGTTCTCAGGTGGGTCGATGGCTCTGCTTCCCGGCCTGCATCTGGGGGCCTCCCCTCCTGTCTTCCTCCCCACCTCTTCCAGAGGGAGCTCTCAGGCAGGTTGTAGGAGGACTTACTGAGAAGGGGACACTGCTGCCCCTCCCACCCAGCCTCTACCTCTTCCTCTGTCCTCCTGGAAACTGTCTTCAGGGACGGTTTCCCTCCCCGTTCTCGCAGTGGTCCCAGCCTCTTCCTTGGAGCTACGGGAGGCCCCTTTGCACTTTACCCTCCTTCTTGTGAACCCCGGAGGGTCCCCTCTCTCTCCAGCCTTTCCTGGCCCAGCCACCCTTAGCACAGCCCTCTGCCTGCAGGTGGGTCCCACACCTCAGCCTCACCTGGACACCTCCAAGGGCTGTTCCCTAGGCAGTTCGCTCTCAAAAAGGCCCAACTCACCTCTGCAACCCGCAGCCCTCCCTCTGCCAAATCCCACGCTGCCTGCACAGCTCTGGCGCTCCTCATCTCATGGGCAGCCCCACCACACCCCAGCCCCACTCAGGGACCTTCTAGAGGCCTTCCATCCTGGCCAGTCTCGGCCCAGGCCCCATGCTTCCCCTCCAGAGGGAAAGCACGAGGTGCTCCCTAATCAGTGCCCATGATACAGCCTCTGACAGTTGTCCCTCAACAGCCTCTCTCTCGCCTTCCCTAACAACAAAATTCCTCTCAGAACCTGGCTGCCCTGGCAGATTCCTTTCCCAGCATCCCTTACAGCTAGATGTGGCCATGTGACTCTGTCTGTCCAATGGGGTAGGAGCAGATTACCCACCCAGGAGGAGCCCCGCTCTGGGAAGTCCCCGAAACAGGAACGAGGCCAGGCCCTTGTGACCTGGGGGAGCAGAGGGCACCTTTCAGCTCAAACTTCTCCGTGAGAGGTAAACTTATTTTTTAAACCACTGTCATTCTGGGCCTGCCACATGCAGCCAAACCCACTGCATCCCCTCAGGGCTGTCCTTGTCCCCAGCCCCAGAGTCTCCCACATGTTGCAGCCCATCCTTGTTCCACAAGACAAACCTGGTCCCATTGCTCCTTGGCCCCGCACCCCAGGGTCTCCCAGCACCCTCCACAGAATCCCAGTCATGTTGCTCAGCCCACCTGTGTCTTCGGGGCTGCACCCTGCTTTCCTTGCCTCCTGGCTGGCCCTGGACCAGCAGATCCATTAGCTGGGAATGCCAAGGGCTCAGCCTGGGGACCTTACCTCCAGGAGGTCTCTCCTCACCTTCCTTCCTCCACATACTGTTGGGGCTCCTCAGCCCCTGGTGGGGCCTCGATCACAGCACTTAGTCATTCAGCAGACCTTTGTTGAGCACCTACTGTATGCCAGCCCTTGTGCCTAGTATTGTGGGGTACAGTGGTGAACAAGATGGAGCTTAGCGTTCTAGACAGATCGTTTATTTCTGGGTCTGTTAGTCCATGGGCTGGGAGCTCCTGGAGGGCAGCACTGTCCCTGGTCCACCTCTGTTTCCCCAGCCACCAGGTCCAACTTCTGATCTATCACAACAGGGCTGAGCACCTCCTTGTTGATGAATGAACAGGTAATCAACTCGTGAGTTGGAAGGGAGCTGGCAGTTCTTCAAATCCAACTCCTATCGAGGGCATGCATGCTTACTGCGTTTCTGGTGTATGGGGCAGGACAGGCACACCTCTGGGCATGGGGTGCCCCCTTTCACTGCCTTGGGCAGCTCTGTCCATACTGAACACCGTCCTCGGCAGAGCTGCGCATCCTCCAGCCCCTTTCCCTGCTGGCCTGGCTGACCTGGATGCCCCAGCACTTGCCTGGATCCTGCAACAGGGGAAAGGGCTGCTTCTTCCAGGGCAGGGCTGGGTTCCCACCACCCTGGAAAGGATGGCTGGACCAGAGTTGCTACACAGCAGGTGCTGCAGCAGGCCTGGCCCTGGGGAATGTGGCCAAGAGTGGCTGGTCTCTGGGGGTGGGGGTGGCGTGGGCACAGATGGAGTGGAGGCCAAGTTCTTTTGGTGAGATAGTTTCCTGCTAAGATTCATCAGTTGAGCTGGTTGCTTCAGTTCCCACAGACATGTTGAAGAGAAGATGTGAAAGGCACAGAGGCTGTAGATACAACCCTCCTTCTTTCCTAAGGAGGCCCAGGGCAGGGCACTTAGGCCCTGGGATCCAGGGGAAAGGGAGTCTAGAAGAGGAAAGACTTGCTAGAGGAGGGGCCCCTGAGGGGTGAGTAGGAGTTCACTGCATGGAAAAGCGGAGGCCGGGTGTCCAGGCAGAGGAACAGCGTGTGTGAGGGTACGGCATAGCCAGGCGACCACAGTGTGGTTTGGGGTTGGAGCTGAGAGTGAAAGGTGGGAAGGAAGGAGAGAGAAGCAGCCCCCCACCCAGTCCTGGGGGGCCCTGTACAGGCAAGTGAAGGCCCTGGAGCACCATTCCAGGCAGTGGGCAGGGAGGGAGAGGCCAGATCTAGGGAGTAGAAAGGGCAGCAGCAGGGGGTGGGGCTGAGGAAGACGGGACTCTGAGGACGACACCCGGCTTTCTGGCTTGGGCAGCGGGGGGTCCGTTGTCTGGGGAGGGGCCCTGGAGAAGACCTGTGTGCCACATCTTCTCTTGGGGAGGCATCACCCACGAGGTGGTCTGGGCCCAGCCGTTTCCTCCTGGGCCCCTGTCTGTGTCTTCAGTCCGAGAACTGGGCCAGGGCTGGGCAGATTTAACAGCCATCCGGAGCCTGTGGCATCTGCCTCGCCAACCAAATTCTGACCTTCTGGTGTTTAGGGTTGCAAAGTGTAACTTCCTGTTTTTAAGAGAAAAGGATTAGAAACACTTATAAAAAAGCCTTTTGAAAGGCATCAAAAGACTTCCTGAACGTCAGATGACTCTTACAAAAGAGCCAGTTAATGATTTAAGCAACATGAATGAGAACCATACTGGCCGCACCCACCGTGGTCTCACAGCTCCTTACAGTGCCCAGGAGGGCTTGGTGGCCAAGTGCAGTGGGGATGGAGGGGACCCGGAGAAGCTAAAAAATACTCCTGGGGGCAGTGGACGCCCTGTCTCTGGACACAGGTGTCAGAGGGGATGGTCAGGGGACATGGAGTTTGGCAGTGGCTGGGCAGCCCTAGCCAGGTGAGCCCTAACCTCTTGCCCCATCGGCTCTCGGCTCCAGCATTTCCAACCTCCTCAGGTTCCTCAAAGTTCCATCAACCTCCCCTGATGCCTAGTTCTAGTCCATCTCAGCCACCCACTGCCCCCTCCTCTGTATCTAAGCTGTGGACATCCAAGTGTCCCCTCGGCCTGGTGGACTCGCCACCTTTGTGTGGTCTGCCTTGAAGTTTCCCCTGTCCCCCCACCACAGCCCAGACCCTGCCGACCATGGTGGCTGCCTCCCTGCTGGACTCTGGTGCTGCCTCTGTTCTGTCTGCTCATCCTTGGCCCTCTGCTGCTGCCCGGTGTCCCTGTCCTGGACACAGAGGAGGTGCAGACCTTGTCCCACTCTTAGTAGGACAGGGTCTCCTCCACCCTGTGCTGTGGTCTGGCCTCTGAGAAGGCGTGGGAAAGGCCTGGCGACTCCTCGCTAGGGGCTGGGGCCACCCCAAGAAGCCTGTGGTCCCCAAAGCTGGGCTTAATGGAGATTCAGAGCTGCAGATGCTAGCCCCCTGTTCCCTGGAGCCCTGTCTTCATGGAGAGTGGGAGCTCTGAGGACCCCCCTACTTTCTGCATTGCAGGTATGGCACCTCTGCCTCATCTCCCTACCAACCCAGAGGCCCCTGACTGCTTCCTCTGCCCAAGCTCTCAGGCTTTTCAGAACCACCTAGAGGCCCCGGCCCAGCCTGGGTCCTGCCCACTGAGCCAGCCAGGTGCCCCTTGGCGCCTGCCACCCTGGCCTCATTCCCACACCTGGGCCAGCTGACCTCACATGTCCTTCCAGGACCTCCCCAGTTAGGAATCTTTGCTCCTCAGTTTTGCTCCAAAGAGGGCACGCCGTTACTTAGGCAGCTATTAAACACTTCAGTGGCTCCCAGAAAATGCCAAGGAATTCTTGGAATAAAAATAACAATGAATAAAGTTGCCTGGAAATGAGGCTATGGGGCTGAATTTGATTACGCCCCATTTAGAAGAGAAAATTAGCTTATTACAGCTGAGGTGAGGCGAGGATTTCTGTCTTCTTCAGGAAAAAAGACACTTTTCAGCCTCTCCTCCCCCAGGCCCAGTGCCCCCCCCACCCCCAGTCCTGAGTTTTAAGGTGATCTGGGCCTTGGCTAAGGTCACGCCCTCAAGGGCTAGCACTCCTAGGCCGGGGCTGGTGGCTGTCCCGACGCATGGGCCAGTATCTGGTGGCCACACTCGCCGGGTTAGCACATCCCCGTGATGGGTGTCTGTGCAGATGTGGGGTGGAGAGGTGAATGCTGTGGGTTTCCTGGTCACCCCTGCAAAGCAAAACCCACAATTCCCGTGCTATCTGCCTGCACCTGCCCCAGGAACCTGCATGTCACCCCCACTCTCCCTCCCTCACCACACAGACCTGCTCATCCCACCTCCTAGATAGATGTATGTAGAGTCTCTCCACCCTTCTGTCAGGCCCGGGCGTCCTCCCCATCTCTCTTTCAGCCACGACACACAGGATCTCCCTCCTGCCCAGCCTCACCCTGGTGTACCCCCTGCTGGATACTCCTCTATGGCTCCCCATTGTCCTCAGGACCAAGGCAGAACTCCTTATCCTGGCACATGAAGCTGTGTTCGTTTCCCTCAGCTGCTTTGATGGCTGGTTTTTATGTGTCAACTTGACTAGGGCACAGGGTGCCCAGATATTCACACAAACATTATTCCAGGGGTGCTTGTGAGGGTGTTTTTGGATGAGATTCCCATTTGAATCTATGGACTCAGTAGATTGCCCTCCTCATTGTGAGTGGGCCTCCTCCAATCTGCCGAAGATCTAAATAGAACAAAAAGGCCAACCTTCCCTTGAGTAAGAGATAATGCTTCCTGTCTGTCTCTGAGCTGGGATATTGGCTTTTTCTTGCTTTTGGACTTGGCTGTCATGGGCTGGATGGGGCGGCGCCCCTGGGCCTTCTAGGAGCCAGTGTGGGGGTGGGGATTTGAACTGAAACATCAGCCTCTCTGGGTCTCGAGGCTGCTGGCCTTCTGGATGGAAACCACACTATCGGCAATCCTGGGTCCCTGGCTTGCCTGCAGATCTCAGGATTTGCCTGTCTCCATAATCTGGAAAGCCAATTCCTTACAATAAATCTCTTTCTATTTCTTTCAACCTGTCTCCCTAGACAGCCTGATGGTTCTGTTTCTCTAGAGAACCCTGACTATTACAACCACTAACAAATCTTCACAAACTTAGAGGCTTAAAACAACAGAAATGTGTTCTTTTCCAGTTCTGGAGGCCAGAAGTCCAAAGTCAGTTTCACTGGGCTCAAGTCAAGGTGTCTGCAGACTGTGCTCACCCTGGTAGGTTTGGAGGGGAACCCATAAGGATGCCTCCTCCAGCTTTTGGTGGCTGCTGGCCTTCCTTGGCTTGTGGCCACATCCCTCCAGTCTCTGCCTGTCTTCACAGTTCTTTCTCCCTCTGCCTGGCTCTCATAGGGATGCTGGTGACGGTGTTTAGGGCCCCTTTCCGACAAGTCAGGATCACCTCTTACCCTCAAGATCCTGACTTAATCACACCTTCAAAAACATTACCGTATGAGGTCTCAGGGATTCGAAACTGCTTGCTTGGAAGCCACCACTCACCACGATGCCTGTCACCATCCCCACCCCTGTCTTGGCCAGGAGATCCCCCGGCAGGCCAAAGTCCAGCACACAGCAGGTGCTTAATAAATGTTTGTGAAGGAATGAGTGGGCATGTGAAAAGCAGAGGCCTGGGTGGAGACTGCCTCTCCTGAGGAGGTGTCTACACAGCCCTCTCTGGGAAACGAGCATATTTCTGGGCTGGCGGAGTCTCCGGGCTGGTTCTGAGTGAGCCGTTTCCTAAGATCCCAGCAGCCACGTCTCAGCAGCCTGCAGCGTTCCTGGGCACAAGTCACAGATGAGTTTTTCTCCTTCTTCACATTTTCCTTCATTTCCCAAAAGGTTCTGCAGTATTATGTCTTGTTTTAATAATCAGGAGGGATTTAATTATTGCAACTTCCAGATGCCCACAGCCCTGGGGAGGCCAGGCATCCGTGGTACCCAGTGACTGCTGAGTGCCTCCTGAATGCCACCTGAGGCATCCCTGCCTGGGTTTGCTCCCAAGGTAGGGCTCTGATGAGACCTCCCGAACGGTGCTCAGGTCTGGAACAGGTTTTGAAAATGCCGGCGCCTGTCTTGCACTTCTTACTCCTGTAGTAGGCCCATTAGTTGACTCAGTTCTGAGACCCTGACCCAGCCAGGGGGCTCTGTGGGGCCCCCACCCTCTGTGAGGCCTCTGCCCATCACCTGGCTAGATCCTTGGCTCCGTCACCACTCTGCCCCTGGCAGTGTCCTTCTTCGCTCTGCCCTGGCTCTGTCTTACCTCCCTCCCTCTTGGCTTTACTTCCTGCTTTGACCCCAGATCTCCCTAGCCCTCCAACCCGGGGTCCGATGGACCCCTGTGTTCCCTGCAGATGGGATGGGCAATGCTTCCTGGGCTCTCAGCCACCCTCCCCACAACCCCATTTCCAGGGCACATATCAGCTGCAGCAGCAACTGCAGGAACCTGGCTGGTGAAGCGCATGGGCTTTGGAGTCAGACAGCTGTGTTCAAATTCCGGCATCCCCGCTTTCCAGGTCTGTGACCTGGGATGACTCACTGGGACTCAGTGAACCCAGCTGTAAAATGGGGACAGCAATAGGGACTCCCATTTCCACCAGGATTAAGTGGATGATGTATGTGAAGCATAGTATAGCCGGGCATGTAGGCAGGGCCCAGTCAACACCAGCATCATTGGTCATCTCTTAACCTGTCTGCACCTTGTCTGTAAAATGGGGGTAGTAGCACTGCCAGCCTCACAGGATGACTGGGCGACTGGGTGATGGCCAGGATCAAGTAAGCAGATATGTGTAGAGTGCTCGGAACAGGGTCTGGCCCAAGTAAGTGCCACATACATGAGGGTGATGATTGCTGATGTGATGCCATTACAATGGGATCCAGGGCATGGACAGAAAGTGGGGAGGAGGTTTTGAGGATTGGAGGTCCCCTGCTCGTCATGCATGGATACGGTCAGAGGGACCAGGGGCAGGGCGGTGTCACCACCTTCACTGGAAGTGGTTGTGGGATCACTTGCTGTTCCTGGTTTCTGTCTGGTAGGCCAGGAGGGAAGCCGAGGCTGAACCCACAGAACAACCTCTGTACACAGACAGCAAGCCTAGAGGCGATGGGAAAGGACACACAGTTTGGGGTCAGCCGCAATTGAGGGGGCCAGGAAGAAAATGGGCTTTGGCCTTCCTCAGACTTCTGAAGGGGCCCGAGTGCTTGATGTTCATGATGGGTGAGTGGGTGGATGAATGGATGTCTGGACCCATGGATGACTGAATGGGCGAAGGGTCCCAGGATGGGCACATGGGTGGCTGGATAGCTGGCTGGCTGGATCTACTGATGGATGGATGGATGGATGGATGGATAGATGAGTCAACTGTGGGTGGATGGTGGATAATGGATCGGTAGGTGGAGGAATCCAAGGATGACTGGATGAATTGACAGATGGCTGAGTGGACCAGTGGTTGGCTGTATCAATGAATGAACAGAATTATATACAGGAATGGGAGGCTGGATGGACAGAGAGATGGATGGACCCATTTGGATAAATCACAGGATGTTTACCAGCTGGTTGGTGAGACCAATGAATTGATGGACTGAGGTGTGTAGGGACAGATGGGCAGATGGGCAGATGGCAGTATGATGATGGAAGATGGAGAAATGGCTGGGGATGCACCTTAGCTTCTTGCATTGAATAGTTGTTGAGTTGATATTAATCACATAGAATGGAGTGGAAAGGAGTGGAGGGGTGTGGGCAGATAAGGTCCTAGATGACCTTCCCAGGTCCTAGATGACCTCTGGCTCTATCCAGAGGCCCGTGCTTGCTCCAGGACAACTGGGAGCCAGGGCCAGGGGAAGAGCCCACCTCTCGTTCCCTGTAGCCCTAGAACTGGGGCCCCTTTCCTGTTTCCCTGGGGCATTCGGCTTTGCACTTGGTTGGCTGGGTTAGTCCTTCCTGCCTTTCTTAACTCTTTGTTTGCCTTGTTTTTTGTGAGGTAGGTAGGGGTGGGAGCTGCCTTTGGGGTTGGTGAGAGGGGAGGAGCTGCCTCAGAGGGGCAGATGTAAGCATTAGGTGACCTTAGGAGCAGAGGCAGGACCAGTCTGAGGCAGATAGCCCAGCTGTTGCCCCAGGCTGGCCCAGGAGCTTGAATTCCCCAGAAGATCCTGAGCATAGAGGTGTGGGTGGGGTAGGGGTGGTCTGCAGAACTGGTTCTGTTCCCACACGCTCTGTGATTTGGGCTAGTGCTTTCTCTTCCCTCCACCATGGGCTTCTCATGTGGACCATCATGGGCTGGTTGGGTAGCGCCCCTGTGCCTTCTAGGAGCCAGCGTGGGGATGTGAACCTCAGAGATAAACCAGAAGCCTCCCTTGCCCTCCTCCATCATCTCTGTGCTGACCCCTGCCCCATGCCAGCTGGCAGTGATGGGAAGACCCTAGTGAGGACTGCCTGACTGTCCCCGGTGGGCTGCCAGGGGCTCTGGGGCAGATGGGGGAGCCACAGTAAGACTGAGGGGTGGGGGGCGGTGCAGGCAGAGATGAGGCTGCCAGACATGGGCTGGCGTCCAGGCTCTACAGGGAGACCAGGCTCCAGCTAATTACTTCCCACCCACCCGCATCCTCCCTCCTCCCACACGCAGGCTCACGTGTGTGCATGCTGCCGATGCACCCCAGATCACCCCGCGCCCCTGGCCACCCTGGGCCCTCCATGCCCTCTGCAGAGAGCCCTCACAGCAGCTGACCCCACGTGCCCCCACATCTCCCCTCCCGCTGCCCACACTGCCTGGAGACACAATTGCAACCTCCTCCCAAAAGACACCGGGCACCCCTGCGTTCACAATCACCTGCCCAGCCAGCATGCTCTGTCCTCCACACAGACACACCCCCCTCTCTGCCCCCACGAGGCCTGGGCTTGCCCCCTGCCATGCTCCCCACCCCCGGGTCCTGCAGGCAGGGCTTTCCAAAGGCCCTTGGTTGGCCCCCTGCCCCAGTGTTCCTCTCCCTCCCCCACCAACAAGAGCAGAAACAATCTAGTGGGGGACTTGTGTGTGAAGTGGGGTCTCAGAGAGGCATTTCTGGGTTCTGCAGGTCTAGGCCTTGGGGGTGGACACTCGTCTTCTGCCTCTGTGAGCCTCAGTCTCCCCATCTGTGCAGTGGGCTGAGGATGCCCAGGGAGCCTGGATGTGCCCCCCCATCCCCCCTTGCAAGTCAACACCGTCTTCCCGGCCCCTCTGGGGAGGCCCACCCCTCTTCCTCCTTCCCCAGGTCACCTTCCTGTGGCTCCAGCCCCCACACCCCTGCCTTCCTCTCCCCTGGGGCTTCGTGACCACCCTTCTGCCAGCCACAGCCTGCCCCCACCCTGCCTCAGTCTTCCTTCTCACCCTGCATTGGCTGTCCCCCAAGTCTCCACATCCCTGTGGGTGCCTCAGTCACCACTCTGGCCTCTCAGTCCTAGGCCCCGCGGCTCCCACAGCCCTCCCGTGTGCCTCCCCATCCCTCTCATGACACACCACACTCCATCAACACCAGCGTGCTCTGCTTCTGAAAGCCTGGGTCCCCCAACATTCCCCTGGCCATACCCCAACCCCCAACTCAGGACGCCCTGTACCTGGTTCTTGCCACCTCAGCCCCCCGTCCCCCCTTACCTTCTCTGAGTTTCCCTCCCACCCAGCCCTGCCATGTCAAGTCCCTCTGGACGGGTCCCGCTGAGCCAGTCCTCAGCTCTCTCACTGCCACTCCCACCTGGCAGGACCCCACCCTGGGAAAGCCCTGAGCCTCCTGTACACAGAGCTAGGTGGCAGGGCCGGCGGGCGCAAACTCCCCTCTGATGCAGACCATCCCTGCCACACCTGCCGCCAAACCACCACACCCACCTGGGCCCTCCCTGTGGCCTGGTCGCTGGGTTCAGACCCACCCGATCCGTCTCCCTCTCATCACGCTGTCAGTTCCACCAACTCCCACGTCTTCTCTGAATCAACTGTGTCCCTGCTCTCTGCTCCTGAATCCATGCTCTCCAGGCACTTAGAAAACAAAAGCAAAACCTGCCCTCAACTCTCCGCCTCCCCAGCTCCTACTAGCTCCTTCCTCCTCTTTGTGGAAGAATCTACATTCGAGGTCTTCCACTCAGGGTTCCTCCCTGCAGCAGGCTTCTGCCCATGGCTGCTGTGCCCCCTGGGAACCGCTCCAAGAACACGGCCTGCTACCTGTTCCGTGTCCTGAGGGGGTCCCAGTCGCCCCGTGGTGGTGCAGGGCACTCGGGCCCACTGGCTTCCGCTTGGGTTTGCCCAGACACTGAGGGTAGAGAGTGAGTTGGGGTACTGATTCTCCAGCACCCCCACCCCCCGCCCGAGTGTTGTGAGCTGGCTGCTCCCCTGAACAAAGGACCTACCCTCCTGGGGTCCTCTCCACCCAATTCCACCCTTGGGTTCCAGCCTCCAGTAACTGTCCCTCCCCTCATCCTTCTTTACCTAGGTGGGGAGGAGCTGTGCCTGCTGTCACTACCCTGGAAGACAAGCAGGCCCTGCATTGCCCTCACCCTCCTTACACCTTCCTGACCCTCCTCTTTACTAGGCGTTCCTGATGTCACCTGATTTGTGTGGGCCAATGTCTCCTATGGGCCCTGACTGGCATGGCTCCTCTGTCCTGCCACCCAGGGGTCCCTTCTCAGGCCTCTCAGTGGCCTTCAGTATGGTTATCTACACCTCTCCTCCTGAAACCTTCTCTTCTCCGGGTGCCTGGGACCTCACGCTCTGGTTTCCTTTCTCCCTGGCAGGCCCATCCTGAGCCCAGAACTCCAGAGAGCGCGGGGTTCTGTTCGGGGTGTTCATTCCTGACCTGTAGGGGCTGGGCCCAGGGGCCTCTGGGTCTTCGCTGCCTTCACCTTGCCTGGGCCACCTTGCCCACACTTGAACATGGATAGGTGCTGAATGCTGCTGGCTCCAAGGCCTCCCTGCTGAGGCCAGGCTGCCCCGTGTCCCCAGCTGCCCCTTGGGTGCCTGTGCTGAGATATCTGGTGGCGGGGGTTGGGAAGCCCAAACACCCTGCTGACTGGCTTCTCTGGGCCACCCCCATCTCTCGGGTGGAACCACTATCCTCCTGGTTGTGCAAATCAGATCTTTCTCCTCCCGCTATACCTCCCTCTGTCCCCAAGTCCTGTGACTGCCCTCCACTGGCCCCACCTGCCATCTCTGCTCCCATCTCCATAGGCCAGGTTCTTGTCCCTCCCCAGCATGGAGGCAGCTCCTTCCTGCCATCCACCTGCCACCCATGGGGCCTGCCTGGGCTCACTCCCCTCCCTGGCAAGCCCCCTCTTCAGCCCCTTGCCACTCAGCCTCCCCTCTCGGGTGATTTCTGCCCGTGTGTGTTTGAGGCCGTCTTTGACCCTGAGCCCTTAAACACAGGCTCCATCTGCATGGTCACCCTTCCTCTGCTGGTTCGCCGCCTGACACATCACATCTCCGCTGAAGGGCCACCTCCGCGGCAGCTGCCATATTATTATTGTCTCTCAGACGCTGCAAGGCTCACCACGCAGATGGAGTGGTGGGGATGAGGCCGCACGCCCGCACAGAGCACTGGGCGGTCAGTCATGTTAAAGCCACATGGTGGGACCAGGACCCCGGCACGCTGTCCCGGAGCCCTGCCTGCGGCAATGATCAGGAGGAAAGGCATAGGCCCCTTCCCTCCTCCACCTCGTAGAGCTGGAATCCACATCAGGGACTTCTCCCAGGGGAGATAAATGCCTTTCTCGATCCAGCAGTACCAGGAATGCTCACGACCCCTGTGGAGTGAGGAAGACTTGCTGCGGTCAGGGAGAGGAGCTCCTAGGCCTCGCCCACCCTGGGTGCTCTCTGTGGCCTCCCCAGAGCCTTTCAGGGTCCCCTTGGTGACGCCTGTGTGGGCAGTGTGGCTCCAGAAAGTGGCTGCTGAGTGTGTTCGCTCAGCTCCTCCCCGAGGGCGGTGGGCTGTTTTTTCATGCGCAGAGGCAAGCTTTGCTAGGAGGAGCAGGTGATGCTCGGGGACAACGGGGTGGGCGAGGGTTCAGGCCCTCAGCTACCCAGCAGTGCCCACCCTGAGCCGGCAGGCAGCGTCCAGACTGGGCCAGGCCCCGTTGGAGCCAGCCGTGGCCTCAGATAACCCCCTCTCAGCCTCCTGTTCAGAAACACGGCGGTGGGGGGAGCGGGGCTTGTTGGCTCGGCGACGTGGAGTGTTTGTCATGTTCTGCGATGTGGTCGTGGATGCCTGCCATCATTTATCATTATAATTAAGTACAATTTGGCAGGGGGGTGGGTGGGGGAGCTGTCAGACCTGCTCGCTGCGCCTCCCTGCACCGCAACGGCAGCACGAACCCAGTGGCACTGGTGGAAGGGGCCCGGGGGAGACTCCTCTGCCAACCTTTTTGTGCTGGCGAGGTGTGGCTGGAGTGGGGACTCTCCCCTGCCCCCGCCAGCTCCTGCCCACCCTCTTCATGGAGCTGAAGTCACCCTTGCACAAGGAATCAGCCCTGCCACCAGAACCGGCAGCCTGGGGCTGACTCCCACCCACAGGGCACCTTGTTTCCCAGGGGATGGCTTCCTGGTCCCCAGCTCAGCTGGAGGCAGACCCAGAGGAGCCCAGCTTGGTGCCGGATGCTTCTCCTTGAGGGGGAGTGTGGGGTCTGACCGCAGAGAGAAGCTGGGGGCTGGGTACCCGCATCTGCCTCTCTTTCCCGGCTGGGGGCCCTTGGGCATGCTCCCCTCTTGGGGCCTCTGCAAAGTGGTGGTTGAGAAGACCGATGAAAGAAGGTGGGCTCTGACCACACATCAGAGCCTCAGGGAGCCACCCCTTCGCAGTCCCCTTCTTAAACAGTCTCATACTTATGGCCACTTAATTATATGTATAACTGTTTCTTAAATAGTCTCTTCCTCACCAACGTGTAAGTTCCAGAGGTCAAGGATGGTGCCTGCGTGGAATCCCTGTGTGTCCCAGGAACACGCACCTGGTCAATGAATAAATGAATGAGCCATGCATGCTTGCAGGTGAGTCGGCCCCGTCACTCACTGCAGGCTCACTCACCTTCCTCTAGCCTGGGTTTTGGGCTTGGAGAACGGTCGCAGTGTCTTCACAGACTCAAACACTTAGGTCGGTGCAAAATTCATTGCGGTTTTTGCCGTTGAAAGTAATGGCAAAGGCCGGGCGCGGTGGCTCACGCCTGTAATCCCAGCACTTTGGGAGGCCGAGGCGGGTGGATCATGAGGTCAGGAGATCGAGACCATCCTGGCTAACAAGGTGAAACCCCGTCTCTACTAAAAATACAAAAAAAAAATTAGCCGGGCGCGGTGGCGGGCGCCTGTAGTCCCAGCTACTCGGGAGGCTGAGGCAGGAGAATGGCGTGAACCCGGGAAGCGGAGCTTGCAGTGAGCCGAGATTGCGCCACTGCAGTCCGCAGTCCGGCCTGGGCGACAGAGCGAGACTCCGTCTCAAAAAAAAAAAAAAAAAAAAAAAAAAAAAAAAATTAATGGCAAAAACCGCAATGATTTTTGCACCGACCTAAATACAACACTGTGTGTTTGTTGATCAGCTGAAGGAGAGCAGGACTGTTAGAAGAGGCACAACAGGGATCCCTAACTCACACAGGAGAGGAAATCTTAGGGGGATTTCCAGACGAGATGAAATCTGAGTTCATACTTAAGGAGGTGTTAGCATTAAACACACTCAGAAATAAGGAATCATCAGAGACAACAATTTGGCAAGCTTTTCTGAGGGTGCATGCAGGGCCTGGGTCTTGTGGCTGGGTCATGGGGCTCTGGGTCTGATGGGGAGACAGGCATGGATGCAGTGTAGCCTGGGGCTCCTTGCCAGCAGGAGTCAGAAGTCACCATTCACCGAGACTTCCCTTGGGAAGGCCAGAGATGGTAGAGAGGTTTTATCTTTTTTTTTTTTTTTTTTTTTTTTGAGACAGTCTTGCTCTGTTGCCCAGGCTGGCGTGCAGTGGCACGATCTCAGTTCACTGCAACCTCCACCTCCCAGGTTCAAGTGATTCTCCTGTCTCAGCCTCCTGAGTAGCTGGGATTACAGGCATGCACCACCACGCCTGGCTAATTTTTGTATTTTTAGTAGAGATGGGGTTTCACCATGTTGGCCAGCTGAGAGGTTTTATCTTATGTGTCATTTTTGATCCAATGGTTGCCCTGTACACTATGTGGAGAAGGATTCTGTTGTTTAATATGAGCTTAGTGAGAAAGATTGATTGGTGATTGATTGATGATGTCTGCCATGAGTACGGAGGGTACAAGCTAGGGCATGCATGCTGTAGGTTTAGTATTCCGGTTTCAAACTGTAGAGTGCAGAGTCTCAGGAAAAGATATTGGACATGACTGGGCTGAAACATCTTGTATTATGGAAGGGGAAACTGAGGCTCAGGGATGAGTAGGGACATCACAAGTCAACGGTAGAACAGGGCTCTCTTTCTTGCTGGCTGGGAGGCTGCCCCCGTCAGCAGAGGGATCTCAGGTGGGTCTGGAAGAGGTGGTTTTGGGAGTTCCAGCCCCCCCACTTGCAGCTGCATGAATGGGGCAAGTCATGTCAACTCTCCAACCTCATTTGTACAATGGGGTTGATTAGGGCTAAAAGAGACCCTTCGTTCTATAGGTGTTTGTGGAGTGTTTGTTACTGGGCACACTTGTTGCTGGGATACACAGCTGAGCAAAACACAACCGGATCCTCCTGCACATTGCTTACAGGGAGACAAACTTTGCTCATATAATCACTCCTGAACAAGCAGAATCCAGTACACAGGTGGGCCCTGTGGAAGCACCGTCAAGGCCTTGCTGCATGGTAAGCATTAAAATACAGCCGCCACCGTGGCAGGATTCTTACTGTGGGGGTGTGCTGAGCCAGGGGTGAGGGCACTGGATGCAGCCCATCCCCACATTCCTGTGGGCCCCAGGGGGGCTACCTCCTCCTGGGGGAGGTGCCTTTCTCTAAGTATCACAGAGGCATCACAGGGGCTGGTGACTGCCTTAGTCGCTAACTGTGTGGTTGTTGCCTGTGAGATCCTGCCCCTCAGACAAGCTGAGCAAGATGGCCAGGTCAGATGGCTGCAGCGTCTATCTGGGAGAACATGTGGGGACCAGTTCTGTGGCGAGGGCCCTGGGTGGCCTTGGGGAAATGCTTTGTCTCTCTGGGCTTCCGTGTGCCCAAGTACAAGGGCACTGAGGCCTGACATGCACATATCTGGTGGCAGCCCTGTTAGGAGGAAGGCCCTGCCACCCCACACTGCCCCAAAGGAACACTTCCGGGATAGTGCAAGCATTCCTGGGATCTTCCTGGGCCCACGGCGCTGGGACCCTGCCCCAGACTCCACTGCTCACATTGTCACGAGCCGCAGCCCTCTCTGTGTGCCCACAACACCGGTTCTCAACTGGGCACAGCTCCTTCTCCTGGCTTTGCCTGGGCTGTGCTTTACACCTGAAGTGGAACCCCTGCCCTTCCATCCTGCTCTCCTTCGAGGCCTGCAGATGCCATGTCCTCCACACCTGAGGATTCTGGAGGCCGGCAGGGCTTCTGGACAAATCTGAGCACTTGCACTCTGGAGGCCCTGCCACAGTGGCTACTGCCCACCACGGACGATTCTGTAGACCCTGCTTAGAAGAGACTGGCCATCCAGAACAGCTCTGCTCCCACCCGGAGACTCAAGACTCCGCTCAGGAGTTCAGACTGTCTGGCAGCAGCTGTGGACTGCAGGGGTGATGGCCGTGGCTGGCACCTGAGGCTGCAGCTCTCAAGACCTTGGTCCGAAGGATGGGGGCTTCCACTCCCAACTGTGAGCTCACTTGCTGGGAAACTTGCCACACCCAGTGTCTGGACATCAGATGAACTTGCAGCCTCTTCCTTCCTTTCCCTTTCCGGTATTTTATTGGTGGAGGGCCATGGGCATCAGACATGTGGGTTTTGGGGAGGGAGGTAACGGCAGAGTGGGGTTGGTGAGTATCAGCCCCTCCTGCGAGCTGTGGGTGCTGCTGTGTGTTAGACATCCCTGCTAGCTCCCTGTCCCACATGAGCCCCCGGGTCCTCACTGGGCACTGGCCTCATTCTCTTCTGGGATCTCCCAGGCCCTGCACACAGTAAGTGGGCAGCACACAGTCACGATGGCCACTTTTAACCCCACCGCCTTGATCAAGACCTGGAGAGCTGGGGCATCAGAGCGGGGGTCGACAGACTCGGAGGCCAACTGGCCTGGGGTTGAGCTATTGTTGCCGACATGGAACCCGATCCAGTGATTAATGGGTCCAGGAAATGATCCCTAGCTCAGCTGGCCAGTCCGGGCAGCCTGGCAGCACGGGCCCACGCGGTTCAGGGGATGGCCAGGAAGGCCTGCCGTGGGAGGGCTGGCGGGGGTGGCTGGCTGAGCTGTGGCTACAATGCTGGGGCCATGGGGGTCTGGGGGGGTATGGACCAAGGGCCCCTTTCCAGGAATGCAATGCCCGGCTCCCTCCCTTCTCCCGTGTCTCCTAACAGGGCCCCCCGCCCCTCTCAGTTCCTCCAGGCTTCCTGCCCACAGCTCTGGACCGCTGGTGCCAATGTGGAGGCAGACAGCTGGCTCCCTAGCCATCCCTGAAACCTGTCCGAGCCCCTCCCCCACCTCCTGATTCTAGATGTCCTCATCCCCACCCCCACGCTCAAAGGCTCCGGGAGTCTCCCGGGGCACCCCTTTGCACACTGTGGAGTCCTGTGGCCACCCTAGTCGCACGCTGTCCATCCCTGGGGGTAGAACTTGAACATCCAGGGTGAGGGGTCCAGGTTCCAGGCCCCGGGGCCAGGCCAGGCAGCCAGGAAGGTGCCCTGAGCTTCGGTCCTTCAGGGCTTGGCACGAGTGAACGTCTTCCCAGGCCATTGTGTTGCAATCCTTCTTGGCCACCGACCTCTGTTTCTCTGGCAATTGCAGGATTTTGCCGCTGTGATTTGGGCAATGTTTTTTTCCTTCTAAATCACCACTCTGGAAGAAGGGACTCAGCTCAGAATGAGCTGGCTTCCATTGTTTCACTTCTTTCCACAAACAGCTCCACAGCTCCCCGCTAGGTACCCGTCCAAGTGTTTCCAGGCATAATGGCAGCCCAGGGGTCACCCTGAGGTGGGGCTGCGGCTAGGGCTGCGTGGTTCCCTGGGTTCTGCAGGTCTGACCTCTTGGGCCTGGAGGTTTCCAGGGCGTAGCGTTTGGGCTGCTTCTTGAAGCCCGCTCTGCTCGTGCGCCTGCTCTGGTTGAGCACTTCCCGAGCGCCTGCTGTGTGCGGGGCACAGGCCTGGCGCTGGTCTCCAGTATCATTCTAGCCCCACCCTGAGCACTCAGAGGAGCAGACACCTGACGAACGAACGGCAGGACTGGGCTTCCAGGCTGGGTCTGCACCCCCAGCCCCCGCCTCACATCACTGCGTGCTCAGGGAAGGCGAGCCCGGCCCTGGTAGCTGGGATTCCTCCCAGGTGCACGTCCTTCACAGTTTCTGAGTCCTTCTCAGAGCCGCTGTGATCTAGGGCGCCGCTGCAGACTCTGAAGTCCACTTAGTGATGACTTATTCCCATTCCACGCATCAGTGGCCTCGGGCTCAGAGAGGTCAAGGTGCTTACACAAAGCCGCACAGCTGTAAGTGATGGGGCAGGGGCTGGACACCAGATCTGTGTGACTCCTGGTGTGAAGAAGGCCAAACTGGGGCATCACCACCAGCCTCTGTCCCAGGTGGGAGGTTGGGGAACAGCCCCGCTGTACGTGAAGGGCCTGGTCATGTCTGGCCTCTCAAGGTGCCCCCCAAAACGAACCCCTCCGTCTCCATCCCACTCAGTTACGGTGGGTGACTGGGGACTTGCGGGGACATGAGCCTGAGCTCATGTTTGGTTCCAGTGATGGGGAAACTGAGGTCAAGATGGAGCAGGGTGGGGTTGTGATGTCCTAGGCCCTTCCAGTGCTGCCGTCCCAGGATCTCAGTGACGTCTTTTTCTGGGCCCCATGATGTTTGCAGCAACACCAAAAGGCCTCTCTGCTCCTTCCTCATGAGATCTTGGGCTCTGTCCAAGGCCAACTGAAGACTGGAAATGGCAAAGAAAAGTTGGTCCCTGTCATCCTCAAGGGGACCCGATGCTGTTGGGATTCTTGGCTCCCCACATCTGCCTTCCATGACCTCGCTGTCACCCCGGTAGTGGACAGAGGGGAAGAGGGAGTCGTGGCAGCACTAGACGCAGGCACCGTCCTCGCCCCCTCACTTCTGCCTGGGCCGGCGATTGTTCTGGCCCCACTACCTGGCAGGGCTGAAGGCAGAGGTTGGGGTGCTCACCTTGCAGCTCCCTCAGGGGTTCTCCAAGAGGGGCTTTCCCAGCCAGGCCCTTCCTCCGCGCCTCCCTCGCCGCCCTCCTTCCTCTTACGGGTCTGCGTGGTCCCAGTGCCTGCTAGGTGGATGCTTTCTGAATAAAGGCATAGACCTTGTGGGGTAGGACATGCCTATGCTGAAACCTATTGACATTTTAATATTCTGCTAACAAATGATACAAACTCATGTTGGTTTAAAAAAAAAACCCATGGGTCATCATTTCCCGCATGAACACCCTTTGCTTGCTGTATGTAGATGCATGCTCAGAGGATGCCATGAAAAACTGTATTTCCAGTGGTTTTCAGAGCCGGCCCCATGTGCCAAGATTTCAGAAGCTAGGGGCTGGGCTTGTGACTTCTGGAGTCCCTCCCAGCCAGCCACGGGCTGCTGGCCCTGCCTGCCTAGCAGCGCCTTCCAGACACTCAGATGCCATGGGGGAGATGGGCCCGGCTGAAGTCCAAGCCCTGGATAATGTCAGGGAGGTCCAGGGTGAAGCCATCCTTAACCAGGCCAGGAGAGCTCTGTGGCCCTGGATCCCCACAGTGGGGGAGCCCCTCGGGCCTGCTGGGGCGGGTCACCCAGCCTCACTTCCTGTGGGCAGCCATACCCTGCAATCTGCAATGCTTCCCCGGGACCTGCTGTATGCAAAGCTCAGTTTTGAGTCAATCGCAAGAGTTCCTGATGTACGCAGAGGCCTCGTGCCTACCCCCTGGGATCCTCTGCTCCCTCTGGCCACAAAACTCCTACTGGCAGTCTTGGGGGTGACGCCAGGGGAGGCCGGCTTAGTGGTCCCGCCTCCTGTTCTAACCGTCGGAGTAAACAGGAACATTAAATCACTACTTGGGGGTCAGGAAACTGGAAATAATCAAAACACAGTGTCCTGTCCTCGGCCTGGGCACTGGGCCGCCTGTCACCAACCCAGCCTACAGCCTGGGGCTTTCCCAGCCCCACCTCTGCCCAAGTAGCTGCTCCCACGGACCGCCTCATGGGCCGGGTGTACAGCGGCCCACACCCCAGGGCACAGCTGGTGAGACTGGCGGCCTTCCCGTGCCCATACGCGGGCGCCACCCGGCTGCAGAGGTCAGAAGAGGTTGGGCTTTGCAGCTTCTCCAGCCCTCAGTCACCTTCCCCATCAGCCCTTGAACCCCAGGGGATAGGGATGGGCACAGGGGAAGAGGCCTCGGAGTGGGGAGGAGGCCTGGGAACTTGCTTCCATTGCACTGTGCTTGCGCCTGTCCCCACTGGCCTTCCGTCACCCAGAGGCCACGGGCCAGTTAGATGGGCCTGGGACACACAGAGTTGGGGAAGGGTCTCCTCTCCATCATAGGGCACCCCAGGCCACACATGCCCTTTCTAACCGACCTCCCTCCCAGTGTGTACTGCTAAAGCTTGGAGGTCTCCCAGGAGCCCCCGATGGCCACTTCCTGAAGGAGAAACTGAGGCTCAATGAAGGAGAATGGCTGCAGGCCTTGGCCCCAGGCCCCAGGCTCCTTCCTGCAGCCCAGGAAGCTTTGAAAGGCTGGTTCTGCTTCAGCGAGGGCACCGGCTGAGAAGGCGGGAAGGAGGGAGCTCCTGGGCTGGAGGGAGAAGCTTCCAGCCCGAGTGTGGCCTCTTCGTGCCTCGTCTGACACTTCCCTGCCCTCTTGGTGCCTCCACCTTCCCACCTTCAGGTGGCCTCTCAGGGTCTTCCCGTCGCTTGGATTCCGAGGGAATCTGGGGAAGCAGGCTTGGAATGTGCCCAAAGGACACACCTGGAAGCCCTGGCCCACGAGGGGACAGATCCCTGGGCCCGTGGTCCCTGAACTCCCAGAATCTGGGACGCCCTCAGCCCTGTCCTGCCCTTTGGGGTTGGGGTGGGGCTGTCTGTGCAGGAGAAGCCCTGAGACGGAACTCACACGTGGGCTGGGCTGCTGAGCCCGAGGACCCGACCCCGCTGGAACACTGGCAGAGAAAGCACTCTCTGTGCTGGGCCCCAGGGGGAGAGTGGGGATGCAGGCTTGCCTGGTGGAGCTGCCAGTCTTGGGGGTGGACTGGTGAGGATATGGACCCCGGCACCCCCCGGGACAACTGAAGAGAGGAGGCCTGAGCAGGAAGCAACCCTTTCTGCCTGGAGCCCCAGTCAGACAACATTTGGACCTGGCCTTGCACACTGAACGGGAGCTCCAATTTGGAAGCAAGGCATGCAGCCAGGGTGGGCCAGCCTGTTTGGGGACCTGTGTCAGGAAGGCTGGGGCAGCCTGTCTCTTGGCCCTCCAAGGTCTGGGCTGAGCCTGGCTTGCTGGCCATTGCCTGGGCCTTCTGAGTTTGTGCCTTCCTCACAGCCAGCCTATGATGTGGGGTGATTGTACCCATTCTAACGAGGAGGCTGAGACCCAGCAAGGTGAAGGGGTTTGAGCCCAGCCTTGGTGGCTCCAGAGACCTTGCTCCTTCCTTGTTGGGTCAGCCGTCTCCTACGCTGCAGTGAGGTGCTGGGCTTTCTGTCTGTCCTGGCCAAGTTGTCCTCCCCCTCCTCAGTGCCACAGTCTCCAGTTCCCCTCCCCAACTCCCAGCAGTGGAGTGGGTGACCCTCAAGTCTCTGCTCTTCTGCCTGCTGGAGCCAGCACCTGGGAGGGGCAGTGTTTTCTGGTCTCCATTTCCCTCCCTTCTTCTGTTTCCCCTTCCAGGGAGCTGGGGAAAGTCCCTAGGCCCAGAGCCGCAGCAGGGGCAGGGGTTGAAGACTGACCCAGGGCTCAAGGCAGGACTGGGCTGCGGTTGGGCAGGAATGGGGTTCCACCGGGGGAAGAAGTGAGTTCTCGGTCCCAGAGAAGGAGTGAGGCTCGGTTGGGCTGGGTTGAAGGTGGGTGGGGCCGACGGGGAGGGGAACATCCTGGCGGGGCAGGTAGAGACTGGATGGGGTGTGGGGCCTCAAACAGCAGCATGGGGATGCTGGAGGAGGTGGGTACCCTGGGAGGGAACCTGCTGTCCCATGCCCGTTGTGCTCCTTTGGCCTCACATGGGGTGTGGGCTGGCCAGCTCTCCCACGCTCCTGCTGCAAGAGTCTGCACCCTTTGCCCGAGGGAGCAGTCAGTCTGGAAAGTCACAGGAACCAGAGAATTCACTCCCACCCTGCCCCTCAAGAAGCAGCCGTCGGCCAGTGATCTTTGAGAGAGGAGAGTAAGTACTCAGCTCCCTTGCCCCTCATGAGCGTTCTGCACCGGGGATCAGCTTGGGTTCCCCACCTGGTGAGGTGCTTTTCAGCACGCTCTTCTTAGCTCCTTCCTGCCCGGCTAACTTTCCTGCTCCCTTCCTGGGGTCCCTGCCCACCAAAACCACAAGCACTCCATTCCCTGACTAGGGTTGGCTTAAGGGGGATCTATACTAAGTCTGGGTGTTATTGGTGAATGGTGGGAGGTGAGGGTGGAAGGATAAGCAGGGCCCATTCAGGAGGACTTGGAAGACAGATGAAGGAGCTTGAACTTTTCCCAGAGAAGCCAGAGGTTGTGGAAAGGTTTGGATTTGAAAAATATCACTTTTCTTGTTTCATGGACTGGAGCAGGTGGACTGGGGGCCAGGAGAGAGCTGAAGGGGACCCAGAGTGTGTCAGAAAAGGGTGGCGGGGGGGGAACTCTGCATCAGTGATGCTGAGGAGGGGGCGAAGGCAGAGTGCAGTGGGGGTGCTGGCTGTTCAGGTGGGGCTGGGGAGGGTACAGGTCTCTGGCAAGAGTGACAGGGCAGTGCGGATCACCACTGTGGATGCTGCCTTCCTAGACTCCCTTGCAGCTAGGAGTGGCCATGTAAGCCAGTTATGGCTGATGAGATCTATGGGGACATTCACTGGGGGCTTCTAGGGAAGACTTGTCTTCCCTCAAGACAGAAGCTATGTGAAGAGGAGTGCCCTTCCCGCCCCTCTTCCTACTTCCTGCCTTTGAACACTGTTTGAATGTTTGGAGCGGGGGCAGCCATCTTGAAACAATGAAGCTAAGGCCAGAAGAAGCCAATAGGGCCCGGCCTCAGGTCGGGAGACCCATGCCAGCAAGCACCGACCCACAGGCTCCTTGTTATGCCAGAAAAACAAACCACTCTGCTGAAGCCACTCGTTATTCACTGAGACTTCTGTTATTTGTAGCCAAAGGCATTCCTAAAGAATACAGGATTTGGTATCAAGAGTGGTGTTGGAAACAATATTGTAGCACCTAACTAGCAGAGACTGCCAGGTCAGAAGGGATGGATAGCGTGTCTGTGTTGGAAATGCTGACTCGAGGCCCTTAAGGGTCATCCAGGTGAACGTGTCTGAATGCAGCTGGACACGCCACTGTAGAGCCCAGGAGAGAGGCTGCTGAGGACAGACATGGATGGTGGCTAAGGCCATGAAAAGGGTGAGATTGCTCAGGGAGAGTGGCAGAGGAAGAAGGCCAGTGGATACAGAGAGAGCTCCAGGAAAGGCCAGCACTTGCGGAGTGGGTGGAGAAGGGAGCACCTCCCACAGCCAAGGGGGACGAGCAGTGATCATGTTCCCAATCAACCCCCCATTTACTGAGCAGCTAATAAGCATGAGTCACTGAGATTGACATCTACTGTCTTGCCTATTTGGCCCGCACAACAGCCTTCCAAGCTAGGCACTACTGCCGTGCCTGCTTTACAGAGGAAAACATGGAGCCTCTGAGAAGGTGCCACCATGATTCAGAGCTTGAAGAGACCTTCCAGAGGGGGCACCAGAGAGGCACCAGGGAGGTGGGAGTGCTGCTGGGCTGACTCTGGGACCGGGCGGGGTGAACAGACCCAGTAAGTGAGGGGGAGGGGAGGCGGGGCACTCCGGTCACAGGGGACAGCATGAGTGAAGGGGATGGTGGCATCTGGCTGGGCCTCAGAATGCAAGAGGGGCCTGGGAAGTTGGAGGGGGGTAGCATTTGGGGTCTTGAATACCAGTCTGTGGAGTCTGGTGTTTACTGGAAAAGCTTGGAGGGAGCAGGTTGGCCAGTGTGAGCTCGCCCTTGCCCTGAAGAGCATGGAGTGGTGAGGATGGGGCTGCCCCTGAGGGGCCTGGTGCAGACACGCTTTCTCCCTTCCCAGATGTCTCTCGAGGAGAGGCAAGACCTCAGTTGGAGCCCTTGGCACATAGCCACAGCAAACAACTTGTCCTCATTCTCATTGAGTAACTGCAGTTAGACCCTTTAGTCTGTCCAGGCCATTTCAGGTTAGTGGGGCTGCCTATAGCCCAGGTAGGGCAGCCCAGGACCCAGGGCTCACTACCCCAGGCCAAGCCTCCGTGTCTGTGGGCTGGAGCCTGGACATGGAGGGGGCCCGTGGGCTGGCAGGGCCAGGAGCGCTGAGTCTGCGCAGTGCCTGTTCTGGGGGCTGGCTTTCCAACCTGCCAGGGGAGACAGGAATGGGGCTGAGGGTCTCACTGTGGCAGCCACATGCTAAGGGAGGTGCAGGGGAGCCCTCAGTCAGGGCAGGCTGATCCACATTGGAGGCCAATGCCAGGATGTCTGTCCTTCCATCTGCTGCTGGCCGCATGGGACCAGAGAGGCCTCCATCTGAGGAGGGTGGGGGCTGGTCCTAGGACAGGAGGGAGCAGTGGGGTGGGGCCGAGTCAGGGAGGGAGGGGAGCTCCAGCCGCACCCCCGTCCCCCATGGTGTGAGACCTTGGCAGGCCCTTCCCTCCCATCATCTCCTCACTTGCAATGTGGGCACCCTGTGCCCCATCCTGTGGGTTCTGTTGTAGGAACAAAATGAGATGATTCAGACGAAGTCCCAGGCCCGTGGATTTCGCAAACAATTAAAATTTCAAAAATCAACTTTAGTTCCTGTCGTAGGGTGCCAAGTTCGTATTTTGCCAAGTTAAGAGCATTGAAAACAAAAACAAAATGCCAGCTACCCTTGACTGGTACCGTCACTCCACAAAGGAACAGTATTTGGATGCAAAAAGGGTTGGAGCCCATCTCAGGGCGATAGGTGGCCCTCTAGGGAGACAGCAGCAGCATGGGACATGCTTGACCTCACCTTACTTTGTCCTTCACCTCTGGGACTGGGTTTGGGGGCCCCACACGGCCTACAGCTCAGTGGGTGCTCTCTTTGCAGGGCTGGCGTTGTGGTGCCTGCTCCTGCAGGCTGACCCAGGGTGGGGTGGCGATGAGAAGCGCAGACTCCACAGACTGGTATTCAAGGCCCCAAATCCTAATCCCCTCCAACTTCCCAGGCCCCTCTTGCATTCTGAGGCCCCAAGCACCTCAGAGGCTTTCACTGGGGAGAATGAGATCCCGGGAGAGGCGCATCCTGCAGGGTTGCTGTGGGTCCCCTGCATGTGGACGTTCTAGTCCATTCTGGCCCCAGACAAGATCAAAGGCCCTCCTCACTGTGATCCAGGCTTAAAGCCAGATTCCCACGGGGGCGGGTAGCGGGAGAGCACTCAGTGGCTGCTTCCGCACCTTTCTGGAAGTGGTCTCTGATTGAAAGGGTCCCCTGCTCCATGTGATGAATCCAGATGCCTTCCCAGGTGCATCCCATCCAACTCTCAGCAAAGGTGGCGCAGTTTGGAAGAAGATTCGGGCCACATGGGGGCCGTCTAAGAGATGAGGAGTCTAACGTGCAAACGCCTGACCAGCAGGTGTTTGTAGGTACCTGAGTGCCTTGCAGCCCTGGTGGCTCTCCTGGGTGAGAACTGAGCCCCACAGAGGCAGAGTCCCTTACTTGCAATCACCCAGGAGGAGTATGGCACAGCTGAGGTCCCAACACCATCTGCCCTGTGGGGTGACCAAGGCAGAGGACGGAAACTCAGGTCACAGCCTTTTACCAGCAGAGCAACAGCTGTGGGCAGAGGTGAGCATCCCTTGCTTCCTTTAAAGCTCGTGGACTCTCGTGCTTCTTCCTGGAGGCAGGGACTCCAGTATCCCAGATGGGCTTGGAAGGATAATCCAGGCAGGACCCCCAGGTGTGGGATCTGCATTACCAGCATCACACATGCTGGCACACACACAGCTAGCAGTGCCCCAGACGCCTAAGACCAGGTTTCCCTGGGCATCGGGAAGGTGTGTGGAGAAGGTCCCGTCCTCCACCTGGGGCCTGTCGGCCACACTGAGCTGCAGGGGAGGGAACACCATCAGCAGCCAGGCCCGGGTTCCAGTCTCAGGTCCTTTATTTCCCCACTCTGTAACCTTGGGTGGTCCCTGGCCTGAGCCTGGGCTTCCTCACCTGTAACTCCTGCACCCATCGCAGGGCCTGGTGGACGGCAGCTGCTCAGCGTGGCCAGGCTGAGCGGATGCGGTGGGCTTGGCACTCCTGAGGCCTGGGATGGCTCTCCTCCTGGCCTGCCCCCACTGCCTGGCCTGCTCAGCCACGGCCTGCTCCGCTGCCGTGGACTCCAGCTGCCCCCCAATGAGGACGCCCGAGAGATGTTCCTGTTCCCACACCACACCCGAGGAGCAGGAAGCCGGGGGTCCCCCGGGAGCAGGCCTCTTCAGAGGCCTTCATTAGTGGCGGGAATGTTTATGCAGCACACGCCACTGAAATTGGCCAAGGAGCTGCCCAGCTCGGCTCAGGCAGTTCACTTTACACCTCAGTGAGTCAGGGGGAGAAAATCCAGCCGCTAGGGGGTTGTGGGGCATGGGGTGGACCTGGGCCGGGGTGGGGGGTGATGAGAACCATGAGGCTGGTGCCGTCTTACCCGACGGGTCTGTGAGGGGCTGGCAGTGGCTTTTCTGGGCCAGGAAGGAAAGGAAGGAAGCAGATGTTGCAGAGGGGGAGGCTGAGCTGCAATGAAGTCTCACCAAGGCCTCCGCAACCCCATGGGGGTCTCGGGAGCTGGGACAGCCCTTCAGAATGGTTCTAAGTATGGCCGAAGGGGGTGGCCTTTATGCTGTCACACTGACCAGTCACTGGATGTGGGCTGCCCCCCGAGAAGGCATGGCCATGTGCAGCTTTCTTCAGCCAACTCAGTCCCAGAGGCCTGAGAGCTGAGGGTGGTGGACTGGCAGCACTAGCCCTTCTAGCTACCAGCATTCACGACAGGCTGGCCCTGACTGCTCAGAATCACCTCTTCACATGCCTTCTGGGACCACTTCTTCAGGATTCTGGTGGCCTCTCTTCCTAACAGGAACACAGAAGAGGAAGGTAAATGGACAAACTCTAGCCCTTCTGCTGCAGCTGGCCTTAGGGCTGCAAGTGACCTTCATTATCTTCCTTCTCTACTGTCTAAGTTCCCTTCAGCCTCAGCTTGCACTCTGCTCACCTCCATGGCTTACCTATGGGTTACCTTTATCTATAACATGGCAGAGATGGGAGCAAGAACACAGCCCCATCACAAGACTGTAAATGTATACTATTGTCCATTCCAGGTCAATGCAAATTGTCTTCTAGCCTCTTTCAAAAAGAATGCAATGGCCCTATACCATGCACCCAAAGCCATATGAATCTGCTAACAAATTGCATCTGGCACAGAAACTGCAGTTGGGGCAACTACATTGTTGAGTTTGTATTAATCTACTGCCATTGTTCAAGATCCCTCAGATTTTTCTGGAGCCAGGCCAGAAAATTAAATGGAGATATGCTGGGACTACCACCCTTGCATCCTTTAGGTCTTTAAAGATGATGTTCATTTGTGCCATTCCCCTGTTAGTGATGTTATTTTTAGTTTACTCTCTTGACCCAGGTGGGGGAAGATAGTTTCAGACAAGGCCAAGGTGAGGGTTGTAAGAAGCAGGGAAGTAACTACTGGGTAGGTCCACAGACCCAAGGGACTCATGGGGACCCCACCTGGGTCAGGACCCAACTTATTATGTAGGCTTCACAGGCCTCATTCTAACAGGATCATTCAGTCTCTGGTGTCAGAGTCACTTTAAACTCCGTGTCCACAGTCTCCAAATGGTTGGGCATTCTCCCTTCCCCAGTGTAAAGATACTCAGATAAGTCGCCTTAGATTCATACGGGGAAGATCCGGGGAGCTACTACCACGTACACGTGTGGTGGTCCAGGGTCCTTCCTCCTGGGGACTGGCTGCACCTTCAGTCAATGGATCCTGGTCTAAAAACTGTCTCAGGATCAGAAATTGGGCCAAGAATTGTGACCTTTAATTGGGGCCACTGTCTTCAGTATCCTGATGGCCCATTCTTGATTTCTTTTCATGGTGCAGACTGTGCCTGACTCTCATTGGCTGCCCACCCATTTTGCCCATGTTCTATTGGCTAGATTAACTGTTTGCATGGCCCCCCGGCTGCCAGTCTGACCTTGCTGCTCATTACAGTCGTTGTTTCCCCTGGCTTCAGTGGTGAAGCGCAGCCCTCTTCCCTCTCTTGTTTCAGGACCCTCTTAGCTTCTTTGCTGCCAGTGAGCCTGGCTGAAAGGGTATCTCCCCAGTGAGTCCCAGCTTATACAGGACAGCCGCTGCTGAGCTTCTCAGGGGTGCTGGTTCCTTCCTGGGTACTTTGGTAAATGGTGCATCTTCCAGGTCCTCCCATGGAAAGTAGCTGTCCGGCGGACGTTTCGGCCTTCTGCGTTGTACCCGTGATAACACGCCCACATCTCTGAACCTTTTGCTCAATCCTCCCACCATCTGCCACAGCAATTCTGGCATCGACACCTCCCTTAGTGTGGGCTGCCACTTTCTCCGTGCTTCTCGGTGCCATTCTGCCAGTGTGTCTGTACCATCCCCCATGCTGCTCGCCAGGGTGTTCTATCCCACACCCTAGGAAAGTGCTCCCAGAGCGAGAAACTCCCTCATCCAACTTTATGTCCCACTCCCGTGGCCAGCACCTCAGAATCCAGTCCTGTGCTGGCCAAGTGTCAAATCCTCTGCAGTCCGGTCCCCTCCCCTTTCCACCGTGATCCTGGAGGAGCTATGCTGCGCCCTGACCTCCAGGCCAGGAGGGTCGGTGGAGGGGAGTGTTGAGGGGGTGCCTGCTGTCCTGTAGTGAGGAGAATTCTGCAAGCAGTGACGTTTGCCCTTCGCAGGGACAAGTGGGCGACTTTTGTAGGCTCCAGGAGTGCAGGGGATTCTGGGAATTTGCATCAACTCAGAAGTCACTGTCCCATGTGTCAGGGACTTAATGGTTCTCAACCATGGTCTTGACCTTGGCAGAGCAGAACTGCCTGGGGCGGAAACTCGGCCTTTGGTATGATTAAGTCCTGTGATCAGCGGCCTGCCAAGGGGGCCTGGTGGCTTTCCCCACACGTGGCCTCTCCTTGCTGGTTAATCACGTCCAGTCAAGCATTGACTGAGCTGTGCAACAGCCACATCCCATTCCCCTCTCCCTACAGCTGCGGTTTCCCCGGATCCCCAAGTATCCCCAGATGCCGGCTGCATCTCACCACCCCCACTCCCCTTCACCAAACACCAGCCCCGTCTGCCCTGGTGAGCATTTCCGTGACTGCAGGTCTTCCTCCCACCAGAGCTTCCTGTGCTCCACCTGGACCCAGCAATAGGGGTCATAGCCAGCTAGGGGGTGGGTGATCAACTCCCCAGTCCCATTTCCATGGCTGTATGCTTAGACCACTCCTGGCACCATGCGTCGCAGGCCGGGCTTCCCGGGAAGCAGACTCCGAAGTGGTGATGGGCTTGACGGCCACCTGCCATCAATTCCCATGGCAGGGCCAGGCAGAGGGAGAGTGAAGGCGGGCCATGGTGCTGTTTCTATGGGATCCTCAGATGACCCCACAGGGAGCTCTACAGCTGGGAAGGCTACCCAGAGTGACCCAGGCCAAGGTGGAGGGCTGGGCCCTTGAGACCCCCCTGCTGGCAGATACTGGCTTTGGCCCCCGCTGGGAAGGGGCATGGTTTGGGTGAGGGAGCCCTCTTCAACCGAGTCACCTTCTGGAGAGGGCCAGCAGCAGAGAGCTGCCACTCAGCTCACCCAGAGGTGGGGGAGGACATTCTTTTCCCAGATGGGGACGCTGGGTGGCTCCCACGGAATTCCACTCCACCACCCCTAGGGCCCTGGAGCCCCCACTGGGTGTCTCCATCACCCTGGTAGGCGGGGGAGAGTGAGAGCAGACCTATGGGTCATTGTTAGGGGTCAGGCTGAAGGGGTGAGCGCATTGCACCAGGTGGCACTCAGCCATAGGGTGCTTTGGGCTATAGGGAAAAGGGAGATGGTTTAATAGAAACTCAGCCAGTCTCTGTCATCCTGCCCAGGATGGGCAAATTGAACTCGTCCCCATGGGCTGGTCTGTTTGGGTGCGAGCTAGAGGCAAGGCCATGTGGATTCACAGTGACCTCAGATGCAGGCCTCCCGGGACACCCTTTCATCCAACATTTCAAGCTTTTCTTGAGACCCCACTCCCCGTATGCCTCACTCTGCCTGAGGGCTCAGGATTCAGGGGGAAGAGGCACATTCCTGCTCTTCTTGGGCTCCCAGCCTGGCAGGGAGGTCGAAGTTCGACTCCCGACCAGAGAGTTGTCACACCTGGGCATGGCCAGGCTGCTGCCAGAAGAGGGGTGGACAGGGAGGTGAACCAGGAGGCCATCCTGCCTACCCCTGAGCATTTGTCCTACAGTCAGAGAGCAAGGAAAGGCAGAAGGAACAGCATATGTGAAGGCTCAGAGGTTGGAAAATCATAGCACAGGGACTGTGAGGCTGGTGAAGGGGCCAGGTGGAGAGGGTGGGGAATATTCAGCTGTGAATCAGAAAGGATGTTCCCGGCTCCCCCCCATGGCTTGTCTCTCTCCACTCTGCCCTGTGCTCTGTGGCTACCAGAGTAACCTTTCCAAGACATGAACCCTGGCTGTGTCACCTCCTACTTGAAGCCCTCCAAGGCTCCCGCTGCTCTCCAGGTAAAGCCCACACTCTGGCACAGATGCCCCACCCCAAGTTTGCCTGTCCACTCTTCCTACAGCCATCTCTCTGCTAGGGCCGGCCTACTCTGTCTTCACTGCCACACATGCTGTGTCGCAGCCCTGCTCACAAGTCACTTCTGCTCACACTGTTGACCTTTGCACCTCTTCTCCTGCCCTCTGGGATTTCCTTCCCTCATTTATTTTCTGACTTACTCCTACTCACTTAGGAGCCACCTCCTCCAGGAAGCCTTCCTGGATCTTGCACCTCTCCTCTGGTCCCTGTAGCACAGTGCTCGGCCCTCTGTTATCCTGCAAGATTGCCACTGTCTCTGGCCAGGACTGTCTCCAGCTCTGGGTGGAGCCTCCTTGAGCAAAGGTGAGGGGCACAGGCTGGATTCCTCTCTGAGGCTCCTGCCTCCCTCCCGCGGCACGGGGCTGCGCAGCTCACAGCCTGAATGGGAGGGAAATGAGGAGAGGACGGCCTTAAGCTTTGAAAAGACATTTTCCCAAGCAGCTGGCAAGGCCCCCACCCGCTCCGGGGGATTTTCCAATCTGCTCCAGAAAGGCCCCGTTCTGAGTGTATTGGGATCATTCTGGGACACGGCGAGGCCCACTTCCCTGGCCGTAGCCACAAGCAGAGCGCGTCTGAAGTGCGTTCCTCCTGTTCTTCCTTTTAATTGATCAGCAACAGCGTGATGGGAGATGAGGAAAGATTCGCCTTCTGGAGCCTTCCTCTCCTTGTCAGTCTCTGGCTTCCTCCAAGACCGTGTCCCAGAATACATGCCGTCCTTGCATGGCGTGGGGCGGAGCCCTGGCCCTGGTGCCCAGAATCCCAAGAGTTGCAGTGACTGTGAGGGATGGGGGGCGACTGCATCCCAGGGTGGCTGCCCTGCCTGCTCAGTGCGGGGTGCTGGACCTGCATGTCCGTGGGGAGCTGGTGCTGGCTGCTGACAGCCGAGGGGCTGGGGTGGGCGGGGGCAGGGTGGAGAGGGACTTGGTCGGCTGTGGATGCAGCTGGTGCCAATGTGAGGGGCATCTCCTGGGATTTCCAGAGACCGAGCGGAAACTCTTTGCAAAAGGGGTTTGTTCCTTGCTCTGCCTGGCACTGGCTCAGATCTTCTGGGAGTTGTTTTGCTCTTGGTAATTGGTGAGAAGTTTGCTTCTAAAAGTCTGCCCAGAACCCCAAAGTGGAAGCAGGCAGAGGGCCAGTGTGAACAGAGAATCTTCTTTCTCAACACATTTTTAGAGAAGCATGTTTGGGTCTGCTCTTTGGACCTGATGAGTTTGGAACTTGAAGTCGTTTGAGCAGGGCTGGGCAGGGGCTCACCTTTGCCCTGTGGGCCTAATTTGTCCCGGGGCAGGTGACCAGCCTGCGAATCGCAGGCTCTTCTTATCTGTGCACAAGACCAGCCCCTCTGGGTCACTGGCTTGGCTGGGTCCTGGTGCTGAGTAGAGGAGGAGGGGCCGGCCTGGGCTCTCCTGCGGTCAGTTGGAATCCAGTGCCCTTTGCGAAGTGCTCAGCCAGTGTAGAATCACACACATTGCCTGGCCAGTCCAGCTCTGCCCTCTGACCTGAGCTCAGCTGGTTCCTGCTCTGCCCGGTTAGCCACCACCCAGCCAGTCTGCCGTGCAAGGAGCGGGGCGCTTTACAGAGGAGGGAGGGAAGTGAGGTCTCCAGCAGCCCCTGTGGCATGGCAGTGGGGTATTGCCTGGACAGCAAGGTCCCAGGAGAACAGTTTCCTGAGCCTCTGGCAGCCACACAGGCCATGGCCTCTTCTTGCCGGGTGATGGCATCTAGTTCTCTGCCCTGCTGGGCCTCAGTTTCCACATCTGTCAAATGGGGAGAAGATTGGACTCATTGTCCTTTAAAGTTTGGTCCTACTCCACAATTTGGTCATGGGATTCTCTCTGTCTCAGTTTCCTACCTGTAAAAGGAGATAATCGGGAAGCCACTTTAGAAAAGGAGTGTGACGTTTTATTTGCAGATCCTGGTAGCTCAGAGAGGACCAAATTAGAAAATGGTGAAAAGGGGGCAGGAGGGTTGTTTCTAGCCCTCGTGCGAGGAGCAAGGGCCCAGCCAGCGGGGCTGCTGCAACGGCCATGGTTATATAACCTCTCACTTGGAGACAGAGCCCAGGAGCAACGTGTGTCCCCAGCCCCGGGGGAAGCTGGAACCCTCTCCTGGGTGCCGGTGGCAGCCTCTGTACCAAGCTGTTTACCCACAGCCCTCACCCACCCCCGGAAGGGCGGGGCCTGTCTGCACTTTGGAGCATCTCTCCCTGCTAGATCCTCTGAGACTCTTGGATCTCCCCAGGGGTGGGTAGACTGGCCACACTCTGGTTCTGCCTATGCTCATGTTTGGCATGGGAGGCTCTGCAGTTCATGGTTTGTAATATATTCCAGAGCCTCGCTGAATATATCACAACCCTGGCCAGAGTGGAGCTGGCAGAGCACAGGTGTCCGGTGACTGTCCGTGGGGGCCACCCCCGGGGTCGCGGCTCTCCCGCATCTTAGGCAACAGTAACGGTGGCGACCCTGGTTGAGCCTAGACCTCACAAGGCCAGCCAGCTGCCGGCTCTGCCAAGGGCTGTCTGTGGATTGCTGTCCTCCATCTCCAAGCCTGCTGTGGAGGGAGATGAGTGACTGGGGCCTGGGGACCTTCAGTAACCTGCCTGTGAGGGATGGAGCCGGGAGGCCATCCCAGCCACCTGACACCAGGGACTGAGCTGGCCGCCCTCCTCCCTCCTGAGTTCCCAAAGTAAGGTAGGCCTGGTGGGTCCCAAGGCCACGTTGAGGTGCGTGGATGGGCCTTTTGCATAGTTACATATTTGTTTTCACGTTTATTAGAAAAAAAAAATAGCCTAGCAAATCTGATTTCACTGAGAATATTGCCTAGAAAAAGGCCAAGGTTTAAAAAGTGGCAGTATTTAGGATTGAATCTAAGAGAAATATGAAGTAAAAAGTGGTCTAGAGTGGAGGATGGCCGAAAATCAGCCAAGCCCTGTACAAGGCCAGCTGCGTTGGCCCCAGCCGCCTGCAGCCTTGGGCTCCACTGGCGCTCACGTGTCCCTGCACCTCCTCTCTCAATGCCCCCTCCCAGACCCCAACCTCCTGCCAGCTCTCCACACCCCATTCTGTCTTGGGGAAAACTCTCCAAGGGATGATGTGCACGGAGTCCCCCCCGTCTGCGAGACCCTCTGCAGCCAGGCCCCGACTCCCTCCTCCCCCGCGGCCGCACTCTCAGCGGATCTGGTGTGGCCTCTCTTGAAGAGGATGCAGCGGCCTCTTCTTCCGGCCTTGACACAGGAGGTGGCTTGTTCTCGGGACTTCTGGCTCCCACACTCATGTGGCCTCCCTTTCCCTCTCTGGCTGCTCCCCACAGGCTCTTTTGAGGCCCCCTCCCTTTCTAGCAACCTCTAAGCGTGGGCGCTGTGAGAGGCCCGCCCAGACACGCCTCTGTGGCACTCTTCCTCTCAGCTGACTCCATTGCCTCCCTCGGTATTCACTGCCAGCTATAGCCTGAGAGTTCCCCCTAGACCCCCACACCATCTTCTGAAACCCACCTGCCTACTCGGTATCGCCCCCTGGTTACCTCCCAGCATCTTGGACTGAGCTCGCCCGAGCTGAGCGCTGACCTGCCTCTCCCAGCTGGCCCTTCCACTAGCGTTCTCTGCTGCCACGTCCATGGCGCCAACTCAGCCCCAGCTGCTCAAGCCAAGGTTAGGGCTCAGCCCCGGGGTCTTCCTCACGCTCCTCTGCATCTGTCGTGTCCGTATCCAGAACATGTCTGGGATCTCTCTGCTTCTCTCCATCTCTGGCATCACCCAGCTGTAAGCACCACTGTCTCTCACTCTTCAGAGGCCCGACCGTCCCCTTCAATCCACTTGGGTACAGCGGCCACAGTTGCTTTGAAAGACACACGTCGGACCAAATCACTGCCCTGTTCAATGCCCTCCTGTCCAGTAGCCCCCATCCTCCTGGGATACAGTCCAGCCTCCTCCATGGGGCCAACAAGGTTGCCCTGCTCGGGCTCCTGATACAGAACCACAGAGACAGCTGTGCCGAATCTGTTGCCAGGTGTGTGACCTAGGTTGAGTGTTCATGTCCCTAACCCTTGGTGATGGGATGTGCCATCCAGGCCTCCAGCACAGTGGCCCAGCCTCAGCAACCCAGGCTCCTTCCCTCTTGTGGCTCTGCAGCTCTCAGTGTGACTTCCACCACTGGACCTGAGATGCTGTTCCAGCTCCTGCTGCCCCCGGGAGGAGGAGAGGGCACAACAGGGGCACTGGACATTGTCCTTCTGCTCATATCCGGTGCACAAATATCACCATGCCGTCGCACCAGGCTGCCCAGGTGGCAGGGAGAGATGATCTCGGCTGGGCAGGTGTGGGGTCAGCCAACTTGGGTTGGAAGGAGGAGAGAAAAGAGCAAGAGGCCGGCCAGAATTCCTCTGCGGGAAAGAAATTGCCTCTGCCCTGAGGACTCTCCCTGAGCCCCAGTGCCTGTCTATAAAGTGGGCAGACCCTCTTCGTAAGGTGGTGTGAGGATCCAATGAGGGGGCAGACAGGGAGTGCCCGGCAGGTAATCAGGTGCCTATCCACACATTACTCTCCTCTTTCCTGTCCCTGCTGCAGCCACCTTGGGTTTGGCATCTGTGGCTTATGGATCCTGGGCGTGGCTTTGGATCAGCACTTAGTAGGGCCGGGCAAAGGTGGCTCCTGGGCATCCCCCTGGATGCCTTTTCTGTGCCGGGGCTTTGGCACACAAGGAGCTTGGGGGCCTAGGGAGACGAGGCTGGCAGGGGTAGGCGCAGTTGGTGCGTGGCAAACCGAACCTGTCAATTCCAGAAGCTTTTGGCACATTGTTGAAGCGACTAGATGACTTTGAGAAGTGTCTGCATGTTTTTTCCCCAAGTGCAGTTATTTTTGCTGCTGTGAAATGTTCTGAAATCTGACAGTTTTGTTTTGAGTCTTAGCCCGATGGGAAGACGGAAAGGAACACTGCCTCCCAGTTCTGTGGCACCCGCTTCTCGGGGTCTCCTGAGGACACCCAGATCCTGGCAGAGGTGGCCAAGGAGAAGCCAGGGGACCAAGGTTTCCAGGGGGGAGTGTGGAGTAAGCTAGGCCACGGAGCCCCTGGATTCCCTCGGAGCACGAGACCCAAGGACCCACTGCGTGCCAGGCCCTCGTCTGCTGAGCATGTATTGAGTACCTGTTACATTCATTTGTCAGACATAGACTATGCACCTACTACATGACAGGTTCCTGTGCACTGAGGATTTATTGAGCACCTGCTATGTTCATTCATCAGATGCAGACTGTGCACCTACTTCATGCCAAGCCCTCACCCACCAGGCATTTACTAAGCACCTACTGCACAGTGCAGGGCTGTTGGAGGGCTCTCCGCAGAGGAGTGATGAGGTCGCTTTCTGTGTTTCATGGCAGGGAGACAGGTGGGGAGGCTACTGAAGGAACAGAGACCCTGGAAGATAGAATGACAACTCTGACATGGTTCCTGCTCTGCTGGAGCCCGTGGCCCAGGAGGGAATGGTGCTGAAGATGGGGAGATCCGAGTGGCCCTACTGTGAGACCCCAATAGGGGACTGGATGTGGTCAGCCCTGCCTTGCTGCTGCTCCATCATCTGTCCAGCTCCTCGTCCTCTTCCCAATGCCACTGCTTTCCAGGGCTTGGCCAGAGACCTCTCTGCTTCCCATCCAAGCCTAGATGCCTCCTTCTAGTTGATGTCTTCACAGGTACCTGAGCCTCCATGGCTGCACACTGCTGTCTCCAGGCCCCTCTCTTTTGGTCACCTCACCTCGTCTCGGGCACCTCTGGCACCTCGGACTTTGCATGTCCCTGATAAGCTTTTCTTATTCCCCCCCGTAGCTGCCAGGCTCGGCTTGGGTCCCCCCATCAGGCCTCTCCCTGGTGCTTCTAGATGGCAGCATCTCAGATGCTTTCTGACTCGGGGTTCCTGGGACCCTGAGCACTCGGCCGTGCTGGTAGCCAGCTGAGTGCCAGGCCCTGTGCCAAGTGCCTGGCCCACACCACCTCGTTTCATTCCAGCCACCACCCCAAATGGCAGCAACGGCTGTGAGCTCCATTTCTATGGATGATAAAAGTGAGGCACAGATGAATCAATTATCTGAGGATCCCAGCTTGTCCAGTATTTCGTGAAAGAACCGAACCCAAAAAGCAAATCATCCACCCAGCAGGTGAGAGCTGGGGGAGTCGGGCTCCAGCAGCAGTAACTTCATCCGTGTGTAAACCTGTGTCAGTTTCACAGAGCGCCTCCTGCATCGCTATGGAGACTGACGCTGCAGCCTTGTCCTCTGCGAGGGAGACATAAGGAGTGGCAGAAATCACACGACAGTTTATTCCTGGTTAAAGATATACAAAACCCAAAAAACCCTCAAACCACGCAGGGTCCCCTCCCTCCCCAGCCTGTGCTTTGGGACCTACGCGTAGCAGACACTGTTGCCGTATTGGTTAGATCACGGGGCTGGCCGCCGTAACAGAGATCCCAGTGCGACTCTGAGCATAACAAGGAAGGGTCTCTTCTTTCTTCCGACATGAGTCGTGTAGGGCTGAAGCGGCAGCTCCTTGGAGTTTGGGGCTCAGGCTCCTTTGATCACAGCACTGCTGCCCTGGTGCACCTCCCACCTTGTAGCTCGAGAAGGAAGAAGGCTCTGTCTGCCTTCAGTCCCACTGTGTAGCCAGCAGAAAAGGGAGAAGAGAGCTTGGGATGTGTGGCTCTTTCCTTAAGGGGCTGTTTGTTCCAGATCCCATCCCATCCACAGTCACCTCAAGCTTCAAGGGAGGCTGGGGACATCACCTTATGGATGGTTCTGGGCCTTCATAAAATGTCATGGGTCCTGTTACTAAAGAAGGAAGGGCCAGATGGATATGGGGGGATGCCTAACAATCTACATCGTGTCCACCCCCTTGGGCCCCCTGCCCCGATATACACACAGACCCTCTCTTTGGGCTCTAAAGACACTCAGCTCCTTGACATGGGGTTGGCCCTGCAGTCCCTCCCCTGTGTCCAGCTCCGAGTCCAGGATCTGTGGGGGACGTGCAGTCCCCTCATCCTGGCTGAGGCAGTGCCTTGGGAGCAGGGAGCCACAAACTCTGAACATAAAAGGCAGTGGTCTGCAGCCCCTCTTCATAGATGATGCTGGGACAGGAGCAGCAGGACTGCTACAGAAACAGGCCCTGGAAGAGAGAGGAAGGGCCAAGGCCACAGTCACTGTCCATGGCTATGACTGTGCCCAGCTGGGCGGGCATCAGCAGCTCAACCTCCATCACACATTTCTGGCTTATGTGGGTTTGGGGAGTCCAGGGATTTTTTTAGTGGGGGGAAATGTAAAAAAAAACAAGAACAAAAAACCCCACGCTTTTGAAAGCCACACTTCTGGTTTATTTGGCAATAGAATGTCCTCTAAAATGTCATAGGCTCCTGGTCTATTTGCACCTGGTCAGTTCCATGTTGCACATGGACTCACCTAAAGATCTTGTCTAGAGCTGGATTTTTGTGCTTAAAAAGTCTTTTTTTAATTTTTTTATTTCCAAGCCTCTGTTCTTGGCCCATCTTCTTCTCGCTCATTTAATGGTAACTCCCGGGTAGCGAGTTGAACCAGCAGGCTTGGGCGGGAGGACAGCAGCACCTCTACAGATGATGGCTCCTGGGCTGGCTGCCCTTGCCCGGCTAAGAGCTGTGTATGGGAGGCGCTTAGACGTTGGAGCCTGCCTCTTATCTCCTACAGAGCCATCTTTGTAGCTCTCCTGTATCACTTCCTAAAAGAAGCAAGTGGCAGCCAACACACACCTACATTCTGAGTTTTCAAAACCAGTTCTAGAGTTCCAGGGCTGTCAGGATGTGGTCTGACTTCTAAGCACCACAGGGAATGTTTCTATGAAAGGATTTCCACGGTGCAACAAGGGTCGACAACTGTCCCTCAGAAAATCTGTGTCCTGGACTACGGAAGCCCTGGTCTGTGGAGCCCACATCATGGAGTTTTGGTTTGGTTGAGGCAAAACCTGTAATAGCCAAGAAAGGCGCTTGGCTGCAGAGCAAAGACTCCCCCCAGCTAGGGGCTCGCACATGATGGAAGTGTATTTCTCTCTCACGTAACATTAGAAACACGAGGAGTTCAGGATGATGTGGCAACACCAAGACCATGGGAGCCTGGAAGCCATCTAGCCTGCTGCACTGCTCTCCTCAACAAGGAACTCTGAGCTCGCGGCGTAAGATGGTTGCTGCATCTCCCTCCATCCCATGCGCGTTCCAGTCAGGGCCACGCTGAGAAAAGGAAGTGGAGGCAATACCCCTGTCCCTTCCTTTTAGGTCTAGGGCCTGGAATGTGTACATGCTGGTCCACTCATACTCCATGGTGAGGAGGGATCTAGGGCTCAAAGAAGTCCAGCCACTTGAGTGTGAGTGTATGTGTGTGCGTGTGCGTGTGCGTGTGCGTGTGCGTGTGCATGGCCTTCGGGAGCGTGTGCTGCTGTTTGGACACTAAATGTCCTGCTCCAGCCCAAGGCCACGTGGCTTCAGAGGGGTGGAACTGGGCTCCAACCCAGGTCTGCTGGCTCCTCTGTCCTCCAGCCCAGTTTTTTTTTTTTTTCTCACTAGGCAGCTCCTGGGAAAGAGGCAGGTCTGCGGAGGGAGGTGAGGACTTCATTCTAACTGTGAAATGACTGCGTTCAGAATTGGGAATCCAGAGCTGGGAACGAGCTGCTGACCTGCTCCGGGCATTTGTGGCCATTCGCCTTGAGGGCCAGGACGCCTGCATCAGAGCAGCTGGGCCTGACCCTGGGAGCGAGGCCTCCCTGGGTGAGACTGACAAGCCCCTCTGGCCATCCTTGT
The DNA here is from genome assembly GCF_000001405.40 of Homo sapiens. Classification (NCBI taxonomy): domain Eukaryota; kingdom Metazoa; phylum Chordata; class Mammalia; order Primates; family Hominidae; genus Homo; species Homo sapiens. The sequence goes on along the minus strand of NC_000014.9, from coordinate 101,499,082 downwards.
GGGGTCCCTGAGCCTTCACTTTCCTGCCCTGTCTTGCTCTGATGTTTACTGCTGTGTGGGCCTCAGTGGTTTTACCCATAACACGGAATGAAACATTTTGTCTAGGTAATGGAAAAGTTGCTTTGGGAAATCAAGATGGGATCGTGGAGGTGAACAGGTGTGAGCTGGAAGGTGCTCACCAGGTGCTTGTGTGCTGTGCTCGGCTGAACCAGGGCCCACAGATCTTGCATGGAAAGATAATCCTGGATCCTCTGACAGGTCCAGTGTTGCCCCCAAGGTCCTCATAGGGAAAGAGAGAGGCGGGGGGGTGGGGGTGGGGCACAGAGAGCAGGAGATGCGCCCGTAGATGTGCAGAGGTGGCAGTGATGTGCCGTGAGGATGGAGGAAGGGGCCATGAGCCAAGGAGTGCAGGCGCCTCTAGAGCTGGAGAAGGCAAGGAGATGGACTCTGCCCTGGCACCTCCAGAAACCACCAGTCCAGCTCACACTGATTTTCGCCCACTGAGGCCATCCCAGTCTCCTCACTTCCAGAACTGGGAGATCTTAAATGTATGTTGTTTTAAGCAACCAAGTTCGTAGTGATGTGTTATGACAGCAACAGGAGACTCCTGTGTGTGGGGTGGAGTGGGAGGTGAGCAGGCTGAGATGGAGACGGTGCGAGGGCCGAGGTGGGAAGGAAACCCACGAGGAAAGGCCCAGAAAGGTGCAGGCTCTTTGCTGGATGGTGAGTAGCCTCTCAGACCAGTGTGTGGACACATAGGGAGGGCTGGAGGATGAGGCTGGCCAGGAAGGCTGGGCATGCTGATGGGGCCCAGAACACCCTCTTGAAGGCCTTGGACTTAATTTGGAAGGCCTGGGAGCCCCTGAGAGTTACTGAACAAGAGAGACCTAATAGGAGGGCGGTGTTCAGGCCCACGGGGGTGCATCGAGGCCTGAAAATGACAGGTCCTCTGAAAGTAACAGGGAAACACAGCTTTACGCATTGTCAGTGCTTGCGGCCACAGCACTGTGCAAAGTTCTCCTTGGATCACGGTGCCTGTCAAGATGTACAGTGTGTGCAAGGCTGTGGAGCGAACCTTCGGTCAGCAAGCCCAGGGCGCCAAGCAGCAATGGGAAATCAAAGGGAAAGAAATGAAACTTTTATTAGCAAAATGCTTTCCGAGACATGCCACAAGTCTTCGTCCAGTTCTCTCTGGTTTTTATTGGGTCAAAGGTGCAAGACTCTTTGAAAACTGACTTGGGAACGGTTGCTGGGAATTTTAAAGCGTGGCTCAGCCAAGATGCACAATAAAAAGAAATGTGTGACCGTGAAAGAGACACATTCAAAATCGCATGTTTTTCGTCTTCAGTGTTCACGGAAACATGCCCATTAGCGGGGGTGGGAGGGTGGGGGTGGGGAGGCACGGGGGAATACAGCAAAGGACTCTTCAGAAGAGGATTTCTGCGTGCTGCAAAGATACCACCCTGGAAAACCATGTGTAGAGACGTGCTTCCAACTGCCCCACTGATAGTTTCAGATCCTGCAGGGACGAGAGAGAGAAAAAAAATCGGAATATTGCCAGGATGGTATTTGAATAAACAGTGTGGACAGCTGCTCTTCCCTGCCGGAGCCAAAGAAATTCTGTTGTTGTCCATGAAGAAAATGCATTTGACGAGGCACCCGTTAGCTAGGAGCTGAGCCGCCCTTGCTAGAGGACTCCAGGGGCCTTTGAGCTTCACCTTGAGCACTCTCCTTTCAGCTGACGGCTCTCCCTCTGCAGTCTGAGGAGCTGCACAGCTTCAGCCCCCCACCCCCTGTATTTGGGGTTCTTTATTTCCTCTTCTTAGAGAAAGTGCTAATTGTTCATGGAAGTGACAAGCGGTTCCCCTTGGAGCTGCTGCCTGGCTTGTATCCTAGGTGAGGATGTGTGAGGTGGGAGGGTCTGATGGCCCCTGAATGTGGGGGTAGGAGGTGGCCGATGGGGAGATGCAAGACACACAGCCCCGGAGTCCTGGGGAGGGGCCACTTGGAAGACTGGGGTCTCTGGTCTGGGTTACAAAGGTCAGAGCTGTACAAAGGGTCCCCAAATGATGCAACAATCAGATTACTTCCTTTGGAGTGATCTGAAGTGTGAGAGCCTAGTTTCTCCATCGGCACAGTGCCTGGGGATTAATTAGTTTAATTGGTCCCTGCGTTAGGCCAAATAGTCAGTGTCAAAAGAGAAAAGCAAAAGATACTTTCCCATTTGGGAAGACAAAAACTGCCCCTGCTAATGGCTGAGGGTGGTAATGACAACAAAAAGCCTTTCTGGAGTTGACTCGAATGGCCTGGGAAGGCGGCTGGACCCTGTCACGGACCCCTGCCGCATACCAAGCAGAAGCGTGGAGCCCGCTGGGAAGGACGGCTGGGCTCGGTGAAGCCCCCGCCGGGAGTGGGTGCTGGCCACGGTGCCACGCCGGCTCTGCAGAAGCATCTCGGGCCAGTAGAGCTCTGTTATCAGGGGGTTCTGCCCTCCCCCGTCATGAACACCCCCAACCTCATCTGCAGGGAGGAGCAAACAGGCCCGGCGGGCCAGCCTGTCCTGGCTGGACAGGGCTGGGGCTCACCCTGAACTCCTATTTGCTTGCGTTACTTGTCGTGGGGCTGGGGCCTGATGGGCTGTGGTTAAGATGCAGGGGGACAAGTCCAGCGCGATGGAGGAGGGGCCAGACTCCACAGGGGAAGGCCTGGCCAGCAACAGGACCCTGGCTAGTCACGTGGAGGCTTGGGGCGCACCCACTGTCTGATGTGTAAATCGGTGCCCACTCACCCCTGCAGCCTCTGCATGCTGTTGTTATGCTGATGCTCTTGGAAGCTCTTTGTCACAACAGTCAAGGGCGGCATGTGTGGGGGACAGTGTGCGGTCCCAGCAGAGCTGTGACTGGTGACTGAATCGCAGGGAGACCTGAGGAGTGGTCCCGGTGCATTTTCTGAATTAAGGAGGGTTGACAACGTAGGATTAGAAAAAGTGTTTGGGGAACAAAACACATAATTACTTTAAAAACCAAACTGGTGGAAAATATTTATCTTTGCTGCTTTACAAACAGTGGCCTCTGGCCAGATGAAGTGGGGCCAGGTACACAGTGACTTTGGCCCATGGAGCTCAGAGGGTAAAAGAGAAAGGCGGTTCCACTGTGAATGCTTCTTCTGCAAAACCACTTTGGAGAGTCATGGACCAGGGCCTGTCTTTCGGTTTGTTTTTGTTGTTGTTGGTTTGTTTGCCTTTTACCTTTTTCTTTAACATACACACACACACACATGCACACACACACACACACAATTGTGGTAAAATATACATAACAGTTACTATTTTAACCTTTTTTATTTTTGAGACAGGGTTTCACTCTGTTAACCAGGCTGGAGTGCAGTGGTGTGATCATGGCTTACTGCAGCCTCACCCTCCTGAGCTCAAGTGATCCTCCCACCTCAGCTTCCCAAATAGCTGAGACTACAGGTGTGTACCACCATGCCCAGATACATTTTTAAATTTGTTGTAGAGATGGAGTTTCACTGTGTTGCCCAGGCCAGCCTTGAACTCCTGGGCTCAAGCAACTCTCCCGCCTTGGCCTCTCAAAGAGCTGGAATTACAAGCATGAGTCACTGCGCCCAGCCCCTTTGTAACATTTTTAAGTGTGGCATTGAGTACCCTCACATTGTTGTACAATCATCCCCACCATCTGACTCCAGAACTTTTTATCTTGCCAAACGGAAGCTCTGCCCATCAAACAACAATTCCCATTCCCTGTTCCCCACATGGCTCCATGAATTTGACCCCTCCAGGTACCTCGTGTAAATGGGATCTACAGGATTTGTCTATTTGTGTCTGGCTTATTTCACTTGGCATAACGTCCTCAGGGTTCATCCATGTTGTAGCAAGCGTCAGAATTTCCTTGTTTTTAAAGGCTGAGTAGTATTCCGGGAGGCCTTTGGTTTTATTCTGTGGAGTGATTGCAGTGGGGAATTCAGAGAGCAAGGGGTTGGCCCTGACCCAGCGCCCCTCCCTACAGCCTGCCCTGCTGGGATGGAGTGACTGCGATCAGCTCTGTGGGAGGACTGAGGAGCACTTCTAATTTCAGTAGCTGGAAACGGAATTCCTCAGGGCCAGAATGAGGGTGAGGAGAGTGAGGCACTTGCCTTGGGCCCAAAACTAAACCCAGTAATCTAGAAAAATCATAGGTTACTGCAGTATTTAAGAATCGAAATCCAGAATGACCAAAATATCACAATTTTAAATAAAGACAGAATCAGTCTCAGTGGTGTCCCCCTTGGTCTTAGGCTCCAATATGGCTCAGCATGGCGCTCATCTTGTCTTTATCTAAAATTTTGATTTTTTTCATCATGGGTGTTTTGCATTACTTTTGTATTAAATTGTGGTAAAACACGCACAACATAAAATTCAGTTTTAACCATTTTTAGGTGTGCATCAAGAATGTTCGCAATGTGTGCAACCATCCCTACTATCCATTTCCAGAACTTTCCATCTTCCCAAACTGAAACTCGGTGCAATTAACCAACTGCCCACTACTGCCTCCCCTGCCAGCCCCTGGTAACCTCTGCTTTACTTTCTGTCTCTATGAATTTGACTATTCTAGGTCCCTCATATAAATGGAATTGTACAGTATTTGTCGTTTTTTGATTGGCTTATTTCACGGAACATAATTTCCTTAGGATTTATCCGTGTGGCAGTGCATGTCATTATTTCATTTCCTTTTAGGGCTGGATAACACTCCATTGTGTGAAGAAACCACATTTCGTTGATTGGGTTTGTTTCCACCTTTTGAGTCTTACGAATAATGCTGCTGTGATAACATGAGCATGCAAGTATTCATTTGAGTCCCTGATGTTTGATGTTTTCTTTTGGGTATTGGGAATTGCTGTATGACAAGGTAATTCTAGGTTTTTTTTTTAGATGGAGTCTCGCTCTGTCACCCAGGCTGGAGTGCAGTGGCACGATCTTGGCTCACTGCAACCTCTGCCTCCCAGGTTCAAGCAGTTCTCCTGCCTCAGCCTCCCGAGTAGCTGGGATTACAGGCATGTGCCACCATGCCTGGCTAATTTTTGTATTTTTAGTAGAGACAGCGTTTCATCATGCAACTTTTTGATGAATCACAACACTGATTTCCACAGTGCTTACACGATTTTGCTTTCTCATCCGTAATGGACAAGGGGTCCCATGTCTCCACATCCTGGCCAGCCCTCATTCTCTGTGTGTATTCACCAATTTATGACAGCCATCAGGAATGAGTATGAGGTGGGATCTCAGTTTGGTTTTGATTTGCATTTCCCTAAGGACTAATGATATGGAAGATCTTTTCATGGGCTTATTGGTCATGTGTATAGCATTTTTGGAGAAGTGTCTGTTCAGGTCCTTCACCCATTTTTGAATCAAGTTGCTAATTTTTTGTTGTTGAGTTACATTTGTGTCACTTAAATAAAATGTTTAAATGTGTATTTTTAAGAGCAGTTTTCGGTTCATAGCGAAATTGAGAGGAAGGAACAGATTTCCCATAGACGCCCACCCCCACACCTGAACAGTCTCCCCCATAACCAACTCTTGCACTCAGTGAGCCTGCACTGACACAGCGTGATCACCTGGAGCCCAGGGTTCACCGTAGGGCCCACTCTTGCTGTTTTACATTCCATGGGTTTGGACAAATGTGTCCCAGCAGGTATCCACCATTTTCACATTACTTTTGATTTTTAAAAATATTGGTTAAAATGTGACATCTTCATCACTGAGACTTTTTTCCAGCGCCGTCTTAAATTTTGTGAGTCCTGGCCCTGCTCTTCGTGGGGAGGAAAATTTCTGGGTAACCACTCTGGAAGGGGAGGGTGATCCCCTTAGCATGGGGTCCTGGAGGGGTAGGGTGGGGGCTGGGAAGGTCGGGGCCGCGGAGTCCTCAGGGCTGCGATGCGGAGCCCTTCCTGCTGCCTTCAGTGCGGACTGTGCTGCAGCGTGGGCCTTCTGAGGGGCTTCTCAAGGAAAGGAAGGAAAGGGTTTGAGTTCCACGCTGGGGCCAAAGCCTGGGAGATGCGGAGGAACCACTGTGAGTGGGGCACTGAGGCTGCTGAGGATGCCCAGGCGACCTTGGGAGCTTCCCAGGGAGGCTGGGGTGGGGGCCAGGCCCACCGAGATCCTCCGAGGAGGAGGTCCAGCAGCGAGGGGGCCCCGCCCCTGCCTTATGGCCGTGGGTGGCTGCAGCATCCTGGGCCGGTGGGTCTTCTTGAGAGTCCTTAGCCCCAAGCTCCGACGGCTCCTCCTTCCCTTCCTGTTCAGGGCAGCAGGTGGCTCACCCACTGTGCAGCAATGTCCGGAGGAGGCGGGGTGCTGTCCTACTCTCTACGGAGCGGGGAATCACAGGCCCCCGCAGGAATCCAGCACCATTAACACAGAGCTCTCACCAGCCACTGGCGAGGTCCAGTTTGCTCAGGCTCTCAGACAGCGTTTTAAGAGGTAGGGTTGTTGGGTCATTCATAATACATCAGTTGGCCCTTATTCTGAAAGAAAGAAGTGCCTTTTCCCAGTGGCCCAGCTGCAATACATGTGGCTTCCTAAGGTGCACGAGGGCATGTGCTGTTAAGCCCGTTTATTAGAGCTGGGGAAACAGGCATTTACATTGGTTGCCAGCTGTCCATCCAACACCTGTGATGATGCTGCACCTCCAGGGAGAAAAGCAAGGCGAGATCACACGCTGTGTGCCCAAGTTGGGAGATTTCCCTACTCCTCATCCTGTGACGAGATTGTGTCTGTGTCACCTTATAGGAGTAAGCCTGCTGTGAGGCTTTTTCTCTCTCCCGGAAGGACCTCAGCTCCACCTCCACCTGGAAGGCCCTAATCATTGCATGATTGGATTAAAGGGTTGATTGGCGCCTTCTCGCCAAGCACGCGGCAAAGCGCGCTCTCAAGTGGCTGCGTAGATCCGTCAGGGTGCTCAGCTGCAAGTGATAGAAGACTCCACGGAACTTGGGGCAAGCAACAATAACATTAGAGAGCAATGTGTTGAGCCAGGCGTGGTGGCCCATGCCTGTAATCCCAGCACTTTGGGAGGCAGAGGTGGGAGGATCGCTTGAACTCAGGGGTTCGGGACCAGCCTGGGCAACATAGCCAGACCTCACCAATCCAAAAAAAAAAAAAAAAAAAAAGAGAGAGAAAAAAGAGCAATATGTTGACTCACAAAAACTGACCAACTGACCATCACATTTCAGGCCTGATGGATCCACAACTCCCTGTCTCCTTCTGTAAGATTCTCACTCCTTTTTCCTGCCCAGATCTTCCGTCTGGGATCACTTTCTTTCTTCCTGAAATGCATCCATTTCAAAAGTCCTTTTGTGAGAGTTGTTGGTGGGACAGTCTCTCCTTTTGTGTTTATCTAAAAATATCTTTATTTTACCTTTCTCCTTGAAATACAGTTTCACCAGGTATATGTCCAGATTGACTATTGTTTTCTTAGGCACCTTGAGGATGTCCTCCCGCAGTTGTCCTGTGACTCACTGTCTAGTCTGTTCACTTTCCTCCCTGCAACCCCCCGCCCCCAAACCAGTCTCCTTTCTTCTCCAAACCCCACTTCTCCCCAGTCTTCATGCTTAGTAGTAACCTTGCTTCTGGTTCACTGACAAAATAGAATTATTCAGAAGGGATCTTCTGCAGATGCCACCTACCTGAATCCTGCACCAAGTGCTGCAAGTGACAAGCCCCTTTCCTAAGGCAGGCCCTCGCCTTGTGCGCTGGATCCAGGCCCCCCCACCTGCTTAGTGGCATCCCACAGCCCATCTTCCTCTGGTTCCCACACTTTCCCTCAATTTCCCACATTCCTGTCAGCCTTGAGACCTGCTGTTGGGCTAAGTTTGGGTTCCCCAGAAACAGATTCTGAGACAGGATTCCAATGGAAGTGGTTTATTTGGGGGTGCGGGGAAGGGAAGTGTCTTGGGTGGGGTTCAACTCGGAGTTGTGTGTACTTGCTGGGGAGAGAGAGGAGCAGGATTGAGCAGCCGGAGGAGTTCAACAGTAGTACAGCTGCAACCAGAATCTTGGCGGAGCCCACAGAGATCCCTGGACTTGGGGTGGCCATGCCAAGGTGTCCTGAATTGAGGCCAGGGGGCAGGCGTTTGCATCCACGTGGATCAGTCATTGGATATTCCCATGCTAGCTACCGTCCCAATTTTTCTCCTCTTTGTAGAGCACAGCTTCATTAAGGAGTAAGTCTGTAGTCTCTGTCTCCCATTCCTTTTCCTCCTTTTTCTTTACCCCAAAGTCAGGCTCTTAGCGACATGATTCTACCAGGGACCACCACGCTGTCAGACCCAGCGGTTGTCTACTATGCCCTGTTCTTCTTGACCTACAAAGCTGCTGCAGTCCATCCTCCTTTCTGACATGCACTGTTCTGCTTCAGGACTCAAAGCCCTCCTGGTCCTCGGCCCTTGACTCCTCCTTGACTCCTCCTTGACTGCTCCTTCTGTCTCCTTTGAGCCCTCCTGGTCCTCCATGCCCCAGCCTCTCAGTGTTAGATTTTGTTCTTTCTCTTTATCCTACACTCACCCCAAATTTATATCTCCAACCCTAAACTCTGCACAAGCTCAGGAATTGTATATTTAAAGTCCCAGCTTGACATTTCCACGTGTGTGTGCCTCGTAGACATTTAAGCTCATGCCTCCAAACAATTCCCCAATAGCCCCAGACGTGTTCCACCCACAGACTGCAGCATCTCAATGGATGGCAACGAGATTATTCTAGTTGCTCAGACCCAAACCTTGTATCATCTTGACTTTTTTCTTCTTTTCTCCTTCCTTCCTTCCTTCCTTTCTCCTTTCCTTCCTTCCTTCTTTCTTTCTTTCTTTTCTTTCTTTCTTTCTTTCTTTCTTTCTTTCTTTCTTTCTTTCTTTCTTTCTTTCTTTCTTTCTCTCTCTCTCTCTCTCTCTCTCTCTCTTTCTTTCTTTCTTTCTTTTTTTTTTTTATGGAGTCTCGCTCTGTCACCCAGGCTGGAGTGCAGTGGTACGATCTCGCCTCACTGCAAGCTCCGCCTCCCGGGTTCATGCCATTCTCCTGCCTCAGCCTCCTGAGTAGCTTGGACTACAAGCGTCCCCCACCACGCCTGGCTAATTTTTTGTGTTTTTAGTGGAGATAGGGTTTCACCATGTTAGCCAGGATGGTCTCGATCTCCTGACCTCGTGATCCGCCCGCCTCGGCCTCCCAAAGTGTCTTGTTTCCTTACATCCAATCTATCAGGGATTTCTGTAAGCTTTGCATTCAAAATGTTACCATTCATTTTGAACCCAACCATTCATTTTCTGGATGGCTGTGATGCGATAGCCCCCTAGGAAGTCTCCTTGCTTCTGCCCTTGCACTCCTATTGTCTGTTCTCAGTTCAGAAGCCAGAGTGTTTCTTTTCAATTGTCAGTTTCTTTTCAATTGTCAGCTCAAAACCATGTGGTGGGACAGATGTCTGCTCCCAACCATGATGATGGAGCAACAGGGGCTGCACTGACCTTCCTCTTTACACTGGGCAAGAGAGACAAACAACTGCGCTCCCAGGAGGAGATAAGCGGGAGATAGGAAGGAGCCCTTTCTTTGCCTGACTTTCTGCTTGGAGGTTTCCATGCTGCTGTGTGGGACTCGGGGTGGGGGTGGGAAGCTAAGCAGAGCACTGAGGCTTCTCCAGGGGGGTCACCAAAAGCCGGGGGTCATACTTACAAAAAGGAAAGATCTTTGCAAAAAAGAGCTACAGAATAGGAGCAAAGGGGTCCTCTTTAATCTTTGCTGAATACCAAAAAAAAAAAAAAAAAAAGCCTGAGTCAGGTAAAACTCACCAGGTCAGTCAAAGAGTAATTCACTGGAGCTGCGTTGAACTGTTCGTTCATAAAGTCCATGTGGAGATGGGATCGTTCAAGTTCTCAATTGCAATTGCAGTTCAGAATTCCTTCTTGCTGATCACCGGGCATTCGGTAGACACCTTAGAAGAGCCACACTTTAGCAGTGGGCCCAAACTATCTCTAGAACAAAGGATCCTCTAGACCTGTCCTATAAAGCTAAAAACGAGCCTAGAAAGTGTGTAACTGAACTGGAAGTAACTAAACTGCCAAGCAGGACAAACCCCAAAGCTCCTTAAAAGAGGATGGCAAATTACAGACACTCAACAATGAAACATTCACAACATTCAGCATCTGATCAAAATCCATGTGCCAAAAAGCCAGAAAATGTGAACCACAGCCAGGGAATAAGGCCGTCAATAGAAACAGACCAAAGGATGATACGAACAACGGAAATGCCGGGCAACAATGTTAAAAACAATTATTATAACTATGTTCAAGTACTTAAATGAAAAGATAACCATAGTGAGAAAATAAATGGAAGATATAAAAAGAAACTATGTGGAACTGGTAGAGCTATGTCTAAAATGCAAATTTCACTGGATAAGCTTGACAGCTGGTTCAAAGACTAGTGAACTTGAAGACATAGTTCTATAAGTGATCTGAGACACAGCACACAGAGAAAAGAGACTGGAAAACAATAAACAGATTCGCAGTGACTATGGGGCAATAGTAAGTCATCTAAGGTATGGAAAAATTGAAGTCTTCGAAAGCAAGGAGAGGACAAAAAATGTTTTAAGATATAATGGATGAAAAATTTCCAAATTTGAAGAAAACCATAAATCTATAAATCCAAGAAGTGCAATGAAGACCAAGCAGGATAAATACAAAGAAAACCACAGCAAGCCACATCATAAGCAGTTTTCTGAAACCGGCGTTAAGGAGAAAATCCTAGAAGCAGCCAGAGAAAAATGAGACGTGTAACATACACAGGAACATGGTGAAAATGAAAACAGTATTCTTTTTGGAAACAATGTAAGCCAGAAGTCAATGGGGTAACATCTCAAAAGAAGTGCAAGAAAGAAGCTGTTAATCTAGAACTCTGTATCCTACGAAAATATCTTTTAAAAATGAAGGCAAAATAAACATTTTAAGACGTCATCAGACTTGTACTACCAGAAATGTTAAAGAACGTTCTTCAAGCATAAAGAAAACAATACCAGATAGAAACCCGGCTCTCTGAAAAGGAATGAAGACTGTGAGAATGGCAATTATGTAGATAAACACAAAAAAGTTTTTTAAACAAATAAAAGCCCACTTAAAGAATGGTTATTTGTAGGCAGTGTGGTGGTTCACACCTGTTATCCTAACGCTTTGGGAGGCTGAGCTGGGCAGATTGCTTGAACCCGGAAGTTCCAGACTAGCCTGGGCAACATGGCAAAACCCCATCTCTACAAAAATACATAAAATAAAATAAAGTAAAAAATAGCAGAGCATGGTGGTGTGCCTGCCTGTAGTCCCAGATACTTAGGAGGTTGAGGTGGGAGTATCATCTGAGTCTGCGAAAGTCAAGGCTGCAATGAGCCATGATCATGCCACTGTACTCCAGCCTGGGTGACAGAGTGAGATCCTGTCTCACAAAAAAAAAAAAAAAAAAAAGACTGGTTATTGGTAATGATATTTGTGGCAGTGGCATTCTGGTGGTTCATAAACATTTTAAAAACTTGATTAAATATTTTAAAATAACAGATGTGATGCATGTTCATTTTATTCTAAACCCTTCCAACCTATTACCTGAAGGAAACTATATATATATATATATATATATATATATATATATATATATATATATATATATATATATATAGAATATTATAAATTGGTGTTTTACATGAACTGTTTACATTATTGTGCTACATGCATTTAAAAATATCTATTAAAAGACTTTTTTCTCGCTTTTTAATGTCTTTAAAAGACAATTGACTGTTTTAAACAGAATGTCAACCATGTACTTTGGGCTTACGATATATTAAAAAGTAATATCTATGACAACAAAAACATGAAGGATGGGTGGGGTAAGATTGAAATATACTGTAGCAGGAATATGACATCATACATGAAGTGATAATATAATATCAATTGAAGGTAGATTGTGATAAATTAAATATGTATATTTTAAATAATGGAGCAAACACTAAAAATTAGAACAAAGAGATAGTTTGTTAGATACTAGTGAAGAAATAAAATCCTAAAAACATACTCAATTAAACTTAAAGAAGCAAGGAAAAAAGAGAAAAAGGAACAGAGAGCAGATAGGATAAATAAAAAACAAATAGCTAGATGGTAAACTTAAATCCAATGATACTGATTAATTGTATTAAACGTAAAAGTCTAAACTCTCCAATAAAAGGCAGAGATTGTGACACTGGATAAAAAAACAAGGTTCACTTTCCTGTTGTCTGTAAGAAACTCATTTTAAATATGCATAAATAAATTGCATGTCTATATACTAACAAAGAACAGTTGGTGATTGAAATAAAAAATAATACCATATGATAAACCATATACTCAAAAACCAAAAGGATCATGGGTACTGAAAGGACACAGGAACCAATTTGAAAGAGCTCCCAATGGCCAAAGCTGGAACAATTTGAGCAACAAAATAAATAGTAATAATATTGGATTATAACCAAAATAATAAAATCTTTTCCTCAGGTTATTTTACATATATACACACACACATATACATAATAAATATATAATTTTTATATTTTACATTATAAAAATAATGTGCAATATATAATATTAAATTATAAGTATCAATAAATAAATGGGAGAAAAGGAACAACACCTCATTAAAGAAGAATTCCTATTAACAAATGTAGAAGAAATGAGGAAAATAGAAAAATCATTGAAATTCCACAGCAATAATTGCTGGAGGCAAGTTAAACACCAAATACTAAAATTAGTGGGCAAAAGTTTAACAAACAGGACATTTGCACAGTCTCAAAGTATCTTTCCCAAGAGTTACTAATTACAAAAAGAAAAATAGTAACTGTACAGTGAAGGAATAGGACAGATACTCTCTTTACCAAGTTACCAAGGCTCACATCACCAGTAATAAATAAGGTAACTGCCTAGTTTGATGCACTTAGAAGGGTACAAAACTCCAGTAGTATTCTTGATAAAGCGTGACCATGAATAGTCGTGAGAAAATATCAAACCAAACCCAACTGAGAGACACTCTACAAAATATCTGACAGACCATCAAGCCATGAAAGCATCTTCAAGTCATGAAAGAGAGGAATACTGAAGAACTGTCATAGATTGTAGAAGACTAAGGGGATATGCCAACTAAATACAATGTAGGATCCTGGATGGGATCCTGGAAGTGAAAAATAACATGAGTGGAAAACTAGTAGAATCCAGATAAAGTCTGTAGTTGAGTTAATAGTATTGTACCAATATTAATTTCTTAGTTTTCATGATTAGATTGTGATTATGTAGAATGTTAGCACGAGGGCAAGCTGGGTGAATAATATACAGGGAGTCTCTGTACTGTGGATGTGACTCTTTCGATATTTTAACGTTACCTCCAAATAAAAAGATATTTAAAAACAATACCCCTTACAATAGCATAAAAGGTATGAAATGCCTAGAGATAAATCTCACAAATATGTGCAAGACCTGTACACTAAAAACTACAAAACATCGCTGAGGGAAATGAAAGAAGGCATAAATAAGCGAAGAGATATACCAAGTTCATGAATCTGAAGCCTCAATATTGTTAAATGTCTATTCAGCCCTCAGTGATCCATAGATTCAACTTAATCTCAACTAAAATCACATCTGTCTTTTTTGTAGAAATGGACAAGCTGATTGTAAAATTTATATAGAAATGCAGTGGGCATAGAATAGCCAAAGCAATTTAAAAAAAGTGAGGGGAACTTACAGTATTCAATTTTAAAACTCATGATAAAGCTATAATAATTAAGGTAGTGTGGTAGTGTAAGAACAGCTCAATGGAACAGAATAAAGAGTCTGGAAAAATACATATAGTATAATAAGTCTTTATATGATATATATTTTTTCAATTGACTTTTGAAAGAAGGGCCAAGCTAAATTATTGGGAAAAGGGAAGACTTTTAAACAAATGTTGCTGGAATAATTAGCTATTCATCCATAAAGATATAAACTTCAACCCTACCTCACACAATGCAGAAAAATTAACTTAAGATGGACCACAGCCCTAAACAAAGCCAAAACCGTAAAACTTCTAGACACTTTGTTACATTGAGGAAGACAAATATTTCTTAACAGAACACAACAATCCCACAAGCATAAAACTAAAAATAGATAAAAATGGACATGATCAAAATAAACAATGTCTACATTTGAAAAGACCTGTTAAGAAAACGAAAAGACAAGTTACAGACAGGGAGAAAATATTTGCAATACATATATCTGATACAGAGTTATATCCAGAATATATTTGAAATTCTTACAACTCAATAATATAATATATGCAACAATTAAAGAGTTGGACAAAAGGTTTGGACAGACACTTTGTAAATGAAGATACACAAATTGCCAGGATGCCCTAGCTGCTTCTCTTCCTGAGAGACACTCTTCCATATCTCGGTCTCACCAACTCCTTCCTCTCCTTCAATTCCCCTCCCAAATTTTACCTTCTCAATGAAGCCTCTCTTGAAATTGTTTTCAGGTGTAATATTAAAAATTGATATGTAGTAGCTGTGTGTACTTTGGGAGTACCTGTGATATTTGGATATCTGTATACAATGTGTAATGATCAAATCAGAGTAATTGGAATATCTATCACCTCAAATATTTATCTTTTCTTTGTGTTGGGAACATTCCAGTTCTTCTTTTTTAGCTATCTTGAAATGTACAATAACTTATTGTTAGCTATAGTCTCTGTACTATACTATTGAATACTAGAACTTACTCCTTCCATCTAACTGTATTTTTGTACCCATTAGCCAACTTCTCTCCCTCCCTCCTGCCCTTCCTAGCTCTAGTAACCACCATTCCACTCCCCATGAAATCCACTTTTTTTAGCTCTCACATACGACTGAGAACATGTGATGCCATATTTATCTTTCTGTGCCTGGCTTATTTCATTTAGCATAATGACTTCCAGTTCCACCCACGTTGCCGCAAATGACAAGATTTCATCCTTTTTATGGCTGAATAATATTCCATTGCATACATATACCACATTTTCTTTATCCATTCATCTGTTGATGGACTCAGGTTGATCCCACATCTTGGCTATTATGAATAGTGCTGTAATAAAGATGGGAGTGCGGATACCACTTTGACATATTGATTTCCTTTCTTTAGGATACATACCCAGCAGTGGGATTTCTAGATCATGTGATAGTTCTAGTTGTAGGTTTTTGAGGAACCTCCATACTGTTTTCCCTAATTACTGTATTACTTTACATTCCCACCAACAGTGTTCTTCTCCACATCCTCACCAGTATCCATTACTTTTTGTCTTTTTGCTAATATCCATTTTTAACTGGGGTGAGATGCTGTCTCATTGTGGTTTTGATTTGCATTTCCCTGATGATTAGTGATGTTGACCATTTTTTCAAATCCCTGTTGGCCATTTGTATGTCTTCCTTTGAGAAATGTCTATTCAGGTCTATTGTCCATTTTAAAAACAGATTGTTATTATTTGCTATTGCGTTCTTTATACATTCTGCTTATTAACCCCCTGTTGGATGGAGAGTTTGCAAATATTTTCTCCTATCCTGTAGGTTATCTCTTCCCTTTGTTAACTCCCCTGACATTTTATTAAATATGGTGCCCTGGCTCAGCCTCTCCCAACCACACACATACTCAGAGTCTCCTCATCCTTTTTTGTTTCTTTTTCCATATATTCCAATTGATAGCATTTGCCAATATCTAACACACTGTATAATTTACTTATTTATTATGTTTATTTTTTGTCACCTGTCTTCCTGGTGACAATGAACACAAATTCTGTCTCTTTCTGGACGGATATATCCCAAGTGTCTACAACACTGCCTGGCACCTAGCAGGTGCTTGATACATTTTTCTCTTACAAATTAATAAATCTGATGAATTTATAATAAGCATATGCTTTCCTTTTGTCTTTGGTATCCTGCAGTTCTACTATGATATCTCAAGGCATATTTTTATTTATCCTGCTATAAACTCACTAGTATTCTTGAATCTAAAGATTCACATCTACTGTCAATCTTGGAGCATTCTTAGCCATTATAGCTTTAGGCATGCACCCCCAGCCCTGTTATTTCTACTGTCCTCTTCCAGAACGTTAATTAGCTATCACGCTACTCACTCTGCCTCGATGCCTCTTCACCTCTTTTTTTTTTTTTTCTCCAGCAGCGTTTCTCTCTGTGATTCTCTGGGTAATTGCTTCAATTCTACCTTTCATTTCACTAATTCTGTGTTGAGCCAGTTCGAATCTGCAGTTTTACCAAATAGGTTTTCATATCGTTAATAAGATTTTCATAGTTCTGTTTGGTTCTCTTTCAAATTTATTTAGTCACTTTTGATAGTACTTTGCTAATTGCCCATAGTTTTGGCTCTCAATTCATTTCTTTATGCATTAAAATTATTTTTAAAAATTCCCTAGTGAGTAATTTTTGTTTGAAGTTCTTGGGGTTTGAATTTGGGATTTCGACTGCCTGTTCTGGTGAGTCTTTATTTGTGGGAATCCTGTGAGGTCAGGTTGGGGGATCTGAGTTTGCTTCTAGTCACGGAACACTACATACCTGAAATATCTTTAATTTTATGGTTTGGAGTTTCCTTGAACACAAAGGGAGTATGAATTCGAACCCCACCCTCCTGTGAAGTGAGGTCTGTGGCTGTGATTGTCAGGGGAGACTTGTCCTCCACCTGGATCCCAGAGAGAGACAGACAAGTGCTCCTGCTGCTTCTTTTACTAGCTGAATTAGTCAGGATAGCCTAAGTTCTGCTGCAGCAACAAAGGAACTCTCTCACTGGCTAAACCCAACAGATGCTTTATTTCTTGCTTTTATGGCTCCTGCAAAGTTTGCTGGGGACTTGAGTAACTCTCCAGGGAAATGTCTTCCCTGGAGCAGCCTGGGTCCAGGTTACCATTTTCAGGCTCAGCCTCCACACGTGCCACAGGAGAGAGATGGCGCTGCCGAGTCTGGTGGTGTCAATGGCTTTAGTCTAGGAGCGATTCACATCGCTTCCTCTCAGAGCCCTTTGGCCAGAGCTAGTCCCAAGCCCAGGCTAATTGCTGGGGTCAGAGACTGTGTTCATCTGTCGCCTGGAGGAAGAAGAGCATTTAATATGGGTAAGCAGTAGAAGCCTCCACATGCAGCAGGTGGTTTTCTCAAGTTGCCCCTCCACTGGCGTTAGAACCTCTGAGGTTCTGGTTTGGTGCAAGGATGGCAATCCTGCCATCCCACCTTCTCTCTGCCCCTGGATGGCCACTGAAAGCCACTGGGACTGCCTGACACCTGAGGTGGCTTCATGCCAGCACCGACTTATCACTCTCGCTCTTGGCTTTCCCCTGCCTTTGGCCTCTGGGAAACTCCTTGCCTTTCTTGTAAGCTCAGTTCCACGTGGAAAGTGATGTGTAGTGTATTTTATGTAGCACCCTGGGCACTTAGTTTTGGGAGGTATTAGTATTCACACTTTATAGAAGAGGAAAGAAAGCAGAAAGCCTCAGTACCTTGCCCAAGCCACACATCAGGGATGTCCTGGAGCCGTGCTTCTCAGCCAACCTCTTCTGACTCGGCAGCCAGTGCTCCTCTTGGGAGCCATGGTAGTCTCCTTCCTACAGAGAGGCAGGGATTGGGTCTGGCATGGAACTTTGGGGCAGGCTTCCCAGAGGAGGTAGCCTTTGACCTGGTCTAGAAGGATACACAGTGGGTCAACGGGAGGACATGGCGGAGGATGCAGCCTGGGCAAGGGCCTGAGGGTGTGAAAAGGCAGAGACACATGTTAGGTGCTCAATCAATGTTTGCTGAATAAACGAATAAATACATAGCCAGGGAGAGGAACGGGGGGGATGAATAACGCTGTTGGTAAAGCATGAGTCAGTTTCTTGCAATGGCTTGTGTTTGACCTGCCGTTTTTCTACCTGCTCTTGCCTAATTTCCTAAGCTAAACAAACTGGGAAGAATTTGTGGGAATGCCAGAGAATGAGTCTCTCTTCCAGTCTTAGCAATTGCAGTTACCTAAAATTACAAGCCTGTCTGATCTCATTAGCAAAATAAGACTCAGCGAGGACCCAAGGTGGAAGTTCAGTCCTGACAAGGAGACGCTGAGGTCTTTTCAGGGCTCCAGCTCCCTGCTCCCTGCTCCCGGAGCCCCCCGCCCCTGAGCCCTGACTAACATCTCAAATCTCTGGCAGCTGGAGGCCTGTTGAGTTAGCTCCCGCAGGTCTGGTCCATCAGCACGCCCGGGGAGGAAGAGAAAGCAAACAGGGAAATTCCGAGTTCAGCCTGGACTTCAGTCAAACCCGCTTTCCTTCATAAACACCCTCCCTTGCACTTATTACAATGAGGGAACTTGAGCCAGTGGCCTGGAGCAGGGATTAGATGATCCAGAAAGGGCCACCGAGGCATCTGTCGATGGGAAAGCCAGCGAGTGTGTCTCAGCCACTAAGTGATGGCTCTACAGGGCACTTAGAGGAACGTTTAGGGGCCTCAGACCTATTTAAGGACCTTGAGTTTCAGGTAATGAGAGAGTCAAAGATATTTAAGCTCGCAGAATAAAATCAAGAGGTCTTATTTGTAGAGTAAAGCCGAGGCTCTCTTGGGAACGTTTTAGAAGACAGAAACATTGTTGCCTGCTCTGATGGCTAGAGTATTTCACAAGAGTAATGCTTCTTTATTGATCGCCTCCTGGGGGCCAGGCTGGAATTAATGCTTTTACACCAATTAGCTTAAGCAATCCTCATAAAAGCTCTGCAGAGCAGGTATCATTATCCCTGTTTTGCAGATGAGGGATTGAAGATGGGGTGGTTAAGTAACTTGCCCCAGGTCACTTAACTGGTAAGTGTGGCCCGGGGACCCGGCCTGTCCATTAAGCTCCGCAGGCCCAGGGCGAGGATGTCTGTCTCAACCTGATACCTTTAGGGGCCCAAGAACATCTCTCTAACTTTGCTTAAACCAGAAAAAAATATGTGGAAGCATTTGAAGATTTATTAATTTTTTTATTTTTAAATTTTATTTATTTATTTCATACTTAGGGACATTTACTACAATTTTCCCCCCAGCTTTTATTTTAGGTTCAAAGGTACATGTGCAGGTTTGTTACATGGGTAAATTGCATGTCATGGGGTTTGGTGTACAGATAATTTTGTCACCCAGGTCATCCGAATAATACCTGAAAGGTAGTTTTTCCATCCTCAGCCTCTCCCCTCCCTCCACCCTAGAGTATGTCCCAGTGTTCCCTGTTTCCTCCTTTGTATCCATGTGTGCTCAGTGTTTAGGTCACATTTATAAGTGAGAACATGCAGTATTTGATTTTCTGTGCCTGCGTTAATTCGCGTAGGATGACGGCCTCCAGCTCCATCCCTCCAGCTCCATCCGTGCTGCTGCAAAGGACCTGATGTCTGATGTTCTGTTTTATGGCTGCATCGTATTCCATGGTATATAGGTACCACATTTTCTTTATCCAGTCCACCACTGAGGTGCATCAAGGTTGATTCCATGTCTTTGCTATTGTGAATAGTGCCGCAAGGACACATGCCTATCTTTATGGTAGAAGGATTTGTATTCCTTAAACACGTTTTTAAATACAGGTATTTTTATGGTGGGAGAGGCCCATGAAAATCGTAGTGCCCTCTGGGGGAAATCTCATAGAGCCACTGGTTACTTCCCAAGCTCAGGCACTCAGAAGGCCCAGGAAAGCTCCTCAAAGGCATGGCAATGATGAGGTAAATACGACCGACCGCAGGGCCGTGGGTGCTTCTGGCCCCTCTGATGTCCTGCACGGTCATCGCAAGCACCGTCAGATGAGGTGCCTTGGACAGCGTCTCCTTTTCACAGCCCTGGGGGATGGAAGTCATGCCTGTGTCTGTACCCAGACCTGGGGGATGGAAGTTATGCCTCTGCTATACTCAGCCCACCCCATATCAGCACTGCTGTCCAGTACAAGCCCCCGCCAGGGTTTGCAGACCAGGCTCAGTGTGTTCCTTCATTCCAGCCTGTCTGAGGGAGGCTGTGGCCTGTGGCCAGGACAGGAGGGACTGAGGGGGCCCTGTGAAGAGCAGGTTGTCCAGAGGTCCAGTTAGCGGCCTTGGAGAATACTGACAGCAGCACTGCCTCAGCCTCACTCCTTGGTGTGCAATGTGGGGGCTTCTCTAAGGAGGACGGGGGAGCTTTCTTAGGCTAAACATCCAGGGTGCCGTCCTGCAGGTGCTCACTTTGACACCTCACCTTCACTTTGTGGCTCAGGACAAATAGCGTGGGGAGAGATAGTGTTGAAGTGGAGGCAGCAACCGCAGGCAGCTGGTCCCTGAGACTTGTCTTCAGAGGGAACTGAGACGGGACTGCAACTGGAGGTGGGGGGTGGGTGTGGGGGCCAGGCGGGTTTCTGAAGACCAGGAATACTCACTTCAGCAATGGAGACATTCTGCCTTCTCTTTTGCCCACTCAGTCCCATTTGTTGTTTTGCTTTGTTTTTATAAACTTTTATTTTGGAACAATTTTAGATTTATAGAAAAGTTACGATAGTACAGAGAGTTCCCGTTCGCCCCCCACCCGGTCTTCCCTTTGTGAACCGCGCACATTACCGTGGTACATTTGCCAGCACTCAGAAGCTGACATTGGGCCATTGTTAACTCAATTCCAGACTTTATTTGGATTTCGCTAGTTTTCCCATTAATGTCCTGTCTCTGTTCCAGGACCCACGCCAGGGGACTTCATTGCATTTAGTTGTCACGTCTCCCCCGGCTCCTCTGGTCTGTGTCACGTTGTTTTTGATACCTGCTCTGGGCCAAGACTAGGACCAGAGAGGTGAGCGAAGAGAGCTCTGGTGGCTCCGGGCCAGGGGTCGGGCAGACAGGGCGCCCTTCCATGGTGCTGGAGAGCTGGCAGGACAAATGGCCTGGGCTCACAGGGACGGCCAGCAAAGGCAGGCACAGGGGGCTTTGGAATTGCTTTAAAAGGGGAGAGGGGGCTCTGATTGAAAACCCAGCGTGAATAATAGCATCCAGCACTGTATTTTGATGGGATAATTGTTTTATATTTGTAAAGATTCTTAATTATCTCCAGCAAATGCATTTAGCTCACTTGGTAATTGAATTAAGGAAAATGTTTTTTCAAGCATTGTAAGTCATTGCTATAATAAAAGAGAAGGAAGAATGACTTTAAAGTACCTCCCTACATGACCTAGACAAACTTGTTATGACTGAAAGCTGAGTAATCCCATTAAGGCCTTAGTTGGTTCTAATAGAACAGGCATTCTGGAGATGCCAAATGAAAATCGCAAGAGATGGTGGAAACTTCCTTTCTTTGGGAAGCCTCTGTCGACCCCACTTCGAGCGGATCCTGCCGTCCTGGTGCCCTGGGCATACTTTTATTTTTGTGCTTATCACACTGACCTGTGATAGCCTCCTGGTCAGCCTCAACTCCCCTTTATCCCCTACGTGTCCTGAGAGCTCAGATGGACGGCATTTGCCCACTTCAGTATTTCCCAGCACAGTCAATAAAGGAGCACATGAGATGCTTCCCAACCTGTGTGAATACCCTTCCTGACACAGCAGAGAACAGTCCTTCATAAATCCTGTGTCTTTGGAGGGACGTTTTCTGGCACACTGCGGCAGCTGTGGCTTGCAATGTCTAAGTTACCAGGATGTCGGTGGGGAGGGCCCTGACCAGGGCGGAGTAGGGGGACCTGCAGCGTCTGGGAGCATGAAGCCTTGCTGCTGGAGTCTCCAGGCTCGCCAGGCAGGGCTGGGGGTGGCGCTGGGAGGAGCCCAGACAGATAGGCCCTGAGCTTTGAAGAAAAATCAATATTCAGCAGGGAGTTGATTGTGTCATAAACGTCTCGAGTTGCACTGCCACTTCCTGGCCCCTGAGTGGCCCAAGGTGAGCTCTGCTGAGGAGAGAGCTGCCCTGCCTACCCCTCCCCTGCACTGCCTGTCTGAGGTCACAGAAGGAGCAGGAGAAAGGCAGCAGGCATCTTAGGTGGTAAAGCCACTCAGTGAGCCACAGCAGCGAGGCGAGGATGGTGGCTCCCTCTTTCTTTCGGAGGTGCATACATTCAACAAATAACTACTCAATGCCCACCATGCCCAGTCCTGGGGCCAGGCTCTGGTGATGCGGCCAGGAGCCCGGCAGACAGTGTGCTGCCTGCATGGAGTCTACAGTCCTGTGTGGAGATCAATGTTGAACGGGGAAATGAAACAGAAAACTGGCCAAGTAGAGGCTGATAAGCGTCATCCAGCAAAGCAATGAACAGGCAGGTGGAGGCTCGGGAGGGCTGGGCAGGGCTGCTGCAGATGGGCAGGGCTCTGGGCACTCGGCTGGGCAGGAGCCTGGGCAGTGGGGGGACTGGCTCCCAACACAGCCACTCCCCAACCACTCTTGGCTTCTCTGCTTCCTTCCTTCTCTCCCTGCCTCCTTCCCACACCTATGCCCAGGTGCTCCTGTAGCTCTGGCTTGCGTAGGGACACTGCCAAGTGGCCCATCCCCTTCATTTCGTAGTCCAGATGCTCTGACAGTGACCCCAGGTGACCGCCCATGCATCGCCTGTCCTGGTGGGGGCCATCCTGTGCCATCATTGGGGGGGGGGTGCAGTGTGCATGACACGGCACAGCATGGCTCATAGCTGCCCAGCACCAGGGGCTGAGGGGGTGATGGGCATAGCAGTGAGCATTCCATCTGGGATTGAGTCCTGCTTGCCTCTGTCAGGGGATGTCCTTAGGCAAGTCCCTTAACATGCATGTGCCTCAGTTTTGTCACCTGTAGCCCAGTGCCTCATGGTGCCAAGGAGGTCACAAGCATGAAGCCCCTGGCAGGGTGTGCCGGGCACGTGTGCACATGCCCCCTGGAGGGGATTCATCATCGCGGGCGGAGCTCTGCAGTTCCAGCCTCCTGAGGGTCCTGATGCCTCACGAGGCCAAGAGGCAAAGGGTTTTGTAACTTACATAACCGCAGAGAAAGGCAAGGTTGCTGCTCACAATGATGCTTTCACAGGGCGGCTCTGGGACGGCATCCTCACCCGACTATATGGAATTCCACATCCTTTCCGAATCTTGGTGTTACACAATAGTCACTGAGATATCATGTACCCCATTAACGTTGAGACTTTTATGTATTTACAATTCAGCTTAAATTTTTACCCAGAGAAGTTTTCAAAATGTAACATGTGTTAGTCACTGTGTGAATTGCGAAACCAAGGAAATATCTCCAAAGTGCTGGCCTTGACAATGTAATCTGGCAAGGCTTGGGGAGGAATAAAAATAACACTTCTCAGCATCGCCGTCTCTGAGGGCAGGAGTGATCTGGAGCCCTCCCCAAGCCCACAGGTAGTCGGGCGGCATGTGCGGGCCTGGGGGGCCCCACTGGGGTCTTCTCTCCTCTTCCCCGGCCCCTCCCCGAGGCCAGGACAAGTCCTGCCTGCCCTGAACGGGGGCGGCTGAGCCCAGGTTGGGGTGGTGGTGAGACAGGGAGACTGGGGAGCTGGGCACCCTGATGGGGGTTCTGGGCCTGCCACTCATCAGCCTGGAGGTCCGGGGCTTTTCCCCAACCCCCTGTGCACGGAAAGGTTTAGGGGCCATGCCCCAGGTGGCCACAGCGACGGGAAGCTCCCTGGCTGCCTCAAAGGGCTGTTCTGTGGGGGGACCTGGTCCAGGATGATGGAGGGGAGGCAGCAACTGGACTTTTCCCCTTGCAGCTGTAAGGATAGCTTGATTTTTCTAAGGACAACAACCCTGTGTCTCCCCACTGAGTTACAAGCCCGCAGGTGGCTTGATGAACATGTGGTTTCTGGATGTGACATGAAAGTTAGCATTTGCGCGCTCTTTGGTTTCCCTGGGTTTGTTTTTCTTGCTCTTACAGTCCTGAACTATTCCCAATCGTGTTTATGTTGAGGCAGAAGACATGGCTGTGGAGTGTCGGTGCACCAGGGTCTGCCGGGTCCCCGCCTCCCCATCCTTCCAAGAGGCACCAGCTGCAAGGCACGTGCATGTGCCCTCCTGACCCCCCGGTCCCCAAAGAGCCTGCTCCCGTCACTCCAGGCAGGCACTGTTGCTGGGATTTCAAGGCAGCTGAGTGCAGAGCCCACTGCAGAGGCATCAGCCCCTCCCAGGCCTCTAGGAAACCTGCTCCTCCCCTCCCTCCACAGGCATCTGCTTACAGCGCCAGCGGTGCCTCGTGCTCCACCTGGAGCACCACTGTCTGTCAGGGACACGGGCTCCCAGAGGGCTGCACGTGAATGATTTCCGACCCTCACAACAGCCAGGAAGTAGGGACTGGGATTGTTCCCATTCTGTAGATGAGAAGACTGAGGCTTGGGATAACGTGCTTGCCCAAGTTGGCATGGGCAGTACAAGACAAAGCTGGGGTTGCAAATGATCACGCTTCCTATTCTGAATATTTCTTTTTCTGCCACCTTCTCCTCTGAGTGCTGGCTTTCCCTACTTACCAAGCCCCCAGCTGCTCACTGCGGTGCCAGAGCACCCAAGAGCCTCCTCTGGCAGTGCCATGGCCCACAGCACACTCCCCTTGGCTCTATCAGGCCTCCCTTTTGGCTTGAGTGCCACCCACTCACTCCTCTCCTGCTTTCTGGCATCGTTATTTAATTGTCCAACCCTGGTCTGCTCAGTTAGACCGTAAACTCTGAGAGGACGAGGAGTCTTCGCCGGCTGCCCCCCGGGCCTGGCCTGGGGCTGCCACGTAGCTGAATCTCAGCCACACTTGCTGTAGAATGATTTGTTATTATTCTCTGAGGCTGGGTTTCCACGTGGCTGGGCACAGGAGGACAGAGTCCCCCTCCCCGTCCAGGTCCTTGGCTGGCCAGCATTTCAAATGATATTGTTTCATATTAAATTATTTTAAATTCCATGGACCCTGGTTTCACAATCAAATAATTCGATCTTGTTTACAAATGGAATTTTTAGTTTTTGACGGTTTCTTGCTTTGCTGGGCTGGACGGTCAGTGAATGCGTGTCCTCCCGTGCCCTCCAGTCCATCTCTGTTGCCTTCCCCGGGATGCCGTGGAGGCCGGGAACCGTCCCCAGGAGTGGGGACGTGGTCAGGAGGGTGGGGTCAGGCAGCCCTGTGCAGGCAGACAGCTCACAGTGCTCGGGGCCTGGAGGCGGGGGCGTTCTCTGCTTGCCCTCTTCCAGCTCTAGACATGAGAAAACCCACAAAGAACAGAATTGGAAGGGATCTTTGACACACGTGATTCCAACATCCCCTTTTACAGTTAGGAAACTGAGGCACAAGATCCTGGTTCTTGGGGTTGGGCCTTGGACCCAGCACTGGGTCTTTGCACAGCCTCCTCAGGACTGATCCACACTTTGTTCTCTTCCCCACCAACCCCATCACTTCCCGTTAGGTGCCACTTACTGCTTTCACCTACCGAGACAGAGAGAGGGAAAAGTGTGACCTCTGACCTCTAGGAGCTAGGAACCCAGTGTTGGGAGGGGAGCTGCGGAGGAGGAGACAAAGGAGGCACAATGAGGTGGACCCTACGGGGTTGGGAGGAGCTTGGAAGGCAGTTCAGAAAGGACACGTAGGAGAAGGCAGGGTGGGACTGTGGGACAGCAGGCCGGGCGCATCCAGCGGCGTTTGCAAAGCCGGAGAAGTGGCCAAGCTCAGTGGCTGTGGCCAGATGCCATTTGTGGCAGTTGATGAGAATCTTGTGACTATTTTAACCGATGTGTTAAACTTCACTCTCCCCCTGTCAGTCTCCTTGTCACCTTGGAGAATGTTATTAGTCAAGGTTCTCCAGAGAAACAGAACCAACAGAATGTACACACATGCACACACATACACATGCACACACACACACATACACACGCACACACACACACACACAAACAGGGATTTATTGTAAAGAACTGGCTCCTGGAATAACTGAATTGATAAGTCCCAAGATTTTCAGTCAGCAAGCTGGAGACCCAGAAGAGGCTACTAGGGACTAGACATGTCCCCCCAAAATTCATATGGTGGACCCCAACCTCCAATGTGATGGTCTTAGGAGGTGGGGTGTTTTGAAGGTGATTAGGTCAGGAGGGTGGAGCGCTAATGAACGAAATTAGTGCCCTTATAAGAAGAGACAGGGCAGCTCTCTCTCTCTGATCTCTGTCACATTAGGACGTAGAGAGAGGAAGGCCAGCAGTAAGTGGGCCCTCACCAAAATCAAATTGGCAGCACCGTGGTGCTGGACTTCCAGCCTCCTGAATGGTGGGAAATGAATATTTGATGCTTAAGCCACACAGTCTACAGCAGCCCGAGCTTAGACAGAGCGGACGTTTCAGTTCAAGTCCAAAGGCAGGAAAAAGCTAGACATTCAGCTCAAAGGCTGGCAGGCAAGAGGAATTCTATCTTACTCAGGGGACGGGACCCCCTTTGTCCTATTCAGGCTGTCAACTGATTGGATGAGGCCCACCCATATTAGGGAGGGGAAACTGCTTTACCTGGCCCACTGATTCCAATGTGAGTCTCATCCCCAAGCCCCTCACAGAAACACCCAGAGTGATGTCTGGTCAAATATCTGGGCGCTGTGGCCCCGCCAAGTTGACACTGAAATTAACCCTCGCAGAGGCCGCCTCTTTATCACGGGACACATGCTTGGAGCCCCTCTTCTGGAACTTTCTCTAAGCGAGTGACAGTATGGGGCAGATGGGTGTCATTGCTCTGTGGTCACTTGATGGGTGACCTGGGTTGGCCCTGTGTACCTACCCACTGGGCTTGGCTCAGAATGGCATCCTGCTGTTTCCACAAGTCAGCTGGCTCTCCAGGGTCAGGATGGAACCTGCTGAGGAGATCACAGATGGCCCTGACTCCACACGCTGCCCCAGAGGGCCCCAAGGCAGGCATCTGAGCCAGCCCCGGCTGCAGAGGTTGACTCAGGAAAGCACCAGGGAAAGTTGGTTGTTAATATCCCAGTCCAATTTTTTTTGACTGGGCCTAAAGGCAGGGACTTCCTTCTATAAAATCTGGGAGCTGAGTGCAGGGCAGGCCTGACAAGGCGTGAGGAGCTGCCTGTGGACTTCGGCTCTCCCAGTGAGTCCAGGAGCTGCCCTGGGCCCTGGCGGCCCCTCCTCATCCCCACCTCTCTGCTGCACCACTATGGCCTCAAGGTCCCTGCACTGCCTCATAAAGCTGTCCCCAAGTCAGGCTCCTGTGAGCGCGCCGGGCATCAGAACTCTGGCTGGTGGACCCACAGAGGCCCGGGGTAATAGCCATGAGAAGAACAGGCCACCACGCTCAGACTGGGAAGCACCCAGCCTGCGGGATGGCCAGAGACACTCATCCAGGGCCATGAGAGTGTGAATCAGTCGAGTACAATATGCATAACCAGTGTGGCCAGAACCGGTGCTTTGAGGTGTCTAACTCCTGGTGTCCTACCATCCCAACACTGTTGATTAATGGCGAAAGATGGGGCATTGGGGAGGTCTGTGTCTATGCTTGGTGGCACCTAAGAAAGAGCAAGGCATTTATCTGCATGGATTGAGATAGACAGGTCTCTAAAATAAACAAGGCAAAGAACGCAAGAGGCTGAACCAAAGTATGATCCATTTGGGGCTTAACAAATAGATAGTATAGGCAGCGCGGTGGCTCACGCCTGTAATCCCAGCACCTTGGGAGGCTGAGGTGGGCAGATCACCTGAGGTTGGGAGTTCCAGACCAGCCTGAGCAATATGGTGAAACCCTGTCTTTACTAAAAATACAAAAATTAGCTGGGCATGGTGGTGCACGCCTGTAATCCCAGCTACTCAGGAGGCTGAGGCGGGAGAATCGCTTGAACCCGGGAGGTGGAGGTTGCAGTGAGCTGAGATCATGCCACTGCACTCCAGCCTGGGTGACAGAGGGAGACCCTGTCTCAAAAAAAAAAAAAAAAAATAGATGGGGTAGATGCTTTTGGAAGAATATGCAGTCACTGCTCACACCAGCATGGAACAAGTGGACTGGGGTTACTGCCTGGCGAGTCTCTTTCAGGTCCCTGAATGCAGTTAACTCAGCGAGTCCTGAGTTCCCCAGGAGGTGGGCATTCCCATCTTACCCACGTTGCAGATGAAGACACTGAGGTATTGGGAGAACCTGCCCAGGTGATACAGGTAGTATGTGGCGGTTGGGGGATGTGAACTTGAGCTCCTGACCAACTCTGCTGCATGGGCTGACAACTCCGGCTTCTCCGGGAGAGGGGCAGGGGCTGAGGTGGGGCTTTTTTGTTTTTGTTTTTGGCCTTTCTGAGTCCTCTGTGCTTTCTTCCCAGGTGCATAGATGACTTACTTTCAGAAAATGTCAACAGGGTGCTCTGCAGAGGGGCATGGGCTTTTATGCCTTTATTATGCTTTTCTGTATTAAAAGAAAAATACAGTCATGTGATTTTAGAAACTCAACCCATGGAAGAGAGAATACTGGGTCTGTAGGAAATCTGCAAAGTGGGAAAGATACTTCTGGGCTTGGTGGTGGCACCTTGGAGCCTGCTTACGGAAATCACCTCTCGTTCCCGTGATGCTGAAAGCAGAATGCTGGACATGGAAGAACCGTGAGTCATGTCCAGTCCACTTCCTCGTTACACAGGTGGGGAGACCGAGGCCGGGGGAGGGGCTCTACCCTGCGTGGGTGTCACCCAGGGTCCCGCCTGCACCCGAGCCATACCTCTGTGCCCTCTACCCAGGGCCTACTCAGCTGCCCCGAACTGTAATCTGGAAAAGATGAGAGCGGACCAATTATTTCTGTACCATGGTTGCATGATTACCAAGATCAAAAATGCCCAAGGAACTATATTTAGTCCAGGACAGAATTCAAAGACCACCTGGTAACAGAAACATCTGCCTGGGAGGCCAGGCACCCATATGACCCCTCACTTTGTCTCATTCTGTCTTGGAACCCAGGCGGTACTCGAGCTTCGTCTGCTGCCCCACACCCCACTGGCTGTTG
Organism: Homo sapiens; assembly: GCF_000001405.40. NCBI lineage: Eukaryota > Metazoa > Chordata > Mammalia > Primates > Hominidae > Homo > Homo sapiens. Next base: position 101,470,139 of record NC_000014.9, on the reverse strand, counting down.
CAAGAGTGACGTTGCCATTGGTGACTGCAGGTCTCCCAGCAGCCTGGTGCAGAGAGGCCACTTCAGGCTCGAACAGAGGCCCGGGTTTCCACGGGAGACAGCAGAGCCACGGTGTAGCAGGCATCCAGCTCTCCCCCGATCAGTTCCGTGACTTGTCGGAAGGCCCTCCCTCCCGGTAGGCCTCGGTTTCCTCATCTGTGAAACAATGGGAGTGACCTGGAGGGCCTCTGCCAGTCTCACTCAGTCTAAGCCCTTGAGACGGAGGCAGACACGGTCAGCCTGTAAGCCCCTGGCCTTGCTCTTGCTTCAGGTCAGACGAAGAAAGGACTGGTGGCCTCTGGGGATCCTGAGCCTGTCTCCATGGGAACCAGCTCACCCACCCCCTCTCTGGCAAGTGTCCTAGTGGGAGCCATGGGAAACCATGGGCTCCAGCCCCTGGCCGCTGACTGGTTGGCGGCCTTCCGTTTTGAGATCCCTGGCCCAGGGTAATGGAGGGGACCTCATCTTACAGAAGACACAGCGAGGGTGTGGAGAGGCTGTGGGGGAAGCACAGCCTGGCCGGCAGCTGCTGGGTGTCCTGGCTTGAGCTCAGGGCACCTTTGTCCCAGGGTGGGACCCTCAGGTCTCAGGGGCTGCTCCATCCCCGTTGAGGGCTCCCTTCATTCTTGATGTCTGTCCACTCACAGAGGGGGCGTCATGCCTCTCCAAAGACCCCCACATTCCAGTCCTTGTGTCCCTGAGGTCGGCCTCCTGGCGGCCACCTCACAGGGAAGGCCCTGGACACAGGGCCCTGGCCTAATGCAGCATGGCTTCATCTTAACTAGTTACGTGTGCAAAGACCCTGTCTCCAAACAAGGTCATATTTTGGGCTTCTGAGTGGAAGTTGGTTTGGGGGACACTCATCAACCCAGCACAATGCTCCCCCTCACCATGTTCGTTGAAGAGAAGACTCTTGGACACCTGGAGGCCACCAGTCCTTTCTGGATCCCCAGAGGCCACCAGTACTTTCTTCCTCTGACCTGAAACAAGAGCTAGCAGGGGCTGGCAGGCCGACTGCGTCTGCTGCCATTTTGAGTACTGGCCCCAGCCGCAATGCCCAGGACTGAGTCATGGAGATTCCCTCAGAAATGGTGCAACCCAGTCTGTCCACAGAGTGAGGGGCGACAAGCCTGGTGGCCCCGGCTTCAGTGCAGGCCATCCTTTCCACCTATTGTCTCCTTTTGGTCTCATGGGGACCCGGTTCTTGTCCTCTGCCCTGTAGCATGGCTACGACCCTCATGGGCCACAAACTTGATGCCCTCAGGCGGCTAGACTCTACCCCAGATCCGGGGCTGGCAGCGGCATGGATGTGGTCAACTGGCATGCAGTTGTTACCCAGACACCCTCCCATCAGCACTTTTTTAGGGGGTGAGTGACAGAAACTCAACTTGGGCTTAAAGGTGAATTTACTGGTTCCTGTGATGACAGAGTTCAAGGTTCAGCTGGACCTGGTGCCTCCAATGACGTCACCAAGTCTGTCTGTCCATCTGTCTGAGTTCAGCTTCCTCCAGGTCTTCGTTCTCCAGCAGGCCTTCTCCTCAAAGTGGCCAGGTGACTGTCAGCTCTATGGTTCATTCTACCAGTTTATGAATCTCCCCTCCTCATGTTGCTCAAATTCAGCTGTGAGTAAACTCCCAAGCTGATTGCAGCGTCCAAAGGGAGGGCACTGGTCCCATGTGCAGCCGGCAACTCTATGGGTTCAGCTCCACCCAAACTATATAGACCACAGCAGGGAAGGAAAGCCAGGGATGCTAGGATGGCCAGCACCACTGCAGAAGCCTATTGATCCCGTGCAAAATAGCTCCAGTAAAAGGAGGGCTTTGGGGCCCGGTGTGTTGGCACACACCTGTAATCCCAGCACTTTGGGAGGCCAAGGCATGTGGATCACTTGAGGTCAAAAGTTCTTGACCAGCCTGATTAACATGGTGAAACTCCGTCTCTATTAAATACAAAAAAATTAGCCAGGAGTGGTGGTGCATGACTGTTATCTGAGCTACTTGGGAGGCTGAGACAGGGGAATTGCTTGTACCCGGAGGCGGAGGTTGCAGTGAGCTGAGATCACACCATTGTACTCCAGCATGGGCAACAAGAGCAAAACTCTGTCTCAAAAAAAAAAAAAAAAAGGAGAGCTTTGGTCTACAGAAAGTCAGGCACCATCACAGCATCATAGGGACAGGGATACAGGATGCAGGTCCCCGTTACATCCAGGGCTCCATCCCTCTTCTCTCCATCCTCCCCATAGGCTTTTCCTACAGGCCTTTGGTTTTCCCCGGATGTTGGCTTGCCCCTATACCAGCACTGCCATGGATGTTGGCTTGCCCCTATACCAGCACTGCCACGGATGTTGGCTTGCCCCTATACCAGCACTGCTCTGGATGTAGGCTTGTCCCTACAAGATCACTGGCCCGACTTGTCACTCCAGGGACAATGTGTCCACCCTTGGCCTAGCTAGTCAGAAACTTTTGTCTTCGTGTCATCGTGTCCAATCAAGATGTCCAAGATCCTTCTCTCTTTAGAGAGCATGGGGAGGAGGGGCATTGTGCTGGGTTGATGACTGTCCCCCAAATCCACTTCCACTCAGAAGCTCAAAATATGACCTTATTTGGAGACAGGGTCTTTGCAGATGTAATTAGTTAAGATGAAGTCACGCTGCATTAGGGTGGGCCCTAGACCCAAGGCCTAGACCCAAGGACTGGCGATCTTATAAAAAGAGGAGTGGACACAGAGACAGATGCAGAGGGAGGGCAGCCACGGAAAGACAAAGGCAGAGAGTGGATGATGCAGCCGCAAGCCATCGGATGTCCAGGGCCACCAGGAGCTGAGGAGGTGAGGAAGGGCACCCCCAGGAACCTTCAGAGGGAGCACGACACTGTCGACACCTTGACTTTAGACTTCTGGGCTCCAGATCAGCAAGGGAGTAGATTTCTGCTCCTTTAAGCATTTTATGGGTCTCTGCTGCAGGAGCTCAAGGAAACTCATTCAGGTATTTAGGACGGTTGTGCTGGGTGGAGACGGACCACACACCGTCTCTGGGCTGAAGGGGCGGGCACCAGGAGCAGGTCCTCAGTCGACCGCATCTTGGCACTTAGCTTTGGTGACTCCCCCTGGTGCTGCTGATGTCCTACCGTGGCCTCTAGGGGACTCAGGGTCCTGCACCCCACCCCTGCTCCCTTCCTGCCCTGGCCTCGTCTCACCTCTGCAGTAGCAAGACTTTCTGCAGCCTGAATCTAGATTCTCTGCCGCCTCTTGGTTCTTCTCCTTCAATGTGGGCTCACCAAGGGCCATGAGGGTCCCCAGGACTGCAAGGGCACACAGAAAACCCACAGATTCATACACTGAGATATCGCTCTCCTCGTCGACAGGACCTCAAGCCTCCAGGCCCAGCTCAGTCTAATTCAATCTCTGTGTCTTTGCTCAAACTCTTGCAAGGAAATCTGACCACCTTGGCCTGGCTGGGGGCATCCAGCGCTATCCCTGGGGTGTGGCCTGAAACCCTTCCTTCCTCGGTAGGACTCAGTCAACCAGGGTTAAGAAAAGGGCACATTCCTTGGAGAAGCATGAGGAGATAATGCTTCTGAGGACGCTCATGTATGTGAACGCTCAATGCAGACATATGGAAATTATGTCGTCTACATTTACCCCCATCCCTCTAGGGTGGGTGTCATCAGATTCCCGTCCCAGTTTGCAGCTGGAGCCTCGGGGCTTGGATTAAGTGCTTGCCAGTGCTGGTAGAGAAGCCTGTCACCTCCCACCACTCTCAGCACTTGTCCACTTGCCAAGGTCTCATGGCAAGTAAGTCCTGGCCACCTTGGTCGCCTCTTAGACGAAGTGGCTTGGACTAGATGCCCTCCTCCGAGGTGAATCTTGAGCTGAAGCTTCGGTGTGTGCCTGGAGCATGTGGCTGGGGTGTTCAGCAAACCCTGGGCAGGGAGGACAGGCCAGCCAGACCTCGGGCCCCCAACTGGGCATCTGCCTCCATAGGGCATTCATCCACTTTGGGGGTCTTTGTGTCCCTAAAAGAGTCTGAATATGAATCCACACTCAAGCAAAACCATTAAGGAGATCAAAGCAGCCGCAATGACACTGGAGGAGGCTCATGCTCCTGGGAAACCTCAGAGTAAGACGCATGGGGGAGGTGCTGGCTTAAGGGTCATGACTGAGGTGAGAGGCTGAGGGCAATGGACAGAAAGCAGCATGCAACCAAGTTCAGGTGGCAGGGAAAACAGAGAGCAAGGAGGAAGCAAAACTGTGAGCAAAACAGGCCTTGAGGGGCCAAACAGTCAGCCACAGATGCCAGGCTCCTGCCCGACCTGCCCCGACCCTGCCTCTCAGAGGGCACCTGCCATCCTCTGTGCACCCCACCTGTCCTGTCCCATCTGTGCAGGGCCCCGTCTATCGCCCCTGAAGGGTCAGGTGCTCCTCACTGGAAGGTAGGAACTGGGCTTCACCATCTGGACTGTGCAAGGCCTGCCTGGTCATGAGAGCAAAGAGTTTTCTAGAAGGCTGGCTTGCACACATAAGTGAAGAACTGCCCCCCAGAAGTAATGCTTAGGCAAAGAAGGTGGGCAGTGGTGGTGGTCACAGATGCTGGGGGTGAGCCATAGGCCTGAGCCATCCATTGTGGGGGTCTGAAAGCCCAAGTCTGTGGCTCCCACACACAGAGATAGACAGTTCCTAGAGAACACCAGAGTCTAGGCCCCAGGGGCTGGGCGTGCCTCAGAGGGCGCCCCATGCCAGCTTAAAGGCAGCTGGGAATGCAGCAATTGATCAGTGGGTGCTGGGCAGCTCACACCCCCGTGCGGACAGTCTTCTCCATGGGCCGAGAAGTGTGTCACATGCATGCAGGTGCATATGCATGGGGACATGGGGGCCCAGGAGTCTTCCTACTGCAGAGTTCAAAGATGCGGGCTGAAGGCAGTTTGGAGAGCGTCCCCTGCCTGTGCTTCTCTTTTAACTCCAGGACCTGAGCCTCTGCTGGGTGGCGGGTGGACGCTGCTCCCAGTCTCCCATGCAAGGGGCCCCAGAGGGAGGAAAATGGCAGGATGGGACAGAGGGACCACGTGAGAGCAGCTTTGGGATAAAGCTGCCAGATACACAAAGCAATAAACAAAAGGGAAAAAGGAAACGGGACTCAACACAATTCACAAGTCACAAGGTGGTTGGCTCCAAGGAGCAGGTCCCTGGCTCAGCGGGTCCACTGGGGCTCTCTGGGCAGAGGGGCCTGGTGTTTGAGGTCCCCTCCAGAACCTTCACGCTGAGTGGCAATGACATTCCATAGCCTTGAGGGGCAGGGGCGCAAGGCTCAGCACCCTGGGGCTCTGGGGTGGAGGAGGAGGATGATCCGGACTGGGGAGGCAGAAATGGCCCTCCGTTCTTTTCTGTTTCTTCTCACGCCTCCAGCCCCTTGCTGCAGCCACACTGGCCTCAGTTACACTGGCTCCTTCCTGCTCCTCATCTGTACAGGGCCAGGTCCTGAATTAGGGGGGCCTTTGTACATACAGGCACCAGAACATTCTTCCAGAGCTTCACTGGAGCCTTCCTCTTCAGCATGACCGTCCCTGGCCACCTGATCCAGAGCTGGCGGCTCCCAGGCATAGCCCATCCCTGCTGCGGCTCTGCACTGCCCCAGTCCTCACCTGCATGCAGGGGACTATTCACATGCTGACCGTCTGTCCATCTCCCGTAAGAACGTCGGCTCCTTCCACGTCTGCTGGGCGTGGAGGATCCCTCACAGCCTCCCCGACCTCAGAGCCATGAGAGACTTGCAAAGCTTGAAACAAACTCTGAAAGGACTCTTCACAGATAAATTCCTCCAGGTGCATGTTTCAAACAATTTTATTATCTAACCCAAGAGTAAGTTAGCAATCGATTTCCTAATCTTTATTGATTGGCAGTGGGCAGGCTAGTGTGATTAAAGATGTGAGAGAGACTTGCCAAATAAAATGCATGAGCAGCCTTCATGAGCTTAGCTCCAATGTGCAGAGTGATAGGGTCAGGGAAGTGTGTGTATGTGTGCATGATTGTGTGAGATCAGGGTAGTGTGTGTGTGTGTGTGTGTGTGTGACATCAGGGCAGTGGGTGTGTGAGAGAGATCAGGGCAGTGTGTATGTGTATGTGTGAGATCAGGGCAGTGTGCGTGTGTGTGTGTGTGTGACATCAGGGCAGTGTGTCTGTGTGCATGAGTGTGTGAGATCAGGGCAGTGTGTGTGCATGAGTGTGATATCAGGGCAGTATGTGTGTGTCTGTGTGTGTGTGTATGATATCAGGGCAGTGTGTGTGTGTCTGTGTGTGAGGTTAGGGCAGTGTGTGTTTGTGTGCATGAGTGTGTGAGATCAGGACAGTATGTGAGAGAGAGAGATCAGGGCAAAGGGCAGTGTTTGTGTGAGATTAGGGCAGAGTGTGTGTGTGTGTGTATGAGATCAGGGCAGTGTGTGTGTGTGTGCATGAGTGTGTGAGATCAGGGTAGTGTGTGTGTGTGACATCAGGGCAGTGTTTGTGTGTTTGTGTGAGATCAGGGCAGTGTGTGTGTGTGCACGAGTGTGTGAGATCACGGAAGTGTGTGTGTCAGGTCACCACAGTGTATGTGCGGGTATGCGTGTGTGTGTGCACAGGGAACACACGGACAGCCATTCCAAGTACACACTCTCCTTGGGTAAATCTGTGAGTAATCATTGCTCCAGCAGTGAGAGCCCGTGAGGGTGGTGCAGGAAGACTGTGGCCTGCCTCCTGAGGGAAGCATTAAAAAAACAGTCAAAGGAAAACGAACTCAGCTCTCCCAGGGTGGAGGACGTGGAGGTGGGCAGCCAGGGAACAAATCTGGTTGCTGCGAGCCTGTCAGAAAGGGCCCTAGTGCCCTGCCAGGAGGAAGGACTCTGGGCCATGAGCATGATGGTCTTTGAAGGCCAGGAGAGCTAGCCTACCCCAGCTCTGCCACTAACTGTGCGACTCACGGTCACATGATGATACCTCCTGGGCCCCATATACTTTATCTGCAAATGGGAAGAAGCACAGCCTCTGTGTCCACAGTGCTGTTGAGGTTGGATCGGGGCTAACTGGCAATCAGACATGTGTCTATAAATGCCGGCGAGCCAGGCAGAGCCCAGGCCTGAGAGTCCACCAGGGTGGCAGGCCTTAATCCGCGCTGCACAGATCTGTGAGTCCCAAAATCTGCAGTGGGGCTTGAGGAGGAGCTGGCCCAAGGAGAAGACTGGAGTGGAATTGGAAGGGGGGAGGAGGATTTTACTGGAGGGCTACTGGGGGGTAGGGGAGAAGACATCTTGGGCCCCAGGGAGGCACAGGATCAAAAGTGACAGATGACTGTCAGGTGCTAGCCTGGGCAGACACATTGAGTCAAGACCTCATCTGGTACATGATCTCGCTGAATCCTCTCTAAGACCCTAGCAGGGAGTTGTCCTCCTCATTCTAAGAGGAAGAAGCAGAGGCTCCAGCTCAGGAGGGGAGGTGGCCTCTCAATGTCATAGTAGGAAGTGGTGGCTAGGATTCCAGCAGGAGGTTCTGACTCCAGGGCTGGAAGTGGGGGCAGGAGATGCAGCAGGAAGGAACTGCGGGTCTCCCTCCACTCAGGCTTAACCCACACAACCTCAGCTCTAAAGGGTGGTCTGCAAGCTCCACGCTGCAGCCCATTAGGATCATGGGATTGTTTCAGGGGTGGCAGCCATTATTTGGAAAAAAGAAATAGGATGAACAGAGATCAGCATTCATGACGTCTAGTAAGAGAACCATTCTTTTGCAAAAATTGTGTTTTGGTTATCTAGGTATAGTTAATTAATTATTTTATACATAGTTGTCTGGCTTGCCGTGGGCTGAGATGCACAATGTATTTCTTACCCCAGCCACGGTCAGCAAGCTTTGAAAGCCACGGCTTTCAGGCTTTCTTGGTTCTGCAGGGGCCTCCGGGCCTTTGTTCTCTGAACAAGAACGCCAGTGCTGGGCACAGGACAGGAGCCAGGACCTGCTGGAGGATTTCCGCAACATGCCCCTTCCCACACATCAACGCAGCTGGCTAGGCAAGGCACCATCTCATGGGGTCCTAGAACTTGGGGTGTCAATGTTTGGCTGCAGCATGGGGGGTGCTAAACACGGAGTTCCAAGGCCCTAATGCTGTGCTCACATGGGCCATGCTTTCCTTTCCTTATACATTGCATAGGGTTCCTTATCTGCAGGCTGGGGTACTCCTGAGACCCCCAGAGCTAGGCCCCAAAGCAGCTCCACCAGGCTGGCCTGCTCTGAGAAGCCCTGAACGCAGTGTGTTCACGGGCAATGGGCAGAGAGCGCCTCTCTCACCGCTGGGCCCGTGTCGGCGACAAGGACAAGTGTCTTAGGGAGTAAGAGATATCAGGGTGGCAGGAGGGCAGGGGCCAGGAAATTCTAGAGGTAGGGCTGGGAGGCCACTGGGGAAGGAGGCCGAGCTGCCTCCTGCGTGCAGCAGACGGATGCAGGAAGGCTTTCAGTGATCAGATTCGTGTTTCAATCAGGTAACTCTGGTGGGGGTGTGGCCAGGTTTCTGTTTGTCTGGCATTCTTCAAAGAGAGCTGCTCTGACCAGAGATTCTGGTGTGGGTGAGAACCCCAGCAGATGCATTTCCAGGTGTAGCCCTCTTACCTGCCCCAGGCAATCTGCTTCTCCTCCTCCCCTGGGCATTTGTTTCTTGTGTTTATCTCTTACCACAGATTCATCCATCCTGGGAATGGGCTTCTACTTTGGGCAACGCTAGATGACACAAAACCTTCAGTTGTAATAAACAATCACAAAGCAAACTGGCATTCCAACGTGAAGCCACGTCTCCTCCTGACCTGGCTGGCTTTCCTGTTTGCCGTACCGGCCAGCCCAGGTACCCCCAAAGGGACCTTTGTTTTCCCAGAAAAACAGAACAAAACAAAAACAGCAACAAAAAACCCAAACACACACACATAAACCCAACTGCCCACCCGTAATCAGGACTGAGGCTGAACGTCCTATTGCCTGGCTCTGTAGGAGGTCAGCAAATCTTTCTTCTCCAGGTGGTGACTCGATGTGACAGGTGAGCTCAAGGACATCTCAGATCCCAAGTTTTGGTCCACACTGTGGTCTTATTTTTATGAAAAATGACCAGTGGGTCCCCAGCAATGCTGCCGAGTAGGCCACTGGGGAGTTTTTAAAGGAGAGAAACATAAAATGGACCTTTCATGTCCTCAATATGGGACTAAAACATGGACACGGAAGGTATCAGGATAGAAACTGCCCAGGCTCCGGCATGCCCCAGCATCTCCTGTGCTCCCACTGACAATTGACCCACCTGCCTTCCTCTTATGGCATGATTATACACATCAAAATCCTCAGGGGTCAGCACTAACTGTCTGCATAGACACACCCAAACACCTGGGGCCTGGCATTCCAATAAACCCTCTGGACAGAGCGGCATCTCTCCCTCACACAGTGAAACTAACTGCACCTCAATTCTCCTCCTGGGCGTGCAAGCGTCAACAAACAGGTATTTTCCCCATTTCCTGTTCGGTTCAAAGGTTATTCCTAATAACCAGCCATTGACCTGTTTTTGATTTTTTGACTGAGAAATGTATTGACCACGAATGCACAAATTATTTGCTGCACTGTATATTCCTCTCTTACTGACACAAGATCACTGGAAAAGCCATCTCAGAAAAAAATGGAAGATTTCAGGAGGAGCTAGAGTGAAACAAACCCAAGGTCGTTCAGCTCATTACATGTTAGTTAAATGTTACAGTTTCATACAAAAAAACCCCAGATATTCCCTTGGTTAAAAAAAAAATTAGTCTTTTCCTGTGTGTCTTTTATCTCAAATAAAAAAGGATTCTAATTTTATCTGTGTTCAATAAGCCGATAAAAAAATGGTTAGGCTGGGGTTGTTTACTTTTTCGTAAGATTCTCTGAGCAGCAGAAGGAAAGAAAACCAACTTGAGTCTAGCATTTTCTGAGCACACTAAAACAGCCAGGTCCCTTCAACCCATCTGGAAAGAAATTAATTAGTTCTCTGTGTTAGTTTAATATGAAATTATTTTATTTTCACTTTTTTTTTTCTTTTTCTTTTTCTTTCTGGCTATTAGGAAGGAAAAAAAAATGGTGTGGAGAAAGACGGGCTCTGGTTCCTTACGGCCCATTTTCTCTCCAGGCTTTTCTTGGTTTCCAGCTTTTGCTTTTTAAATTTTTCCCTGTCTTTTTGGTTGAAAATGTACAAAATGTGTATTTTAAATATCAAAAAATTATACATTTTGAACATGACAAAATCTTAGATCCACAATACGTTTTTACAAAAATATTATTTTAAAAATACCGTCTGCTTTCTCTCTACTTGAATTAAAATGTCATGTTCATTTCTTATCTTCTGATCTGTTCAATCTGACATTTGTTAGATGTGAAAAAGTTCTGCAGACTATTTCAGAGAATATTTTTAAAATGTGAACAACCGACATGTAAAATGTCCGCGGGAGCACGCTTGCGGAGTTCACATTCATTTTTCAGACGCTGGGGTGCTGGGAACGGCGGGCGTCCTTCCTGGGTACCGCGGGGCGGCCGTCCCGGGCCGGGTCCCCTTCCTCCTCGGGGCACCGACGGCCTCTCCTGGCCGGGCTGAGGCCGGCTCGGCCCCGTGCGGCCTTCCGGTTTGCTAGCATTTTCCTTCTGGGACGCGCACGGAGGCTGTGGAGAGACCCGGCCGGGGTCCGAGGGGGTGGGCGGCCCTAGCGCGGGTCGGGCCGCGGGTCCCACCTGCTGCCGCCCGCCCCGAGTGCCCCAGAGACTCTGCCGCCGCCCGAGCGCGCGGCCCGGGCCACCTGATGGAACGTGCGGAGCTCACTCCTCCACCTGGCGCCCATTTGGCTTTTTATTATCTGCCTCCCGCATCCTAACTGGTTCCAGATTTGCAACCTCAGAGGCGCAGACACCCGGCTGGGCCACGCCATCGATCCCCAGGTACCCCGAAGCAATTACAGCCACTGCGTCGCGGCAGCCCGGCGCCCCTGAGGGCTGCTCCAGACGGCGCCCCCCCGCGGGGCTCCTTCCAGGGCCTCGGGCCTTTCCGGGCGAGAGCACCGTAGCAGGCGGGGAGTGGGGCGCCGGCGCTGGCACTTCAGAGCTGGGACCCGCTGCCCCCGGCACCAGCCCGGCCTTCCCCGAGCGCAGCGCACAGCCTCCACCAGGTCAGGCCGGCTTGGAGAAGGTCCCCGGGGCCCCAGGGCGCAGGGCATGAGCCCGCGGGCGACCTCGGAAACTGGCGCGGCGGGCAGCGCGGCGCAGACACTCGCTCTCAGGCCCCGCGCCCCGGGCGGCCAAGACTCGGAGCCCTCCCGGGCGGGCGGGACCACCCACGCCGTCGCCGACGTGGGAACCGGGCTGTCGCCGAGGCCGCGGGGGGCGCCGCGGGTCGCAGGCTCTGCCTGGCCGCAGCACAGCACCCAGGTCCCACTGTCCTGAGTCACTGTCTTAGGTAGTGAGACCCCCAACGCGACCTGCTTCAGGCCCTCCAGACCCCCAAAGCCTGGCACCCCCAGCCCGCCCCCGTGGCTGGGCCCCGCCAGCGCCGGGCACCGGAGGGGGAGGGCCCCGAGGGCTTAGGGCGCAGTTCCAAAGGCCAGAAAATGGAAACTGTGCGAAAAGAATCCCTAAATCCGGTCGGGCCCAAAGCCCACCGGCTTACATAAAGCCCCGGGAGCCCGCCGGCCCGCCCGCCTGGGGGTGAACAATCGGCAGGCACCTGGCCAGGCCGTCCCAGGCTGGCACCGTCGCCGACCCCCGACCACGGGCCTGGCGTGACCCTGGGGAGGGGGCAGGGGTCTCGGCCTCTTCCCACCCCCTGCTCGGAGAAACGTTTAACTGGCCTTTAATCACATTAGCAGCCGGCCCCAATTAGGGCCGCGGGAGGGGGAGGCCGCAGAAAAGCGCCGGCCTGGCAATGTCACTGGAGGATAAAGATCCTTTCATGCCCTCGGCCTGGTCATGGGCAACGCGGCGGGCCGCCACCCCCGGCCTTTGATGGCCTCGCCGACGCCGCCCTGGCTTCGCCCTCTCCACCCCTCGGCGGGCATCGCCAGGCCACCTCCCAGCCCGCCCGAAGGACAGAGGCCTGGAGGCCCGGCCCAGGCCTGCGTGTGTGCACCTGGGGCTCCCGCGGCGCTCGAGGGGAGGCTGGGGGCTCGCGGAGGGCAACGCTGAGCGTCCGGCTCGGACCTGGTAAGGCCGCTGCCCACGGACGGAGTGGCTCGGAGGGAGGGTGACCCGCCGCCAAGGTGCCCGCGCAGGTACCCTGGGCCCTCCTGAGCACCCCCAAGCGGGGAGAGACGGCCCTGAGTCGGGCTCCATCCTCCTGGGCCCAGGCCAGGCCCGCGCCTCCCTCCCGGGCTCCAGGCGCGTCGGGGACACCGGGCCAGGGCGTCGGGGCCAGACTCGGGCCTCCCCGTCGGTCATCGACCCGCGCGGCGGAGAACCGGTCCGTGCGCCCTGTCGAGGGGTCGCCTGGCGCCCAGGCTCCCGGCCACCGCTCCCCGCGCCGCGCTTACCTTGTTGGCCAGCGGGGGCTGCGCTCGCCTCGCCCCGAGGGTCGGTGCCGGGGCGCGCTCTGGACGGGCTGGGGTCGCGCGAGGACAGCGGCCGCCCGCGCCGCCGGAATGCTGATGCCGCAGGCGGCCGCGACGCCCGGTGGCCGCCTGGGACCCCCCGCCCCACGGCGGCAGCTGCAGCCCGGAGCCGCGTGACCCCGGGCCCGACCTCCCCGCGCTCGGCTGTTTGTGCGCACACAAAAGAGAACACTCATATTTTTCTTTTCCCGGCACAGACTTCACACCCGCCCCGTCTCCCCTCCCCCGTAACCCCCCGCCTCACACACGCTCCGCTGAGAACCTCTTTTTCTTTGCGCACCCACTGTGCCTCGCCTTTCTCTCCTCTTTAATTCCATAGTTGTATTCGAGGATGTCAGCATAGCTTAGAAAGTTTCATAGAAAGTCAGAAAGCAATTAGAGAGGCCCTTTTATTGGAGTCTCGTTGGTGCCATGGAATCTTTTAAAGGAGAGCCTGAAGGACCGAACACAATCCCATTAAGCCGCCAAAACTCCCACAGTCTTCAATAGGGGTGCTCAATACTTCGACAGACTTTCGCTGGCTCATTGGGAACCACGGGGTTTCAGTTCCTAGTTCCGCAGCGGACTCACAACGGCGCGGCCTTGAACCCCTCGTTTCTTCCTTTCTCATCGGAATTTCCATTGGTGAAATGGCTTCCAGGGCCGGAGCGAACATTAATTAATGTCTGCAGAGCGTTCCGAGGTCTCTGTTTGACGAGCGCTATGAAAACTTGAAGCGCTTTAATATAGTAACACCACATCCTGACTGTTTATTTGAAATTAAAAAAAAAAAATTCCAGCCAGTTTCTAGAAATGCGAGCTGGATTTTTAAACAAACTTTTACCTCTCTGTGCTTTAAAATCGATCTACTGACATTTGGAAAATGGGTCAAAGAAATTATGCTTTGCTGGGAAAAACACCACGTATGACCAACGTTTCAGCTTAATTGAGTTTTAGTGCCAAATTATAACTCACTGAATAACCGGACTTGGGCGAAGGGGGGTGGCGAAGGCAGAGAGGGCAGGACAGCCAATTCTAATGGAAATACAGCCATCCTGGGCTGGGGTGGTGCGGCTACCATCGGAACAAGGACTGCAGCCGCCACCAACAGCCTAATTCCAAAGAGCTGAGGTTATCAGACTGTCGGCTCTCTTTGTGGGAAAATTGGGGATTGGCCCCTGTTGGATTTGTGGATTTTGATTCATATTCTGGTTTATTTTTAATGTAGCAGGCAACTTTTCTATAAAGCATAGTTCTTCCTTTGCTATTTTAGAGACTAACTTCTGTTCCTGCCAATAAAATTTAATCTCTTCCTTTAAAAGTCAGTATGTAAAGAAAGCAGGTGTTTTAAAGAAATAAAGTATTTAAAAAAAAGGTACTTGGTTGTCAAAGCAAAGTGCCGGGTTTAGAACAATTAGGATTTTGCTCCTGGTGTGTGATCACAGATGTTCATTTTATTAAACATAAGTTTGTATTTGACAGCTTCTGGATTAATTTTTGGAAAGCAGAATAGGTGATAGGCTTATAATTAAGGAATTATAATTTAGATGCTAATGAAACGACTACCGATTATGGGGAAAATGGACTGTTTTCTAACTGTAAGGAGATCATTAAAGATAGGTGTGCAAAAACTGAATATTGGAGTTTAGACTGCTTTCTCTTAGTCATCAATTATTTTGAAATTTTTCTCAAATTTCATTGCCTGTCCTGGTCCTGCTGTCGCAGGGATCTACTCCTTGGTCCCTGGTCTCTGGTTTTGTGTCCATCTGCCACCCTAGCCTGCCTGCTGACCTTGCATCTTCTCAGCTGGGATACATCAAGGCCTGGGTGGGAAAGGTCAAGACTCCCAACTCCACATCCAACCTCAGGCACTTCTCAGCCCTGCCTTCAAAATCCTCCTCCTTGACTGCACTGAGTTCTTCCCTGACTCCCTAACCAGCCTTTCCCCCACTGTCTCTGGGCTTCCCTTACCTCCTTTTCCCTGCTTGAAATGCCTTCCACCCTTCTTTCCACCTGTCCAGATGGCACCTCTCAGACCCAGCTCTCCCATCACCACTCAGACCCACTTTGACCCCACCCACTGTGGACTCCCCTGGGACTGTCTCCACCTCTTGCTCCTCACAGAGGATCCTCGCGGTACCGTCTGTGTTTTATTGCACCATGTTTATTTCTCACTGTGTGGCATGTCTCTGGGAATGTTTCTGGTTGAGGAGAAAATAATGGGAACCCCTGGTGAGCAAGTATCATTTTACGCACTTCTGGGGGCTCTGTCAGCACCCAGCACACAGAAACCAGGCCATCCGTCAGTCAATAGGATGCTGAGTTATAAATCACTCATATTTCAGCAAGTCGGAAGGAGAAACACAGTTAAGAATGCGCCCGTTCAGCACTTTGGGAGGTGGAGGCGGGCGGATCACCTGAGGTCAAGAGTTCGAGACCAGCCTGGCCAAGATGGTGAAACCCTGTCTCTACTAAAAATAAAAAAATTAGCTGGGCGTGGTGATGCATGCCTGTAATCCCAGCTACTCAGGAGGCTGAGGCTGGAGAATCACTTGAACTGGGAGGCAGAGGTTGCAGTGAGCCAAGATAGTGCCACTGCACTCCAGCCAGGGTGCCAGAGCAAGACTTTGTCTTAAAAAAAAAAAGAATGCACCCGTTCACCGAAGCCACAGGCCAGCAGTGGGCATGCTTCTTCACTGAACTCACCGGACCTGCCACTGGACTTTCTCAAACAACATAACACTATTTAAATGACATGGAATCTTAAGTTGTTTAAAAAATGAATGTGACTCAGTTGGACTGCAATAGAAAGTAGAGAAAACACAAACAAAAGCAAATCCAGAAATCCAAACAGTTCTGTCTGCTTTGGATATTCTGGACTTGCCTAAGAAAAGGAACAGACTCTGGAGAAACAAACAAGACATTCTAACAGTGCTGCCATGTCATGGCGAAGGCTCCTGGAAAGGATGATGCCTCCTCAGGTTATCTGTTCCTGGTCACACAAGACCCTCTCCTTTGAAGTTGCCCTGCACCAAGGCAGGTCCTGGGGATTTTGGGAAAAGTTCCTCTCCAGTGACGTCCTTGTGTTCCTGGGTGGGTTGGGTTAGTGTCCCTTCCTCAGGGGAGCATGACTTATGCTGAATCACGCTGAAAAACTGGTGACAGGGCTTGCTTGGAAGAGGATGACAAATTCCGCTCTTGTCAATAAGCACATGATTAAAGTAACAAGATAAAAATGACATGAACACAGCTACTTTTAAAGCTCTTCAGGGAACAAAGAGATGAGCAATGGCTGTGGTACAGGAAGAAATGAAAGTGATGAAAATAACTCTCTCAAGAACTTGAAGGAGGAAAATTTGGCATTTAGGTTTTACTGCAAATGTGCGAACGATCCATCTACGAGCAAGGTATCATTTCCTACCACTTAATCAAATTAACTAAATACAAAGTATTAGCATATAAAAATGGATTGCCGTTCTCCCCTGAACTTTACAATTCCTGAAGGAGGCCACCCCTGAGTCTTCATCTTCAGCTGAGAAATTGAACTTCCCTCTGGAGTATCAAATTATCGGCTCATTCTTGCAAGGAACAGTGAGATAATCACAAGAAAAAAACAGGTATATAAAATAGAGAGCTGGGTTTGGAGTATGGCTGGGTAAAAATGCACAGATGGTATGATTTTCCAGCTGTTTTAAAAACTTAAAAGCTTTCTCTCTTTCTTCTCGAGGTCAAGGTTTCAAAAATGGGTGGGTGGTTTAAGCTCTTTCCATCCATGAGATGACCTGACCATCTTGTGTCTTTTCAACCTGGGACTTAAACCGAAATGAAATCCCGATTCCATTCCCGCCACTTTTGGAGAATATTTTGATGTTTTGATTTTGTTCCAGTTCAGTAGTTTAAGAAAAATATGTAGGTTCAGGTGTCATTTGAAATTGGTTCACTGGGTGTCCTGATGGGGGAAAAAAGATAAACAAAATAACAAAAATATCCACTTTAGATTGATGGTTTAACACAGAATTGATATTGGAGCTTCGGCTGATGATCGGTGAACCGGTGTGGTATGTTTGCACGTCTTTAAACACAGCTTTGGATCAGAGCCAGGCTCTCAGTTTTAACCCTGCGAGTCACCGTCCTTCTTCAATGTAGCTTGGGTACCTTCTCACTTAATTACATGCCAGGCCCCTGTTTATGTCAGACTCTAATAGTACCAGTCTGCAAAACCTGCGTGGTTGGATGTTTTTCAGAATTGAGATTTTTTTTTTCTTTCAATAGAAAATGAATACAGTATCAAGACTGTAATGGGATATTCTAGACTTCTCCAGCCTGGGATTCCTTTCTTCCCAATTGCATGGGCATTTGGATAGTGAACATAGGAATGGTCACTCTAAGTGGAGTGACAGGAAGACCTTAGATATCCGCATGTCAGGGTGGGTTGCAAAATTTGAGTAACAACTTTTGGTTTTTAGAGCTTTTTGGAGTTTTGCACTTTCATGTAAGAGACCGTAGACTTGGATTTCAGAGCCTCTCCTGTTTCCCTCAAAAACAAACAAACCCAAAAACAACAAAAAAGAAAAGGCACTTGTTCCAGGGCCTTCCAGATCCTTTCCATTGGTCAGTTTTAATTGTCGCTCTGGTATTTAAGTGTTATTTGTTTAAAGAATGCTTGTATATGTTCGGGTAATTCATAAAACCTTATGGACTAAAGGCCATGCTTTAGTATATTAAACATGAACTATGCTAACATACAACATTTCCCAGGCTAATTTCCATATATCCTACTACTAGGTAAGGGAGTGAATGCAGGGGTCCTGTGGCCGGCGGGACACAGTGCCGGGGATGGTGAATGACCTCTGATGCCATGTCTTGCCCCTCGCCCTGCCAGGAATATCTTCCAAGCTTAAAAGGCTGCAAATGCCTTTATTAATATTTGCCTCTGACCTTTAGAACCAAAATAAACTGCACATAACAAGTAGAATCTAGGTACGAAGAGGTCCTTCAGATGATGAAAGTGAACCAGGAGCGTGTGGATGGGATTCCTGCAGGAGAGAGAGGATTCCGCAGTCCCAGCCAATCTTGACTCAGTGCTTCTTGCATGACCCATGTTCAATTCTAGTAAACATCAGCTCTTTCAAGAAATAGAAGCACTTTGGGTAAAAATAGTAAGCATTGTGATTTAAATGGGAGTATGATGTACATTTTAAATATTAGAGAGATTTTTATTATAAAAGATGGTGCGTTTGAATTTGGTTGAATTTTTTTTTTTTTTTTCTTTGAGACAGAGTCTTGCTCAGTCGCCCAGGCTGGAGTGCAGTGGCGCGATCTTGGCTCACTGCAGGCTCCACCTCCCAGGTTCACGCCCTTCTCCTGCCTCAGCCTCCTGAGTAGCTGGGACTACAGGCACCTGCCACCACGACCAGCTAATTTTTTGTATTTTTAGTAGAGACGGGGTTTCACCCTGTTAGCCAGGATGGTCTCAATCTCTTGACCTCGTGATCCGCCCATCTCGGCCTCCCAAAGTGGTTGAATTTTTTATAGGGCACATACAGGCAAATGAAATGCACATGGGCTGTGTGCACTCTCAGGCAATGTCGGAATTCCTCATTAGATTTCATGTTGTGTTGGATGCAAGTTCTCAGCCTCCACTAATGCACTTCTGAAATTAAAATGGAAGCCATGGGGAAGATGATTCGCCATGCCAGGATTCAGTTTTGCACCTGACTGTTCCAGAATTCATCTGGTGCTCAAAGTAAAACAGTCCTGTTTCAGCATTGCACATTTTTAGGGGGTCCTGGAAATAACTTGGGGTTCTATAAGTGTGCAGCCAACAGCATTGGCCTCCCAGGGATAGCACCTTACACTTATAAAAGGGGAAGAGGGTCGGAAGCCCAGCATCCCCTGGGTTTGAAGGGTTAGAATGGGTAGGAGGAAAGGCAGCAGGCGATTCTTAGGAGGGCTGCGAGGGAGAAAACCCTCCAATAAGTGCCATTCTGGTGCCAATCGTGGAGCTGCCAAAAGTAGTAGGAAAGGTGGCTGAGGGTGTGGCCATCTCACCTCCTCTGTCTCCCCTAGGCCTGGCATGGGGGGCTTGATGCCTGACCATGGGCAGGTTTAAATCCAGCAGGCAAGTGTCAGCCTCTGTTGGAGACAGTGCCCACACCAGCCTCAAAGCAGTATTTTAATCTTAAATTGCTCTTCCTGTTTTTTATGCTTGCACCATTTCCCCTGAAGACTGCAAGGTGTTGTATCCAGCTGTTCGCCTATGAAGCAGCTATTTAATTTTGCATAATTAAAATCTGGGGAAGTGGCAAAGGCCCAGGCAGGGGGAAAGGGAGCAGGATTCAAGAGAGGGTGGGAGGCAGGAGCAACAGCAAATCCTGGCACTGCTCAAGGTCCTCACTCAGTAGCGGTGGAGATACTCAGAAAGGAAGTGACCAGGCCTGGCGTGGCTGCTCACACCTGTAATCTTAGCACTTTGGGAGGCTGAGGTGGGAGGATCACATGAGGTCAGGAGTTCAAGACCAGCCTGGCCAACATAGAGGAACCCTGTCTCTACTAAAAATACAAAAATTAGCTGGATGTGGTGGCAGCACACCTATAGTCCCAGCTACTTGGGAGGCTGAGGCAGGAGAATCACTTGAACCTGGGAGGTGGAGGTTCGCACCACTGCACGCCAGCCTGGGCGACAGAGTGAGGCCCTGTCTGAAAAAAAAAAAAAAAGGAAGAGAGTGTCTCTGTCCAGTGAGGGTAACAGTATAGTATGCATTCACACCAGGCCAGGCCCAGAGGGGTCAGGGAACGCGTCCTTGGAGAGGTGGTACCTGAGATGAGTCTGAGAGGGTGATTTAGCATTGGCCAAGTGGAAGGCAAAGGCAGGGGGTGACAGGTGGGAGGTGGTCATCCAGGAAAAAGGAACAAATGGCCTGAGAAGGGAGGGGTGAGGGCCCTGGGGTCCCACTCTCCATGTTGAGGCCTCGGATCCTCAGCCCTGCTTTGCATGGCAAGCAGATGAAGTAATCTCTTTCCACCTGGCCTGTGTCCCTAGTACTGTGCTGTACTGCAATAGGTCAGTTCAAGTTCTGCGGAGCACCTTAATAGGAAGTCACAAAAGAGAGACGCTGATGGACAGCTTTCCCAATGTTCTGTGCACATGGATGTTGGAATGCCTTCATTTTTAGACCTTTTCGGCTTTCTCTCAGGATGTCTGTATCAGTATTGTCTTTAATTCATTTATTCAAGAAACATTTATTGGCATCTAATAGGCCCAGAGCACTGGCCCAGGTATTAGGGCACAAAAGGAGGGCGCGGTTTCTGCCATCACGTCACGGGGCTTACGATCTGCAGAGAAGGACATTTCACAGCAACAATGTGGCCCAGGTGACTGTTTAATGCCTGTTGTTTTAGCAGCTCAGAAGGGAAAAAAAGACCTTCAGCAAACATCCCCGGGAGCCTGCTCTGTACCAGTAACTGTGTGAGGTGCTGGGGAGTGTGTAAGGTGGTCCTCAATGAGTTCGGAGCCAAATTGGGTGAGACAGGCAAGGCCATTTTAGTGTTAACAGTGGTAGATGTCTTGGGGGCACACAAGATGGGAGGATCAATGCTTAATGCATGGGGTATACCAGGAGGAGAGAGGAGCACCAAAAGGCTGAGTATCTCTGGGAAACCGTCGACCCCAATGGGGGCTGGGGTATGGGGCAGGTCGGGGCAGCAGCAAGGGTAGAGGGAGCAGCAGGCACCAGATAGCCAGATTATGCCAGCTGCAGGTGTCTGGCCGAAGATGTTTTCTACTGAATTAAGTTCACATGAAGAGAATATTCTATGATGTTAGGTGTAACTTGGCATCACTTTAAAAATATCTGATTTCTGAAGAATAACCTGGATAGCTGCTTCAGTGTCAGCCTAGCCTCTTGTTGAATAGAGACTGGGAATGTGGAATACCTAGAAGTGGTAGGGACTCTACGCCCCAGACAATCGCGACCCTAGCTTCGGGTTAGAAATGCAACGTGAAATTCACCAAGGGCAAGCAAATGACATGAGTCATGTTGATGCATGTATTTTCCGGGCCATGGTAGTGGGGGCCCTCATGCCCTGAATGCTTGATCACATGGGTGGCTCTATCTGGCTTGCCTGAGCGGCCTCTTGGGATTCCATTTCTGGGACTGTGAGGGAGGAGTGAGCATGCGGATGGCAGGAAGCGTGCAAGCTGCTTCCACCTGTACAGGAGACAGCTGGTCTGCTCTGCTGTGGGGAATCAGGTGACGCCAATTTCTGAGCGTTGTTTTCTGCAAGTGTTATTCCCCCCTCTGGGTGTGGCTAAACCTCCGCTTTGAAGATGTGGATACCAGCAGTGGCTGAAGCAGGTGGCTGCAGACCTCCTGGAAGCCTTCTCTTTCTCAGACCCAGAAAGTTGCCTGTCTAGATAATGAAATCGATTTTGAGGCTCTGTCAAATATCTTTTTTTTTTTTTCAAGAGAGCAACCAGTTAGTAATTAGTTGTTCAATTCAACTGTTTTTTCTGCTTTCTTCAAAAAAAATTTTTTTTAAAAAGTGGTAGACTTTTTTTTTTCTGGGCAAATTCTTAGGATTTAATTGCACTTAAAAATTGTGGAGCCTGTCAGAATAAATTGCACATAGAATAGTCTTACCCAATAAAACTAGTCCTGTGATTGTCACCGTTGTCATGCTTCTCAGATAAAGTTGTGGGAAGGACAATTTAAGTCTGTGTGGTGAACCACACTTCAAATCAGTATTCAGCATGAAGCTCATTGCACTGAAAAACAAATACCCAAGTTTAGCAGCCGTGATGTGTGAGGCATCAGACTGATTTTAAAATAATTCCAAAATTTGCCCCTGAAAAGAGAAGGAGAAATGTCTACCCCATTGGTTTAAAGTTAAGGCAGTGGCATTAAATCTGTAAAAAAAATTTTTTTTTGAAAAGACAAATAGTTTTTATAGCATATTAAAAATAGTAAAGCATAAACAGTATTACTAGCTTCATGCAAAATTGCATCTGCTATTTGGCTCAGTCAAATTGTTGTTTATTCCTGGTAGCAAAGGAGGACGGCTATATGTCAGGAGTAGACATGGCCAATTCTTTGGTTGTTAGAAAAAGGACTACCTTTAGGGTATGAAAACCCCCAGCGCTCTTATTTTTTGCCCTAAGAAACACTTTCATTATTTGTTCCTCTATTTTCGATGTGATTAATCAATTTATTTTCATGGAAAGCAAGTGTTATACCACACACATCTTATCTGTATGATCAGTGTGAGTTCTTGGGGAGAAGAGGGTGCCTACTACTTTTTATTCTCCCTCCCAGAGCTCAACCCTGATGTTGGCCAATGATAAACCTCAGCTAAATGAGTATTGAATCTATGAAGGATGGAAAGTAGTTATTCTATTGTTTGACGCCATTTTTAACTAACTGTGTTATGTCTATCAATTACCATTATACAACTTACATATATATTTTTATATGGTTCCCTAAATACCCTCATGGATAGGGAAAGCACCTCCCTTATAAGAAAGCACTGCCAGGCTTGGTGGTTCATGCCTGTAATCCCAGCACTTTCGGAGGCCGAGGCGGGTGGATCACAAGGTCAAGAGATTGAGACCATCCTGGCCAACATGATGAAACCCCCTCTTTACTAAAAATACAAAAATTAGCTAGGTGTGGTGGTGTGTGCCTGTAGCCCCAGCTACTTGGGAGGCTGAGGTAGGAGAATCGCTTGAACCCAGGAGGCAGAGGTTGCAGTGAGCTGAGATCGCGCCACTGCATTCCAGCCTGGGTGACAGAATGAGACTCTGTCTCAAAAAAAAAAAAAAAAAAGAAAGAAAAAAAAGAAAGTGTCACTTCTACCTTTTGGCATTGTGGAGAAGGCGAGTTGGATTATAGACTGCTGAGTTGTTGAAACTTTTAAGAAGCGAGATGCTCAATGAGAATTCAAGCAGAGCTTAGCAGTTGGGAGTTTGGCTTCCAGAATGGGACTTCGTCAGGTCCAGTGTTGGCTCCTCAGCTTTGTGCTGTGTTGTGCAAATTATTTATTATTACCCCTCAGTTTCCTTATCTGCAGAAGATGTGGACATCTGTGTCTTCACCGTGTAGCTATTGGAAGGATTAACCAGATAATCCAGGTAACATACTTAGCACACTGCCTGCTGCTTAGCAATCAATAGTTAATAAGAAAACAGGATTTAACAAAAACAAAATTAGAAAAATTAAGCTGGTTGAATATATTTTTTCAAAGGGCGTATTAAGAGTATTAGTATGTTTATGTATGCATAATAATTAATGTGTTGATTATATACATTCTCCTTATCTGAATCCTTAAGAAATTTGAAAATTTATTGCCCATGGAAGTTATTAGTTTATTAGTATGATGTGTAGATACACACACATATATATTCAGATATGTGTGTGTATGCACACACATGCAAGCACACACCTGTATCTGGCCAGTTTGTACATTTTGCAAGCTGTCAAATAACAGCAGAGGGCTGGTATCAGCCCTACACCTGCTCCGGAGCTGCAAGGATCCCTCTAGCCAACCTTAGCTTGGACTCTTTCACTTAGAAAAGAGGACCACAGACACTGCTGTTGAAATGGAAAATCCTGGTGTGTTAGTCTGAGTCAGAAGCGCAGGGCGCAGTGGAGGACAGGCTCACAGGCTGTTCCCTTGTGGCACCACAGGCTCTGCTGGCCTCAGAGGCCACTGGGGTTGTGGGCCTCTTCCTCTTGGTGGGAATGGACAGCTCTAGCCCCAGGCCAGCCAAATCCTCAAGTTCCCCTGGCAGGTGCTGTTTTGGTGCCAGGCTGGTCGCTGCAGAGGGAGGCATGAGCAAGGTGGAGGGGTAGGAACGGGGATCACAGATGGCTTCCAAGCAGACCTGGCTCTGTCTTTGGCCTTAGAACCTTCCAGAGCCTCCCAATCCTGCTGTGTGAAGGTGAGCTTGTGTTGCCAGGATTAGCTGTAGGAACGGGCTATCCCCATTTACAAGCAGGCGAGGCGATAGATGTGGTAACACCTGTCCCGGCCGACAAGGAGGCAGTTGCACTCTGCAGCAGTTTACTTTGATAAATGCTCGAGGCAGATAAAATGATAGAATGTCTGATATAAGTCAGTGGTAATGTGAATCAACATATTTTGTCCAGTTCTGCCTTGTACAGATCTGTTTTGCTAAGATGTCGTTTTCACAAAGTGATATTTTTCCACCTCGCGGTTATCTTTGTGTTAGAAAGGAGCGGAAGCCAACTTAAACTATGAGTTGTTTGTCTGCATAAAGGTCCTCCCAAACTCTCCTAGTAAATCAGGGCCTGAGAATTGTTTTAAAAATCCAGAAGATTCTCAGTTTATTCTGGATAACTGAGCTAGATAATATTGTAAATGTTGACAGATGTTACTTATCAACACTTGAATTGGCCAAGTATTAAAATATCCTACATATTTAATATTAAAAAAAGTGAATAAAATATACTATTTTTAAGCTACAAAATTAGGTTCAGATATGTCTACTAAAAACCCATCTGATGACATATTTAAGGTTACTTGGTAAAAAAATGTTTAGGACTGGGTCCACAAACAAAACCAGTTACATGTAAAACATTGTTAATTATCGGTTGTTTGACTTAATCTGGGTGACATTTAAAACTGGCTTGTGTGTGTAGACAGAGTCTAAATGTGAATCTTGTTTATTAAAAGACAACCTTTTTGATTAAAGCTCTGAGTAAGGATTATGTAAGACATTATTATAAAATGGATTAAAACTGCTTAACTGTTTTCCTCAAAGAGAACGGCATGATAAACTCTTCTGTAATTCTGTAAGTGTCTCTGATTACTTTGTCTTTAAGCTAAAGGAATTTAATAAGAAGAGCTAGCATTAATTACATGCTGACTGTGTCCAATGCTGGAGGGCTTGGCCTGTGCTTTCTCATTTATTCCAGGTGCCAATCCAGCAAGATAGGTGCTGGTGTTATACCCATTTTACAGATGAGGAAACCGCTGCTCAGTCAGACTTCCTCATCCTGGGTCAAGTGGGAATTCAAAGCAGAGGTCAAACTCGAAGAGCCTGCGTGCTTCATGACATGCAATACCACTCCTCAGTATTCCAGAGGCTTGTGGGGGTGATGGCAGCATCTTATTACATCCCAAACTATACAATAATAAATACAAATGGATGTAAATTAGTACTGCTGGGCAGATGTCACAGTAGCAAGTGTTTTGAATTTCCGCCTGAAGTCTCCTTCTGTAATGGGCAGGCAGCCTGTTAGAGCTGTGGGATTTAGAAATGTTCCCGCAGTTTGAACAGAACCACTGCATGACAATTAGAGGACGTTTCCAAATGGAATTTGTCCTGTGGAATTTTAGGGCAGAACTAATGTTATATTATAAATACAGACTCCACATACAATGTGAACTGCTAACTAACGGCTAATAGGGGAGAGCTAAAAACAACTTCAATGTTAAAAAAAAATCATTCAGTGCCTATTGAGCTTCTTCTGTGTGCCAGGTGTCGTGATACACAGGGTCCTCTTCCCGGAGTGCCAGGCTTGTCCAGCGGGAGACAGAAGCACATCCAGAGAAAACGAAAATATTTCTAGATGGAGGCGAAGAGAGTTCTAAATGTGAAAGTGATATATAATGAAGGTTTAAAAAAGGAAACATTGGCCGGGCATGGTGGTTCACGCCTGTAATGCCAGCACTTTGGGAGGCCAAGGCGGGCAGATCACCTGAGGTCAGGAGTTCGAGACCAGCCTGGCCAGCATGGTGAAACCCCGTCTGTACTAAAAATACAAAAATTAGCTGGGCATGGTGGCGGGTGCCTATAATCCCAGCCACTCGGGAGGCTGAGGCAGGAGAATCACTTGAACCTGGGAGATGGAGGTTGCAATGAGCCGAGATCGTGCCACTGCACTCCAGCCTGGGCAACAAGAGTGAAACTCCGTCTCAAAAAAAAAAAAAAAAAAAAAAAAAAAAAAAAAAAGGAAACATTTTCAAATAACAGTCTTCTGGCTCATAAGAATACCAGTCGTTTCAAAAGGAACAAGTTAAACTTGGGGAAATACTAGGAATGAATACTGACACTTAACGAAATATTGATTGAGGGTTACAGACTATTGAAGCCGAAATAAGTCCCTAGGGCTTCATTGCCCAATCGCAACCAAGACAGACCAACAGACTTTTGAGTGAGTAACAGCATACCACATTTCTGACATGTGTGTATTTCAACACGTTTGATTTATTGGTTAAGTGAAGTCACCGATGATCAAATATCCTTGATGGGAATCCCCAGCCCTCCCCATTGCCATCTGCATTTAGAGAATCCCAGGAATCCATGTGGGTAGAGGAAGGCGGGCAAAGAATAAGAGACTTTTAGGTCTGAGTTGGTCCATTAGGGAATTAGATGTGTTTGTGCTCATTTTAAGCAGAAGAAATACACTGCTAGAGGAAGAAGAGAATCCCAGCTCGAATCCTGCCCACTGGAGTCCATGGCACAACTTCCAGATGGTGATATTCAGATTCTTTTGATATTTCTCCAGCTAGGGATATGAAATACATACAAGAAAAAAAATCTTATGCCCTGGAGGAAAAATAAGCACATCCTAACTATTGACAATCTCGTGTTTGTATTTAAGGAAATGATCGCCTCCTATTTGAATGTCATGAGATCAGCCATCGGGACCACTAGAGTCTAAACTTGATAAGGCAACGTGAGGATCTGTGGTCCCTTCTGTCCCGCTCACCCAGCATTCCTGGTGCTTCAGACAGGGTCTGGGATGTTACAGGTGCTTAGAACGATGTCATGATCAAGTGACATGATGATTGATAGAGATGACTGTAGAATGGGGGCTATTCGAATGAGAAGTACCTTTTGGGCAGTAAGTTAAAACAATGGGTAGACCCTTGAGGAGTTCATGGTGTCATTTGATGATGCAGTCTTCGTGACCCTTTCCCTAGGGTTTTTTCTTTTTCTTTTCTTTTTTTTTTTTTTTTAACGGAGTCTCGCTCTTGTTGCCCAGGCTGGAATGCAATGGCGCAATCTCGGCTCACTGCAACCTCCGCCTCCCAGGTTTAAGCGATTCTCTTGCCTCAGTCTCCCGAGTAGCTGGGATTACAGGCGCCCGCCACCACGCCCGGCTAATTTTGCATTTTTAGATTCTCCATGTCGGTCAGGCCGGTCTCAAACTCCCGGCCTCAGGTGATCCGCCCGCTTCGGCCTCCCAAAGTACTGGGATTACAGGCGTGAGCCACCACGCCGGGCCTTCCCTAGGTTCTTAAATAACTGAGGAAGAATAACGAAGACCCAGGAAGAGATTCCAAAGAACACATGGCTAATTCACAGATAAGGGAGAAACACAATGTTTAAGAAATTCAGTAGCACCCAACAGCAGACTGAAAACAAGTTGGGAAGTGGACTCTCTCACGGAGCTCAAACACTCAGGCAGCATTTGCATCTCAGAAGTAATTTTTGAGAATTCATTTGAAGAAGGAAGGATTTTCCTTTCCTTTCCTTTCCTTTTACAGGATGGTTCCCCCTAATGAACTGTTTTAAGCGGACGAAAGAATTCATTTGGCACACTCTTGCTTAAAACCCACAGGAAAAAAAGCAAAGTTCTCTTAAGGATGTCAGCTCCAGACTAGAGCAGTCCGTTTGAAAAATCTTGGTTTTGAGAAAGTGGCAGAATTACATAATTATTCACAACTCATAAGACATTAAAATACTTCTTCCAAATATGAAGTTGTGAGATAACAAAAACCACAAATTCTAGACTTGCGGAGGGTGTGTGCATCTTTTACTCTCCCACACACAAACCCACATCAAAGAGTCTGGGTGGCGCTGGGCCGGAACTCGTGGCCGCGCTCGCCTTGGTGCGCCTGGGCCACAGGAGGAGGCTGCTGGGGCCGCTCTGCCGCCGCACCTCCCTGAAGGAGATCCGGGGGCAGTGGGGATGCTAAGGATGCAGCGCCGGAGAGGCAGGTGGCGGCCCCTGCGAAGAGGTGGTCCCCGCAAAGCACACGGAGACCACGAGGTTCCTTGTCGCCCACTCACAGCAATGCTGCACGAGGTGAGGAACGACCTGGAAGAGTCCCAAAGTAAAGGCATCGGGTGATGAGAGGAATCTGGGGGTGGAGAAGTGGTCAGACGAGCCCCAGGGCTCTGTCATTCTGGAAGGGAGCCCCTGCCCTGTCGTTCTGTGTGGGCATAACTTTGAAAATCAGGGCACTTCATTTAACAAGACTCATTTTTAAAAGCTCATGTTACCTGTTGAAAACCCAAGGGAGACTGGCCTTTGGCGGATGGATTAAGCGCCGCTCATTCAGTTCCATTTTACGGAAGGACCTGCCTCAGCCCCGTATGAGGCTGCGGGGATTCCAAAGTAAAGTCAAGGAGATGGGGTTCCTGCCTGCAAGGAGCTTCCCACCTAGCAGGGCCGTCCGGTGGGCAAACTGTGGGCACTGGATGAGCAAATAGTGCATTTTGCTGACGACAGGAGACGCAGGTGGCGGGGGGGTGCCCAGGAGCCCGAGAGGAGGGGTGTGGTGGAGGGCGGGAAAGGAGGGGTGGGGTGGAGGGCAGGAGACGAAGGGTGGGGTGGAGAGCGGGAGAGGAGGCTGAGCCCTGGAGCGTGGAGTGGGCATGGGCCAGGGACACCGAGAGAGCAGCCTGCGCAGAGACGATGGGGCAGCAGACAGGCCTGTGTGTCTGAGGAGGGGAGCCTCCAATGGAGAAGGCTGAGGAGTGGGTGCAGGCAGGAGACTGTTGAGACTGGCCGTGGGGAACCGCAGATGGGCGTCAGCTGGGGAAGACAGTCTAGCCGCACTGGAGAGGCAGGACTGTGGGGTCAGACGAGGGTGGGGCTGGCCTTCTGGGAGAACCCCAGAGGCTCAGCAAGAGGTACCACAGGGCTTGAGCTGTTGAGACGGAGAGAAATGCTGAGGATGTGGCCCGGACAGGGCCCAGAGGGACCCGGGCCTCCCTGCATAGGTGCTTGGCAGTGCCCTCTCAGTGGTGGTATCAACTCCTGGGCGAAGGCGAGAAGATGGCTGGTGAATACAGCCTGCAGGCAGGCAGCATATTTAATAAGATTAGGACTTGGGAGAAAAGTCCTGGGCTTGTAGGTGGGAGCTGAGGCCACCGCAGGGTGGGCGTTCCTGGACAGTGGGTATTTAGAGAGCAGAAGAGACCGCAGGAACAGCCCGAGATGACCCAGCCTCTAGAGGTGGGCTCAGGAGGTGGGGGAGGAGCAGCCGGGAGGGTGGGAGAAGCCCCCATGGGGAGCGGCACCACCACAAGACTGAGGCAGTGGTGGGAAGGCCACGGAGACCTCCCAGAAGAAAGGGCTGAAAAGTCTGTGGAATCCTCTGAGTCAGAAGGTCCTGGGAACCATTGCCCAAGCAATTCCTGAAGGCAGAAAGAAGCCTCATTGCATCGGGCTAAAATGAATGGAGCTGGAGGAGCGGGGATCTTGGAGGACCGAGTCTGTGGCTGACTCATTTCAGGGTCCACTGTAGTGCTTGGCACACAGTGAGTGCCCAATCCATACCTTCTAATTAGAAATATTTCCCTCTATTTCCACAGACCTCCATTAGCAATGCCCTTTCAGCAGTGTTAGCTTATTTAACATTTATAAAAGCATGTATCCTCGAAACAGGAGACAGGCTCATGAACTTGACCAAGGAAGAGCAAGTGATCAACTGCAGACCCATCCAATTGGTGTTTTTCCATTTTTCTCGTTGGTTGTCATAGCCTCCCCTGCCGAAGGCATCTTATCTTTGCTTGCATGTTAACTGCCTAAGGCACAGAGTTCAAAAAGCAATTTCCATCTCATGCTTTGAATACCTTCCATGTGCCAGAACCATGAGGGTCACGGGGCTGCTGCCCTTCGGGATCTCACAGTCTAGTGTTTTTGCTTAGCATGGTGGAAATTGGATAAAATCAAATTCTCTGAAAAAATCATACTTTAAAAGGAGGTACGGCCCAAGGAGCATCAACAGCACCCCATTTGTATGTGGAACCCCTTGAAGGGACCAGATAATCAAGAGAACTGTGTGACAAGAAAACAATGGCTGCAAGAATAAGGGCACTGTCCTTAATAAAGCTCACCTCTGGAGAATTAACTAGCCTTATGCCAGAGTAGCTCTGACAGTGAAGGGGTTAAAATAACAAATAAATGACTTTATTTAGATTTCAGCATTTCTGGCATTTTTTTTCTAGCTTTTTTTTTTTTTTTTTTTTGCCAGAGTATTTGATGTGACAGGTTTTGTTTGCTCACACTTGTCTCTCTTTTAAAATTCTCATATCAGCAGTAAAAGCTATTTCTTTTTCCTGTAACATCTTGAGCTTGGTATCCAATGATGGGAGAAATGGCTCTTGCGTTCCTTGAAATTATAATATTATGCCTAATTTTGGGGGAGAAAAATTAGGGTAATTTAGATCTGGAGCCGCTGAAGCCTGCAGGCAGGTCAGTTGCAGCATTATTGCTGATTAGTTATCTAAAAAGTGTTTTCGCCCAAGGGCAGGCTCTGCCATTTCTGGCATTCTATAGAAAGGCTGATGTCGAGGCCTGTCTGGTCAAGGAAACGATGGTCATCACCCATTTTCGAGGTGGCAGTCTGGGCTCAGTGGGCTCTGGTTAGGGAGTGGAGAGCCTCAGACCATCCCCCGATTCACTGTTAGGGAGCAAGTGAACGAGTGGGGGCAGAGCAAGCATGCTGTCCTGGCTCTCTTCATTAAGCCGCCTATCACTATCAAAAGCCTCACTGTCATCCTTGGTACCACTGGAACTCTGAACGCACAAGTGCTCTTGCAAAGGATGCCTCTTTGAAGCAGGCGATTGGCTTCAGGCACCGATGATCTGGAAATCATTGGTGCAAGTGGAAAGGTTACAGAGGGAAGTCTGTCTTTTCTTGACTCTGCGAGATCATGTATAGACTATAAACAAACCAGAATGTGTTGCTAATCATTTTAAAAGCAAGTTTGAAGTTTACTTATAGGAGTGAGACTCTGCTGTCTTTTCTAGTTTCCTTCACTTTCCTCAGGCCTCTTTGGGTCCCTTCTGGTCCCCGCAAGGGTGCTACCTCTTTAGCCACTGATTTCCAGGTGAGCATACACGTCCTTTGTGTGCGTGGCTGGTGGGAGCTCTTTGCTCCTTACATCTTTTGGTGTGGCTGGGTGAAAGGCATTCTGCAGCTTTCTGAGTGGAGGGGCCAACTAGTCTCAACTGGCTGGTATTTTCTAAACTTCTCTGTGTATAACCCTGAGAGCACTGTATTACCACTCTAAAGAGGGAGACTGGAGAGCCAAATGCCAGTGGAATTCTGTAATGTGGGCTGCAGTGTAAACTGTGGTAGGGTTGAACTAAGGACTGTTCTAGAAAAACCTGTAAGTAATTAAGTTCTCCCTCCAGCAAGGTAAAAGCTGAGTCTGAAGTATATTAGTACAAAAAAAAAAGAGTGAAACCTTTGTTGGTGGTTATATATTTTTTCTCGTTTTTAATGTAAATAAATAAAGAATTCTGGCAAGACAAAAAATCTCATATCTCCTTACTGACCTAAGGAGAGAAAAACAAAAGATGTAGCCATTGTTGGCTGCATGTTTTAAATGGCTGAGGTCAGGATGAAACTTACATTACCCTGTTTCAGCAATTCCCAAACCATGTTCTGGGGAATATAAGAAAGTTCTTGGGGAGGGTTGGGGAGGAGAGAGGAAGATTTTGTAGACAACTGTATTTCAGAAACCTTGCATATTATATTTTCTCCTTTGGAGATTCTCAGTGCATTTTAGTGTATTAAAAAAAATGCAGTGTGCCTTTGATTAACCGAGCATTTTCTCATCCACTGTGACCACAGAATCCTTTTGCACAGGGCGCCTGCTCACATCTTATGGGAATGACTGCTTACTTGGTCCACAATGGAAACACCATCACTAGCAATTCTTCTACCTGCCAGCCTCACTGTCTTTCTCTGAGCTGGCTTCCTAACACTTTATTTGAATCTATGTTGTTATGCAGTCCATTGTGATGTGTGTATCAAACTTCCAAGATAGACTGCCTTTGTATATCTTTTTCTTGCATTGTTTCACTTGTTATAATAAGATCAAATTATTTTTTGAATTGGAGAATACAAGTCAATAAATATTTTTAAAAATTAAAAAATAAAGTAGCTGAAATAAGAAGAAATAATTTTTTTTGCAAATTGCTTGGCCTATGGAGGCATTCATCAAAGATTCCTTTTTCTGTTGTGACCCATTTCACGGTCGCCGTTTTGTGGCCTGGTGAAGCCTACAGACCCTTTCTCAGACTAATGTTTTTAAATGAATGAAGTACCAAGAGTCACAAAGGAAACCTGTTCTATTGAAATAAGGTGACAATATATCAAAAGCCACATTTGTGATGTATATTCATATGTGCTTCTTTATTAATATCTTAAATAAGATCGAGTGGTATAAATCTAACAACTACCACGATTTCGGAGTAGTGATGAGTGCGAGTGATATTTCGAGATACCTGCAACAGCTTTAATGTGTGAAAACATTTGTGATTTCTATTGACAGCAAAGTCACAGGAACAGCAAATACCACTGAGGTTTCTTGCCTACGTTTATAATTGAAGCAAGTGTTCTAAATGTCTGTTAGAAAGTATTGAAAATAAAGGTAGAAATTTTTTTCCCATTCAAGTTTACAAACCACCTTGAGGCATATGGTATCTACTAACAGGTCAAAGTTAAGTTTGCTTCATTTGGGGAATGTGAGTTGATAATTTATAAAGTCAAATCTTGGTGTGTAAGGGGACAGGGCAGGGAAGCTTGGGGACTGCTCAGGAGTTAGGCTGGCCAGCGGGGTAAGCCTAACTTGAGATGGCCAGCCAAGGTCAGCAGGATGGAAGGTAGTTGGTACCTTGTGCCCACCCCACCGGAGCCCACCAGAGCCCACCGGAACCCACCAGATCCCACTTGAGCCCACCGGATCCCTACAGCCGTGCATTCAGTGGTAACCAATGCACAGTGCCCCACGCTGTTTTTTACAGATTCTAAGTTTTAAAAATTTTTCTGCTTTTATCCATGTATTCTCATTTTTGGGGGAATACATTTGTAGCCTCTCTTGGCAGTCGTTTTCTGGAGGATTACTTTGAGCTAATCTTTGGTCATTTCTGGCTCCCTTGAAGTTGTCAATCCACAGGGTTTTTGCAGGAGCCCAAGGATTTGGGTAAACACACTCGCAACAGCACCTTTGTATCCATTCCTCTTTCTGCCGGGGCCCTTTTGAGGGATTCGGCATTTGTGAGGGAGGATCGGGTCATTTGCCACAAAGTCTAACAAATTGGAAAGTCCAAAGACCCAGAGCTAAAGATCCAGGCCCTTCCAACTGTTTCTTGGATATTCTCATAACCAGCTCATCACTTAGTTAATTCATCAAGTCACCTTGCTAGAAGCTGCAGGGCAGTGCTTCTCAAACTGTACATCACAACACATTAGTAGGTTAATTGAAGTAATTTAGTGAGTTGTGACCAAAATTTAAACAATGAAATAGAAAACAATAAAAAACATTACTAGTAAAGGTAAATATTCTTTTTTTCTGTTTTTTCTAGATGGAGTCTTGCTCTGTTGTCAGGCTGGAGTGCAGCGGCCACTGTTACCTCCGCCTCCCGGGTTCACGCGATTCTCCTGCCTCAGCCTCCCAAGTAGCTGGGACTACAGGTGCGTGCCACCATGCCCAGCTAATTTTTGTATTTTTAGTAGAGATGGGGTTTCATCATGTTGGCCAGGATGGTCTCGATCTCCTGACCTTGTGATCCACCCGCCTCGGCCTCCCAAAGTGCTGGGATTACAGGTGTGAGCCACCGTGCCCGGCCTAAAGGTAAATATTCTATCATGAAATGTATGTCTCAGATGTGTTCACACACACACAGAAGCATGTGTGTACTAGATTACGATGTTTTGTATATTCAGTTCTTATTTTGGGTCATTATCAAAAAACTGGAAAATCCCTGCTGCGGAGACTATTCAGCAAACACTAAATTTTAGAGTCTCCTATGGTTAATGTTGGGGTTGAGTGGAGTAGCTGACACATTAACTGAATATGTATGAGAAGCTAACAGCACAGGGGCAGCTGTGTGGCTGTTTGACATCTGGCGGAGCACCTGTCGCAGGTGAGATGCCATGCCACACGGTGCAGAGGGTAAACCCAGGCTCACAGGTCCATGGGAATATTCGTGTCTGGAGGTCAGAGCTGGGTTTTGTTGTGTTCCCTGCTTGCAGGACAGAAGGAAGTCTCTCATGGACACCTTTTAGAGGCTGGAATGTGATGGGGTCAATCTTTGAATTTCACAGGCCATGTGAAGGGGCCTCATGTTATCTTAAGCACAGGGGAGGCCACCCAAAGGCATTAAACAGGGAAGTGACATGATGAACCTTGTGCTTTCGGAAAATGTCCCCCAGGATGCTCTGTGAAGCATGAACTGAAGGGCAGCCAGACCAGAGGCAGGAGTGCCCTGGGAGTTTTGCAGAAATCCAGGTGGCAGTTGATCCGGGTGGGCTGGGTGGCAACAGCGAGGCAGGAGACAGGTAAATATGGATCTAGAAGAGACTTAGGAGGTAGAAACTAGAGTACGGGTGGCAAACTTTTTCTATAAGGCGCCAGATGGTAAATAGTTTGGACTTTGTGGGCTACACTGTCTCTGTTGCATGAACTCAGCTCTGCCACTGTGGTGTGGAAGGGACCACAGGCAAAACAGAAATGAATGGGCACGGCTGTGTTCTGATAAAACTTTATTTGCAAAAGCAAGCAGTGAGCCGGATTTCTACGGTTGTAGTTTTCAGACCCTGGGTCTCAACCAGTGGTGATTCTGCTCCCCGCAGGACATTTGGCAGTGTCTGGAGATGTTTTTGTGTCACCACTCAAGGAGCGGGTGCTACTTGCGTATAGTGGGTAGAAGCCAGGAATACTGATAAACACCTTGCAGGGCACAGGACAGCTCCTGATGCCAACAGGGGCACAGAATCATCTATGGATGTGGTGAGTGTTTGAGTGTTAGTCAATCGTGAAATGAGGTTCAGGGTTTTGCTGGCACTGATGTTACCTTTCCTTTGCAGATAGAATATATATGGTATAAAAATAATAAAATTTAAATTAAACTTACTTTAATAACTAACAACGTAAGCAGGATCGGCTCACCTTAATAACTTGAAAAACATTTCTTTTTAGTACCTTTAGATAGATACATGTTTATAGGCAGTTACTTAGGTTTTTTCCAGATATGAATATTTTATTAAGAGCATATGTGCCCCACACATTCAGAAAACGTAAAATGCAATCGTGCCATTCCGAGAGAGCCTCTGTGGTTTCCTCAAGCCTTCTCCAGAGACCTCAGATTTCCAGCCACACAGGACTGTTGCAGTGGTCAGGCTCTTCAGCGAGAAGAGACCAGGGCTCCCCCAGATGCTGGAGTCTCTGTAGTCTTATTCCAACTCTGGTTTGGTCAGTTTCATGCTAGTGCTGGCAATCTCTGCTGGAATGGTGGCATTTGATTGCCTGAGTTGACTAGTTCTCTTGGGCTGTTTATGCAGCATCATCCTGGCTCTCGGCTGTCTCTGAGGAAGCCTTAAGAAAGGGGTCATCAGGCTGGGCACGGTGGCTCACGCCTGTAATCCCAGCACTTTGGGAGGCCGAGGCGGGAGGATCACGAGGTCAAGAGATCGAGACCATCCTGGCCAACATGGTGAAACCCCGTCTCTACTAAAAATACAAAAATTAGATGGGCGTGGTGGTGGACGCCTGTAATTCCAGCTACTCGGGAGACTGAGTCAGGAGAATTGCTTGAACCCGGGAGGCAGAGGTTGCAGTGAGCCGAGATCGTGCCACTGCACTCCAGCCTGGTGTCAGAGTGAGACTCTGTCTGAAAAAAAAAAAAAAAAAAAAAAAAAAAAAGGGATCATCAGCTGAATTGGATGCGTGCCTCACCAGTACTCCATCCAGGTAGGGGTCCAGGGAGGTAGCAACACTAGAGTTCTTATCCCTTCTCCAGTTTTCAAACACAAGTTTAGGGAGCTGTAAGAATCACTTATATGTCCATCTCTCCCTGTCTAAATGGCCATGGGGAACTGGGGTGGAGTGTGCAATCTCTTCTCTCAGGTCCTCTCTACCACTAGACTCAAATGACTTTTCTTTCATTTCCTAAATGTTTTTGGAATGAAAAACTCTGTTCCTTTTGCAACATTGTCAAGTTATTTGAAAGTTTCATCATAAGATTCAATATATAAGTCTTGACATTATAATATTGACTTTTAAAAAGAGTTGTTACATAACACAATTAAATTGACTACTTAAATGAAACGATACCTAATGTCAATAATTTTAGAAATATATACGTCTCTTTCTAATTCTCAAATTTTTATTTTTCCCCTTATATTTCTTTTCAACATATCCCATAGATTTTTTTAAAAATGAAACTTGTGGCTGGGCACGGTGGCTCACACCTGTAATCCCAGCACTTTGGGAGGCCGAGGCAGGCAGAACACGAGGTCAGGAGTTCGAGACCAGCCTGGCCAACATGATGAAACCCCGTCTTCACTAAAAATAAAAAAATTAGCCCGGCGTGGTGGTGGGTGCCTGTAATCCCAGCTACTTGGGAGGCTGAGGCAGGAGAATCATTTGAACCTGGGAGGTGGAGGTTGCAGTGACCCAAGATCGTACCACAGCATTCCAGCCTGGGTGACAGAACAAGACTCCACCTCAAAAAAAAAAAAAAAAAAAAAAAAGAAAAGAAACTTGCATTTTAGAATAGTTTTAGATTTACAGAAAATTTTCAAAAATAGCACAGAGTTCCCATCTACCCCCACCCAGTTTCCCCTAAGATTAACATCTCACAATAGTATGGCATACTCATCACAATTAATGCACCAATATGAGCACATTATTTAAACTAAAGTCCATACTTTATTCCTGTTGTTTTAGTTTTCTCTCTTTAGGATCCAGGACACCATGTTATGTTCAGTCATCATGTCTCTCTCAGCTTCTCTTGGCTTTGACAATTTCTCTGACTTCCCTTATTTTTGAGGACCCTGACAGTTTTGAGGAGTCCTGGGCAGGTAGTTTGTGGAATATCCCACAGATCGGATTTGTCTGATGTTTTTCTTGTGATTATATGGGCTTACGGGTTTTGGAAGGAAGACTACAGAGATAAAATCCATTCTCATCACATCCCACCCAAGGGTGCCCACCATCAACATGGCTTATCACCATTAATGTTGACCTTCATCACCAGACGGACGTAGTGTTTGTCAGCCTTCTTCTCTGGACAGTCACTCATTACCCCTTTCCAATGCCATCATCTTTGGATGGAAGTCTCTAGGCACAGCTCCCACGTGAGCAGGGAGCTAGGCTCTGTCTCCTAGCTGGCAGAGAATCTACATAAAGTATTTGGAGTTGTTCTGCATGGGAGACTCAGCTCTTCTGTCCTCCTTTAGTTATTTACTCAATCATCTATTTCTATCAGGATAGACTCATGGATATTTATCTTATGCTTTGGGCTGTAAGCCAATACTGTGTTATTTGTTTTGTTGCTCCAATTGTTCTAGCTCCCACCATTGGGATCGTGTTCAGCTGAATGAAGACACTACATATCAGAATTTGTAGGATGCTGCTAGAGGAACACTTAAGCGGAATTTTGTTGCATGAAATGCCTATATTAAGAAAAAAGAAAGATCTCGCTTTCCACATTAACAAATATAAAAAGGAAGGGCAAAGTAAACTCAAAGTAAGTAGAAGAAAGGAAATAAAAAAGACCAGAGTGGCTGTCAATGAAAAAATAAAAACAGACAATAGAGAAAACAAATGAACCCAAAACCTGGTTCTTTAAATAAATCAATAAAATTGATAAAACTCTATACAGATTGATCAGGAAAAAAGAAGAAACAAATTACAGTATCAAAAATGAGAAAGGGCCGGGAGCAGTGGCTCAAGCCTGTATCCCAGCACTTTGGGAGGCTTCGGAGGGAGGATTGCTAAAGCCCAGGAGTCCAAGACCAGCCTGGGCAACACAGTCTCTGCAAAATCCAGTCTCTACAAAAAAATTAAAAATAAAGAATTAGCCAGGTGTGGTGGCCTGTGCCTATACTCTCAGCTACTCAGGGGGCTAAGGCAGGAGGATTGCTTGAGACTAGGAGGTTGAGCCTGCAGCGAGCTATGATTGCACTACAGCACTCCAGCTTGGGTGACAGAGTGAGAACCTGTTTCCAAAAAAAAAAAAAAAAAAAAAAAAAAAAAGTGAGAAAGGTGATATCACTATAGCTTGTCCAGTTATTTATAATACAATAAGGGAATGATATGAAAAATTTTATGCCAATAAATTTGCAACTTAGATGAAATGGACAAATACCTTGAAAGATACAAATCATCAATGCTTACCAATTAAAAGTTAAATAACCTGAATAACACTATGTCTACTGTAGAAATGGAATTTGTTGTTAAAGACTTTCCCACAGTGAGATGTCAAGCCAAATGGCTATACAGGTGAATTCTACCAAACATCTAAGGGAGAAATAATACTTGTTCTCTACAAACATTTTTTAAAAATTGAAGAGGAAGGAACCTTTCCCAACTCACTCTGTGAGGCTAGTACTATCCTAATACCAAAATAAGACAAAGACATTGTAAGAAAAGGGAATCACAGAAAGTGTCCTTTATAAACGTGGATACAAAAATGCTAAATGAAATTTTAGCAAATTGAATGAAACAATATGCAAAAACGATAGCACATTATGACCACGTGTGGTTTGTCAGGAATGCAATGTTGACTTTACATTGGAAAATCAATCTACATTGTATAGTAGATACACTATACATATGTGTATAGTAGATACACATATACACACTATATGAACAAACTGAGAAAGAAAAACCAAGTGGTCATTTCAATAGACACCCTCCTTCTCTTTACCCAAAAACATATTTAGCAAAATCCAATATCCATTTCTAAAAACAACTCTCAGCAAACTAGGAATCGAGGGGATTTCCTCAGTGTGATATTGGGCATCTACATAAATTCTTTAGCTTGTGTCAAAGACTGAATGTTTTTACTCTAAGGTCAAGAGCAAGACACAGATATGTTCTCTTCCTATTTCTATTCATTATCATACCAGAGATCCTAGCCAAGACAATCAGGCAAGAAAAAGAAACGAAAGACAACTTGATAGGAAAAGAAGAAGTAAAACTGACCTTATGAACAAATGATGTGGTTGTCTTGAAAAATTATATGAATCTACAATAAAAGCTACCAGAACAAATAGCTTAGCAAGGTTGCATTATACAAAATCAAAACACAGCTATCAATTGCATTTCTATATATTAAGAATAAAAAAGATCATAAATTGAAATTCAGGAATATCATTTATAACAGCATCCAAAATATAAAATATGTAAGGATAAATTTGGCAGAAGATGTGCAAGTTGTATGCACTGAAACATACAAAACATTGAGGAGATAAATCAAAGAAGACGTCAAGTGGAGAAGACATACAGTATGTCTATGGATCTGAAGCGTTCTTACTATTCACATGTCAGTTCTCCCAAAGCTGCTATATGGATTTAACACAATCCTCATCAAAATCCGAGCAAGTATTTTTTTTTTTTTTTTTTTTGTAGCACTCGACAGACTGATTCTAAAATTCCTTTGGAACTATAAAGGACCTAAAATAGCCAAAACAACTTTAAAAATGATTAGCATTACTTGATTTCAACACCTATCATAGACTGATGGTAATCAACCCTGTGCAGTATTGGCTTAAAATATACAAATATATCAGTGGAACAGAATAAAGTTCAGAAACAAACCCACACTTATACAGACAACTCCCCAAGGCAATGGAGGAAGAATATTCTTTTCAACAGTTTGTGCTGGGACTTTTGATCTAAGCATATAAAAAACATTAATTCAAAATGGACCCTAGTCCAAAATATAAAATCTAAAGCTGTAGAACTTATAGAAGAAAACCTTTATGACTTGGGTTAGACAAATATTTCTTAGTTAGAACAACCATAATATGATCCATAAAATAACAAATTGATAAATTGAACTTTATCAAAATTAAAAACTTCTGCTCTTCAAAAGATATTCTTAGGAAAATGACAAGGCTGGAGAAAATATTTATAAATTATGTATCTGATAAAGACTTGTATCCAGAATGTATAAAGAACTCTAAATCTCAATGATAAAAAATTTAATTAAAAATTAGGCAAACCATATGTAGAAAACTGAAACTGGACCTCTTTCTTACATCTTATACAAAAATTAACTCAAGATGGATTAAAGACTTAAATGTAAAACCCCAAACCATA
The DNA here is from genome assembly GCF_000001405.40 of Homo sapiens. Lineage (NCBI taxonomy): Eukaryota > Metazoa > Chordata > Mammalia > Primates > Hominidae > Homo > Homo sapiens. Next base: position 101,430,188 of record NC_000014.9, on the reverse strand, counting down.
AAAACCCTAGAAGAAAACCTAGGCAATACCATTCAGGACATAGGCATGGGTAAAGACTTCATGATGAAAATGCCAAAAGCAATTGCAAAAAATGTGAAAATTGGCAAATGGGACCTAATTAAACTAAAGAGCTTCTGCACAGCAAAAGAAACTAGCATCAGAGTGAACAGGCAACCAACAGAACGGAAGAAAATTTTTGCAATCTACCCATCTGACAAAGGTCTGATATCCAGAATCTACAAGGAACTTACACAAATTTACAAGAAAAAAAAACCCATCAAAAAGTGGGCAAAGATTATAAACAGACACTTCTCAAAAGAAGACATTTATGCAGCTAACAAACAGATGAAAAAAAGCTCAACATCACTGATCATTAGAGAAATGCAAATCAAAACCGCAATGAGATACCATCTCACTCCGGTCAGAATGGTAATTATTAGAAAGCCAAGAAACAATAGATGCTGGTGAAGCTGT